>NC_000019.10:24908689-25234715 GCF_000001405.40 Homo sapiens | reverse complement strand
TTGGCCTCAAAGCGCTTGAAATCTCCACTTGCAAATTCCACACAAAGAGTGTTTCAAATCTGCTCTGTGTAAATGAAAGTTCAACTCTGTGAGTTGAACACACACAACACAAGGAAGTTACTGGGAATTCTTCTGTCTAGCATAGTATGAAGAAATCCCGTTTCCAACGAAGGCCTCAATGAGGACTGAATATCCACTTGCAGAGTATACAAACAGAGTGTTTCCTAACTGCTCTATGAAAAGAAAGGTTAAACTCTGTGAGTTGAACGCACACATCACAAAGAAGATTCTGAGAATCATTCTGTCTAGTTTTTATTCGAAGATATTTCCTTTTCTACCATTGACCTCAAAGCGGCTGAAATCTCCACTTGCAAATTACACAAAAACAGTGTTTCAAGTCTACTCTGTGTAAAGCATCGTTCAACTCTGTGAGTTGAAAACACACAACACAAGGAAGTTTCTCAGAATTCTTCTGTCTAGCAGAATATGAAGAAATCCCGTTTCCAACGAAGGCCACAAGATGTCAGAATATCCACTTACAGACTTTACAAACAGAGTGTTTCCTAACTGCTCTATGAACAGAAAGGTTAAACTCTGTGAGTTGAACGAACACATCACAACGCAGTTTGCGGGAATGATTCTGTCTAGTTTTGAAACGAAGATATTTCCTTTTCTGCCGTTGACCTTAAAGAGCTTGAAAACTACACTTGCAAATTGCACAAATAGAGTGTTTCAAATCTGCTCTGTCTAAGGGAACGTTCAACTCTGTGAGTTGAATACACACAACACAAGGAAGTTACTGAGAATTCTTCTGTCTAGCCTTACATGCAAAAAACCCGTTTCCAACGAAGGCCTCTAAGTGGTCAAAATATCCACGTGCAGACTTTACAAACAGAGTGTTTCCAAACCGCTGAATGAAAAGAAAAGTTAAACTCTGAGAGTTGAACGCACACATCACGCAGCAGTTTCTGAGAATGATTCTGTCTAGTTTTTATACGAAGATATTTCCTTTTCTGCCTTTGGCCTCAAAGCGCTTGACATCTCCACTTGCAAATTCCACAAAAAGAGTGTTTCAAATCTGCTCTGTGTAAATGAAAGTTCAACTCTGTGAGTTGAACACACACAACACAAGGAAGTTACTGGGAATTCTTCTGTCTAGCAGAATATGAGGAAATCCCGTTTCCAACGAAGGTCTCAAAGAGGTCTGAATATCCACTTGCAGACTTTACAAACAGAGTGTTTCCTAACTGCTCTATGAACAGAAAGGTTAAACTCTGTGAGTTGAACGCACACATCACAAAGGAGTTTCTGAGAATCATTCTGTCTAGTTTTTATACGAAGATATTTCCTTTTCTACCATTGACCTCAACGCAGCTGAAATCTCCGCTTGCAAATTCCAGAAAAAGAGTGTTTCAAGTCTGCTCTGTGTAAAGGATCGTTCAACTCTGTGAGTTGAATACACACAACACAAGGAAGTTACTGAGAATTCTTCTGTCTAGCCTTATAAGAAAAAAACCCGTTTCCAACGAAGGCCTCAAAGAGGTCTGAATATCCACTTGCAGACTTTACAAACAGAGTGTTTCCTAACTGCTCTATGAAAAGAAAGGTTAAACTCTGTGAGTTGAACGCACACATCACAAAGGAGTTTCTGAGAATCATTCTGTCTAGTCTTTATACGAAGATATTTCCTTTTCTACCATTGACCTCAAAGCGGCTGAAATCTCCACTTGCAAATTCCACAAAAAGAGTGTTTCAAGTCTGCTATGTGTAAAGCATCGTTCAACTCTGTGAGTTGAATACACACAACACAAGGAAGTTACTGAGAATTCTTCTGTCTAGCATAATATGAAGAAATCCCGTTTCCAACGAAGGCCTCAAAGACGTCTGAATATCCACTTGCAGACTTTACAAACAGAGTGTTTCCTAACTGCTCTATGAAAAGAAAAGTTAAACTCTGTGAGTTGAACGCACACATCACAAAGGAGTTTCTGAGAATCATTCTGTCTAGTTTCTATAGGAAGATATTTCCTATTCTACCATTGACCTCAAAGCGGCTGAAATCTCCACTTGCAAATTCCACAAAAAGAGTGCTTCAAGTCTGCTCTCTGTAAAGGATCGTTCAACTCTGACAGTTGAATACACACAACACAAGGAAGTTACTGAGAATTATTCTGTCTAGCCTTATATGAAAAAAACCCGTTTCCAACGAAGGCCTCAAAGAGGTCTGAATATCCACTTGCAGACTTTACAAAGAGAGTGTTTCCTAACTGCTCTAAGAAAAGAAAGGTTAAACTCTGTGAGTTGAACACACACATCACAAAGGAGTTTGTGAGAATCATTCTGTCTAGTTTTTCTACGAAGATATTACCTTTTCTACTATTGACCTCAAAGCGGCTGAAATCTCCACTTGCAAATTCCACAAAAAGAGTGTTTCAAGTCTGCTCTGTGTAAAGGATCGTTCAACTCTGTGAGTTGAATACACACAACACAAGGAAGTTACTGAGAATTCTTCTGTCTAGCAGAATATGAAGAAATCCCGTTTCCAACGAAGGCCACAAAGAGGTCTGAATATCCACTTGCAGACTTTACAAACAGAGTGTTTCCTAACTGCTCTATGAAAAGAAAGGTTAAACTCTGTGAGTTGAACGCACACATCACAAAGGAGTTTCTGAGAATCGTTCTGTCTAGTTTTGAAACGAAGATATTTCCTTTTCTGCCATTGACCTCAAAGCGCTTGAAATCTCCACTTGCCAATTGCACAAAAAGAGTGTTTCAAATCTGCTCTGTCTAAGGGAACGTTCAACTCTGTGAGTTGAATGTACACAACACAAGGAAGTTACTGGGAATTCTTCTGTCTAGCCTTACATGAAAAAAACCCGTTTCCAACGAAGGCCTCTAAGTGGTCAAAATATCCACGTGCAGACTTTACAAACAGAGTGTTTCCAAACTGCTGAATGAAAAGCAAAGTTAAACTCTGAGAGTTGAACTCACACATCGCAGAGCAGTTTCTGAGAATGATTCTGTCTAGTTTTTATACGAACATATTTCCTTTTCTGCCTTTGGCCCCAAAGCGCTTGAAATCTCCACTTGCAAATTCCACAAAAACAGTGTTTCAAATCTGCTCTCTCTAAATGAAAGTTCAACTCTGTCAGTTGAATACACACAACACAAGGAAGTTACTGAGAATTCTTCTGTCTAGCATAATATGAAGAAATCCCGTTTCCAACGAAGGCCTCAAAGGGGTCTGAATATCCACTTGCAGACTTTACAAACAGAGTGTTTACTAACTGCTCTATGAAAAGAAAGGTTAAACTCTGTGAGTAGAACACACACATCACAAAGGAGTTTCTGAGAATCATTCTTTCTAGTTTTTCTACGAAGATATTTCCTTTTCTACTATTGACCTCAAAGCGGCTGAAATCTCCACTTGCAAATTCCACAAAAAGAGTGTTTAAAGTCTGCTCTGTGTAAAGGATCGTTCAACTCTGTGAGTTGAATACACACAACACAAGGAAGTTACTGAGAATTCTTCTGTCTAGCAGAATATGAAGAAATCCCGTTTCCAACGAAGGCCACAAGATGTCAGAATATCCACTTACAGAATTTACCAACAGAGTGTTTCCTAACTGCTCTATGAAAAGAAAGGTGAGTTGGTTTCCTAACTGCTGTGTGAGTTGAACGAACACATCACAACGCAGTTTGTGGGAATGATTCTGTCTAGTTTTGAAACGAAGATATTTCCTTTTCTGCCATTGACCTGAAAGCGCTTGAAATCTACACTTGCAAATTGCACAAATAGAGTGTTTCAAATCTGCTCTGTCTAAGGGAACGTTCAACTCTGTGAGTTGAATGCACACAACACAAGGAAGTTACTGGGAATTCTTCTGTCTAGCCTTACATGAAAAAAACCCGTTTCCAACGAAGGCCTCTAAGTGGTCAAAATATCTACGTGCAGACTTTACAGAGTGTTTCCAAACTGCTGAATGAAAAGAAAAGTTAAACTCTGAGAGTTGTACGCACACATCACAGAGCAGTTTCTGAGAATGATTCTGTCTAGTTTTTATACGAAGATATTTCCTTTTCTGCCTTTGGCCCCAAAGCGCTTGAAATCTTCACTTGCAAATTCCACAAAAACAGTGTTTCAAATCTGCTCTCTCTAAATGAAAGTTCAACTCTGTCATTTGAATACACACAACACAAGGAAGTTACTGAGAATTCTTCTGTCTAGCAGAATAGGAAGAAATCCCGTTTCCAACGAAGGCCTCAAAGAGGTCTGAATATCCACTTGCAGACTTTACAAACAGAGTGCTTCCTAACTGCTCTATGAAAAGAAAGGTTAAACTCTGTGAGTTGAACGCACACATCACAAAGGAGTTTCTGAGAATCGTTCTGTCTAGTTTCTATAGGAAGATATTTCCTATTCTACCGTTGAACTCAAAGCGGCTGAATTCTCCACTTGCAAATTCCACAACAAGAGTGTTTCAAGTCTGTTCTGCGTAAAGGATCATTCAACTCTGTGAGTTGAATACACACAACACAAGGAAGTTACTGAGAATTCTTCTGTCTAGCAGAATATGAAGAAATCCCGTTTCCAACGAAGGCCTCAAGGAGGTCTGAATATCCACTTGCAGACTTTACAAACAGAGTGTTTCCTAACTGCTCTATGAAAAGAAAGGTTAAACTCTTTGAGTTGAACGCACACATCACAACGCAGTTTGTGGGAATGATTTCTGTCAAGTTTTGAAACGAAGATATTTCCTTTTCTGCCATTGACCTTAAAGCGCTTGAAATCTACACTTGCAAACTGCACAAATAGAGTGTTTCAAATCTGCTCTGTCTAAGGGAACGTTCAACTCTGTGAGTTGAATGCACACAACACAAGGAAGTTACTGGGAATTCTTCTGTCTAGCCTTACATGAAAAAAACCCGTTTCCAACGAATGCCTCTAAGTGGTCAAATTATCCACGTGCAGACATTACAAACAGAGTGTTTCCAAACTGCTGAATGAAAAGAAAAGTTAAACTCTGAGAGTTGAACGCACACATCGCAGAGCAGTTTCTGAGAATGATTCTGTCTAGTTTTTATACGAAGATATTTCCTTTTCTGCCTTTGGCCTCAAAGCTCTTGAAATCTCCACTTGCAAATTCCACAAAAAGAGTGTTTCAAATCTGCTCTGGGTAAATGAAAGTTCAACTCTGTGAGTTGAACACACACAACACAAGGAAGTTACTGGGAATTCTTGTGTCTAGCATAATATGAAGAAATCCCGTTTCCAACGAAGGCCTCAAAGAGGTCTGAATATCCACTTGCAGACTTTACAAACAGAGTGTTTCCTAACTGCTCTATGAAAAGAAAGGTTAAACTCCGTGAGTTGAACGCACACATCACAAAGGAGTTTCTGAGAATTATTCTGTCTAGTTTTTATACGAAGATATTTCCTTTTCTACCATTGACCTCAAAGCGGCTGAAATCTCCACTTGCCAATTCCACAAAAAGAGTGTTTCAAGTCTACTCTGTGTAAAGGTTCGTTCAACTCTGTGAGTTGAAAACACACAACAGAAGGAAGTTTCTGAGAATTCTTCTTTCTAGCAGAATATGAAGAAATCCCGTTTCCAACAAAAGCCTCAAGGATGTCTGAATATCCACTTGCAGACTTTACAAACAGAGTGTTTCCTAACTGCTCTATGAAAAGAAAGGTTAAACTCTGTGAGTTGAACGCACACATCACAAAGGAGTTTCTCAAAATCATTCTGTCTAGTTTCTATAGGAAGATATTTCCTATTCTACCATTGACCTCAAAGCGGCTGAAATCTCCAGTTGCAAATTCCACAAAAAGAATGTTTCAAGTCTGCTCTGTGTAAAGCATCGTTCAACTCTGTGAGTTGAATACACACAACACAAGGAAGTTACTGAGAATTCTTCTGTCTAGCATAATATGAAGAAATCCCGTTTCCAACGAAGGCCTCAAAGAGGTCTGAATATCCACTTGCAGACTTTACAAACAGAGTGTTTCCTAACTGCCCTATGAAAAGAAAAGTTAAACTTTGTGAGTTGAACGCACACATCACAAAGGAGTTTATGAGAATCATTCTGTCTAGTTTTGAAACGAAGATATTTCCTTTTCTGCCATTGACCTTAAAGCGCTTGAAATCTCCATTTGCCAATTGCTCAAAAAGAGTGTTTCAAATCTGCTCTGTCTAAGGGAACGTTCAACTCTGTGAGTTGAATGTACACAACACAAGGAAGTTACTGGGAATTCTTCTGTCTAGCCTTACAGGAAAAAAACCCGTTTCCAACGAAGGCCTCTAAGTGGTGAAAATATCCACGTGCAGACTTCACAAACAGAGTGTTTCCAAACTGCTGAAGGAAAAGAAAAGTTAAACTCTGAGAGTTGAACACACACATCGCAGAGCAGTTTCTGAGAATGATTCTGTCTAGTTTTTATACGAACATATTTCCTTTTCTGCCTTTGGCCTCAAAGCGCTTGAAATCTCCACTTGCAAATTCCACAAAAAGAGTGTTTCAAATCTGCTCTGTCTAAATGAAAGTTCAACTCTGTCAGTTGAATACACACAACACAAGGAAGTTACTGAAAATTCTTCTGTCTAGCAGAATATGAAGAAATCCCGTTTCCAACGAAGGTCTCAAGGAGGTGTGAATATCCACTTGCAGACTTTACAAACAGAGTGTTTCCTAACGGCTCTATGAACAGAAATGTTAAACTCTGTGAGTTGAACGCACACATCACAAAAGAGTTTCTGAGAATCATTCTGTCTAGTTTTTCTACGAAGATATTTCCTTTTCTACTATTGACCTCAAAGCGGCTGAAATCTCCACTTGCAAATTCCACAAAAAGAGTGTTTCAAGTCTGCTCTGTGTAAAGGATCATTCAACTCTGTGAGTTGAATAAACACAACACAAGGAAGTTACTGAGAATTCTTCTGTCTAGCAGAATATGAAGAAATCCCGTTTCCAACGAAGGCCACAAGATGTGAGAATATCCACTTACAGAATTTTCAAACAGACTGTTTCCTAACTGCTCTATGAAAAGAAAGGTTAAACTCTGTGAGTTGAACGAACACATCACAACGCAGTTTGTGGGAATGATTCTGTCTAGTTTTGAAACGAAGATATTTCCTTTTCTGCCATTGACCTCAACGCGCTTGAAATCTCCACTTGCCAATTGCACAAAAAGAGTGTTTCAAATCTGCTCTGTCTAAGGGAACGTTCAACTCTGTGAGTTGAATGTACACAACACAAGGGAAGTTACTGGGAATTCTTCTGTCTAGCCTTACAGGAAAGAAACCCGTTTCCAACGAAGGCCTCTAAGTGGTCAAAATATCCACGTGCAGACTTTACAAACAGAGTGTTTCCAAACTGCTGAATGAAAAGAAAAGTTAAACTCTGAGAGTTGAACGCACACATCGCAGAGCCAGTTTCTGAGAATGATTCTGTCTAGTTTTTATACGAAGATATTTCCTTTTCTGCCTTTGGCCCCAAAGCGCTTGAAATCTCCACTTGCAAATTCCACAAAAACAGTGTTTCAAATCTGCTCTCTCCAAATGAAAGTTCAACTCTGTCAGTTGAATACACACAACACAAGGGAAGTTACTGAGAATTCTTCTGTCTAGCCTTACATGAAAAAAAAACCGTTTCCAACGAAGGCCTCAAGGAAGTCCAAATATCCACGTGCAGACTTTACAAACAGAGTGTTTCCTAACTGCTCTATGAAAAGAAAGGTTAAACTCTGTGAGTTGAACGCACACATCACAAAGGAGTTTCTGAGAATCATTCTGTCTAGTTTCTATAGGAAGATATTTCCTATTCTACCATTGACCTCAAAGCGGCTGAAATCTCCACTTGCAAATTCCACAAAAAGAGTGTTTCAAGTCTGCTCTTTGTAAAGGATCGTTCAAATCTGTGAGTTGAATACACGCAACACAAGGAAGTTACTGAGAATTCTTCTGTCTAGCATAATATGAAGAAATCACGTTTCCAACGAAGGCCTCAAGGAGGTCTGAATATCTACTTGCAGACTTTACAAACAGAGTGTTTCCTAACTGCTCTATGAAAAGAAAGGTTAAACTCTGTGAGTTGAACGCACACATCACAAAGGAGTTTCTGAGAATCATTCTGTCTAGTTTTGAAACGAAGATATTTCCTTTTCTGCCATTGACCTTAAAGCGCTTGAAATCTCCACTTGCCAATTGCACAAAAAGAGTGTTTCAAATCTGCTCTGTCTAAGGGAACGTTCAACTCTGTGAGTTGAATATACACAACACAAGGAAGTTACTGGGAATTCTTCTGTCTAGCCTTACATGAAAAAAACCCGTTTCCAAAGAAGGCCTCTAAGTGGTCAAAATATCCACGTGCAGACTTTACAAACAGAGTGTTTCCAAACTGCTGAATGAAAAGAAAAGTTAAACTCTGAGAGTTGAACGCACACATCGCAGAGCAGTTTCTGAGAATGATTTCTGTCTAGTTTTTATACGAAGATATTTCCTTTTCTGCCATTGGCCCCAAAGCGCTTGAAATCTCCACTTGCAAATTCCACAAAAAGAGTGTTTCAAATCTGCTCTGTGTAAATGAAAGTTCAACTCTGTGAGTTGAACACACACAACACAAGGAAGTTACTGGGAATTCTTCTGTCTAGCCTTATATGAAAAAAACCCGTTTCCAACGAAGGCCTCAAAGAGGTCTGAATATCCACTTGCAGACTTTACAAACAGAGTGTTTCCTAACTGCTCTATGAAAAGAAAGGTTAAACTCTGTGAGTTGAACGCACACATCAAAAAGGAGTTTCTGAGAATCATTCTGTCTAGTTTTTATAGGAAGATATTTCCTTTTCTACATTTGACTTCAAAGCGGCTGAAATCTCCACTTGCAAATTCCACAAAAAGAGTGTTTCAAATCTGCTCTGTGTAAAGGATCGTTCAACTCTGTGAGTTGAATACACACAACAGAAGGAAGTTACTGAGAATTCTTCTGTCTAGCAGAATATGAAGAAATCCCGTTTCCAACGAAGGCCACAAGATGTCAGAATATCCACTTACAGACTTTACAAACAGAATGTTTCCTAACTGCTCTATGAACAGAAAGGTTAAACTCTGTGAGTTGAACGTACACATCACAACGCAGTTTGTGGGAATGATTCTGTCTAGTTTTGAAACGAAGATATTTCCTTTTCTGCCGTTGACCTTAAAGCGCTTGAAATCTACACTTGCAAATTGGACAAATAGAGTGTTTCAAATCTGCTCTGTCTAAGGGAACGTTCAACTCTGTGAGTTGAATGCACACAACACAAGGAAGTTACTGGGAATTCTTCTGTCTAGCCTTACATACAAAAAAACCCGTTTCCAACGAAGGCTTCTAAGTGGTCAAAATATCCACGTGCAGACTTTACAAACAGAGTGTTTCCAAACCGCTGAATGAAAAGGAAAGTTAAACTCTGAGAGTTGAACACACACATCACGCAGCAGTTTCTGAGAATGATTCTGTCTAGTTTTTATACGAAGATATTTCCTTTTCTGCCTTTGGCCTCAAAGCGCTTGAAATCTCCAATTGCAAATTCCACAAAAAGAGTGTTTCAAATCTGCTCTGTCTAAATGAAAGTTCAACTGTGTCAGTTGAATACACACAACACAAGGAAGTTACTGAGAATTCTTCTGTCTAGCATAGTATGAAGAAATCCCGTTTCCAACGAAGGCCTCAAAGAGGTCTGAATATCCACTTGCAGAGTTTACAAACAGAGGGTTTCCTAACTGCTCTATGAAAAGAAAGGTTAAACTCTGTGAGTTGAACGCACACATCACAAAGAAGTTTCTGAGAATCATTCTGTCTAGTTTTTATACGAAGATATTTCCTTTTCTACCATTGACCTCAAAGCGGCTGAAATCTCCACTTGCAAATTCCACAAAAAGAGTGTTTCAAGTCTGCTCTGTGTAAAGGATCGTTCAAGTCTGTGAGTTGAATACACACAACACAAGGAAGTTACTGAGAATTCTTCTGTCTAGCAGAATATGAAGAAATCCCGTTTCCAACGAAGGCCACAAGATGTCAGAATATCCACTTACAGACTTTACAAACAGAGTGTTTCCTAACTGCTCTATGAACAGAAAGGTTAAACTCTGTGAGTTGAACGAACACATTACAACGCAGTTTGTGGGAATGATTTCTGTCTAGTTTTGAAACCAAGATATTTCCTTTTCTGCCGTTGACCTAAAAGAGCTTGAAAACTACACTTGCAAATTGCACAAATAGAGTGTTTCAAATCTGCTCTGTCTAAGGGAACGTTCAACTCTGTGAGTTGAATGCACACAACACAAGGAAGTTACTGGGAATTCTTCTGTCTAGCCTTACATGAACAAAACCCGTTTCCAACGAAGGCCTCTAAGTGGTCAAAATTTCCACGTGCAGACTTTACAAACAGAGTGTTTCCAAACCGCTGAATGAAAAGAAAAGTTAAACTCTGAGAGTTGAACGCACACATCACGCAGCAGTTTCTGAGAATGATTCTGTCTAGTTTTTATACGAAGATATTTCCTTTTCTGCCTTTGGCCCCAAAGCGCTTGAAATCTCCACTTGCAAATTCCACAAAAACAGTGTTTCAAATCTGCTCTCTCTAAATGAAAGTTCAACTCTGTCAGTTGAATACACACAACACAAGGTAGTTACTGAGAATTCTTCTGTCTAGCAGAATATGAAGAAATCCCGCTTCCAACGAAGGCCTCAAAGAAGTCTGAATATCCACTTGCAGACTTTACAAACAGAGTGTTTCCCAACTGCTCTATGAAAAGAAAGGTTGAACTCTGTGAGGTGAACGCACACATCACAAAGGAGTTTCTGAGAATCATTCTGTGTACTTTCTATAGGAAGATATTTCCTATTCTACCATTGAACTCAAAGCGGCTGAAATCTCCACTTGCAAATTCCACAAAAAGAGTGTTTCAAGTCTGCTCTGTGTAAAGGATCGTTCAACTCTGTGAGTTGAATACACACAACACAAGGAAGTTCCTGAGAATTCTTCTGTCTAGCATAATATGAAGAAATCCCGTTTCCAACGAAGGCCTCAAGGAGGTCTGAATATCCACTTGCAGACTTTACAAACAGAGTGTTTCCCAACTGCTCTATGAAAAAAAAGGTTAAGCTCTGTGAGTTGAACGCACACATCACAAAGGAGTTTCTGAGAATCATTCTGTCTAGTTTTTATACGAAGATATTTCCTTTTCTACCATTGACCTCAAAGCAGCTGAAATCTCCACTTGCCAATTCCACAAAAAGAGTGTTTCAAGTCTGCTCTGTGTAAAGGATCGTTCAACTCTGTGAGTTGAATACACACAACACAAGGAAGTTTCTGAGAATTCTTCTGTATAGCAGAATATGAAGAAATCCCGTTTCCAACGAAGGCCTCAAGGAGGTCTCAATATCCAATTGCAGACTTTACAAACAGAGTGTTTCCTAACTGCTCTATGAAAAGAAAGGTTGAACTCTGTGAGTTGAACGCAGATATCACAAAGGAGTTTCTGAGAATCACTCTGTCTAGTCTTTATACGAAGATATTTCCTTTTCTACCATTGACATCAAAGTGGCTGAAATCTCCACTTGCAAATTCCACAAAAAGAGTGTTTCAAGTCTGCTCTGTGTAAAGGATCGTTCAACTCTGTGAGTTGAATACACACAACACAAGGAAGTTACTGAGAATTCTTCTGTCTAGCAGAATATGAAGAAATCCCGTTTCCAACGAAGGCCACAAGATGTCAGAATATCCACTTACAGAATTTACAAACACAGTGTTTCCTAACTGCTCTATGAAAAGAAAGGTTAAACTCTGTGAGATGAACGAACACATCACAACGCAGTTTGTGGGAATGATTCTGTCTAGTTTTGAAACGAAGATATTTACTTTTCTGCCATTGACCTTAAAGCGCTTGAAATCTCCACTTGCCAATTGCACAAAAAGAGTGTTTCAAATCAGCTCTGTCTAAGGGAACGTTCAAATCTGTGTGTTGAATGTACACAACACAAGGAAGTTACTGGGAATTCTTCTGTCTAGCCTTACAAGAATAAAACCCGTTTCCAACGAAGGCCTCTAAGTGGTCAAAATATCCACGTGCAGACTTTACAAAGAGAATGTTTCCAAACTGCTGAATGAAAAGAAAAATTAAACTCTGAGAGTTGAATGCACACATCGCAGAGCAGTTTCTGAGAATGATTCTGTCTAGTTTTTATACGAAGATATGTCCTTTTCTGCCTTTGGCCCCAAAGCGCTTGAAATCTCCCCTTGCAAATTCCACAAAAAGAGTGTTTCAAGTCTGCTCTGTGTAAAGGATCGTTCAACTCTGTCAGTTGAATACACACAACACAAGGAAGTTACTGAGAATTCTTCTTTCTAGCAGAATATGAAGAAATCCCTGTTTCCAACGAAAGCCTCAAGGATGTCTGAATATCCAATTGCAGACTTTACAAACAGAGTGTTTCCTAACTGCTCTATGAAAAGAAAGGGTAAACTCTGTGAGTTGAACGCACACATCACAAAGGAGTTTCTGAGAATCATTCTGTCTAGTTTCTATAGGAAGATATTTCCTATTCTACCATTGAACTCAAAGCGGCTGAAATCTCCACTTGCAAATTTCACAAAAAGAGTGTTTCAAGTCTGCTCTGTGTAAAGGATCGTTGAACTCTGTGATTTGAATACACACAACACAAGGAAGTTACTGAGAATTCTTCTGTCTAGCAGAACATGAAGAAATCCCGTTTCCAATGAAGGGCACAAGATGCTCAGAATATCCACTTACAGAATTTACAAACAGACTGTTTCCTAACTGCTCTATGAAAAGAAAGGTTAAACTCTGTGAGATGAACGAACACATCACAACGCAGTTTGTGGGAATGATTCTGTCTAATTTTGAAACGAAGATATTTCCTTTTCTGCCATTGACCTTAATGCGCTTGAAATCTACACTTGCAAATTGCACAAATAGAGTGTTTCAAATCTGCTCTGTCTAAGGGAACGTTCAACTCTGTGAGTTGAATGCACACAACACAAGGAAGTTACTGGGAATTCTTCTGTCTAGCCTTACAGGAAAGAAACCCGTTTCCAACGAAGGCCTCTAAGTGGTCAAAATATCCACGTGCAGACTTTACAAACAGAGTGTTTCCAAACTGCTGAATGAAAAGAAAAGTTAAACTCTGAGAGTTGAACGCACACATCGCAGAGCAGTTTCTGAGAATGATTCTGTCTAGTTTTTATACGAAGATATTTCCTTTTCTGCCTTTGGCCTCAAACCGCTTGAAATCTCCACTTGCAAATTCCACAAAAAGAGTGTTTCCAATCTGCTCTGTGTAAATGAAAGTTCAACTCTGTGAGTTGAACACACACAACACAAGGAAGTTACTGGGAATTCTTCTGTCTAGCATAATATGAAGAAATCCCGTTTCCAACGAAGGCCTCAAAGAGGTCTGATTATCCACTTGCAGACTTTACAAACAGAGTGTTTCCTAACTGCTCTATGAAAAGAAAGGTTAAACTCTGTGAGTTGAACACACACATCACAAAGGAGTTTCTGAGAATCATTCTGTCTAGTTTTTCTACGAAGATATTTCCTTTTCTACTATTGACCTCAAAGCGGCTGAAATCTCCACTTGCAAATTCCACAAAAAGAGTCTTTCAAGTCTGCTCTGTGTAAAGGATCGTTCAACTCTGTGAGTTGAATACACACAACACAAGGAAGTTACTGAGAATTCTTCTGTCTAGCCTTACATGAAAAAAACCCGTTTCCAACGAAGGCCTCTAAGTGGTCAAATTATCCACGTGCAGACTTTACAAACAGAGTGTTTCCAAACTGCTGAATGAAAAGAAAAGTTAAACTCTGAGAGTTGAACGCACACATCGCAGTGCAGTTTCTGAAAATGATTCTGTCTAGTTTTTATACGAAGATATTTCCTTTTGTGCCTTTGGCCCCAAAGCGCTTGAAATCTCCACTTGCAAATTCCACAAAAACAGTGTTTCAAATCTGCTCTCTCTAAATGAAAGTTCAACTCTGTCAGTTGAATACACACAACACAAGGGAAGTTACTGAGAATTCTTCTGTCTAGCATAGTATGAAGAAATCCCGTTTCCAACGAAGGCCTCAAAGAGGTCTGAGTATCCACTTGCAGAGTTTACAAACAGAGTGTTTCCTAACTGCTCTATGAAAAGAAAGGTTAAACTCTGTGAGTTGAACACACACATCACAAAGAAGTTTCTGAGAATCATTCTGTCTAGTTTCTATAGGAAGATATTTCCTATTCTACCATTGACCTCAAAGCGGCTGAAATCTCCACTTGCAAATTCCACAAAAAGAGTGTTTCAAGTCTCCTCTGTGTAAAGGATCGTTGAACTCTGTGAGTTGAAAACACACAACACAAGGAAGTTTCTGAGAATTCTTCTGTCTAGCAGAATATGAAGAAATCCCGTTTCCAACGAAGGCCACAAGATGTCAGAATATCCACTTACAGACTTTACAAACAGAGTGTTTCCTAACTGGTCTATGAACGGAAAGGTTAAACTCTGTGAGTTGAACGAACACATCACAACGCAGTTTGTGGGAATGATTCTGTCTAGTTTTGAAACGAAGATATTTCCTTTTCTGCCATTGACCTTAAAGCGCTTGAAATCTCCACTTGCCAATTGCACAAAAAAAGTGTTTCAAATCTGCTCTGTCTAAGGGAACGTTCAACTCTGTGAGTTGAATGTACACAACACAAGGAAGTTACTGGGAATTCTTCTGTCTAGCCTTACATGAAAAAAACCCGTTTCCAACGAAGGCCTCTAAGTGGTCAAAATTTCCACGTGCAGACTTTACAAACAGAGTGTTTCCAAAACCGCTGAATGAAAAGAAAAGTTAAACTCTGAGAGTTGAACGCACACATCACGCAGCAGTTTCTGAGAATGATTCTGTCTAGTATTTATACGAAGATATTTCCTTTTCTGCCTTTGGCCCCAAAGCGCTTGAAATCTCCACTTGCAAATTCCACAAAAACAGTGTTTCAAATCTGCTCTCTCTAAATGAAAGTTCAACTCTGTCAGTTGAATACACACAACACAAGGAAGTTACTGAGAATTCTTCTGTCTAGCATAATATGAAGAAATCCCATTTCCAACGAAGGCCTCAAGGAGCTCTGAATATCCACTTGCAGACTTTACAAACAGAGTGTTTCCTAACTGCTCTATGAAAAGAAAGGTTAAACTCTGTGAGTTGAACGCACACATCACAAAGGAGTTTCTGAGAATCATTCTGTCTAGTTTCTATAGGAAGATATTTCGTATTCTACCATTGACCTCAAAGCGGCTGAAATCTCCACTTGCAAATTCCACAAAAGGTGGGTTTCAAGTCTGCTCTGTGTAAAGTATCGTTCAACTCTGTGAGTTGAATACACACAAGACAAGGAAGTTACTGAGAATTCTTCTGTCTAGCCTTATATGAAAAAAACCCGTTTCCAACGAAGGCCTCAAAGAGGTCTGAATATCCACTTGGAGACTTTACAAACAGAGTGTTTCCTAACTGCTCTATGAAAAGAAAGGTTAAACTCTGTGAGTTGAACTGCACACATCACAAAGGAGTTTCTGAGAATCATTCTGTCTAGTCTTTATACGAAGATATTTCCTTTTCTACCATTGACCTCAAAGCGGCTGAAATCTCCATTTGCAAATTCCACAAAAAGACTGTTTCAAGTCTGCTCTCTGTAAAGGATCGTTCAACTCTGTGAGTTGAATACACACAACACAAGGAAGTTACTGAGAATTCTTCTGTCTAGCAGAATATGAAGAAATCCCGTTTCCAACGAAGGCCACAAGATGTCAGAATATCCACTTACAGAATTTACCAACAGAGTGTTTCCTAACTGCTCTATGAAAAGAAAGGTTAAACTCTGTGAGTTGAACGAACACATCACAACGCAGTTTGTGGGAATTATTCTGTCTAGTTTTGAAACGAAGATATTTCCTTTTCTGCCATTGACCTTAAAGCGCTTGAAATCTACACTTGCAAATTGCACAAATAGAGTGTTTCAAATCTGCTCTGTCTAAGGGAACATTCATCTCTGTGAGTTGAATGCACACAACACATAGAAGTTACTGGGAATTCTTCTGTCTAGCCTTACATGAAAAAAACCCGTTTCCAACGAAGGCCTCTAAGTGGTCAAATTATCCACGTGCAGACTTTACAAACAGAGTGTTTCCAAACTGCTGAATGAAAAGCAAAGTTAAACTCTGAGAGTTGAACGCACACATCGCAGAGCAGTTTCTGAGAATGATTCTGTCTAGTTTTTATACGAAGATATTTCCTTTTCTGCCTTTGGCCTCAAAGCGCTTGAAATCTCCATTTGCAAATTCCACAAAAAGAGTGTTTCAAATCTGCTCTGTCTAAATGAAAGTTCAACTCTGTGAGTTGAACACACACAACACAAGGAAGTTACTGGGAATTCTTCTGTCTAGCAGAATATGAAGAAACCCCGTTTCCAACGAAGGCCTCAAAGGGGTCTGAATATCCACTTGCAGACTTTATAAACAGAGTGTTTACTAACTGCTCTATGAAAAGAAAGGTTAAACTGTGTGAGTTGAACACACACATCACAAAGGAGTTTCTGAGAATCATTCTATCTAATTTTTATACGAAGATATTTCCTATTCTACCATTGACCTCAAAGCGGCTGAAATCTCCACTTGCAAATTCCACAAGAAGAGTGTTTCTAGTATGTTCTGTGTAAAGGATCGTTCAACTCAGTGAGTTGAATACACACAACACAAGGAAGTTACTGAGAATTCTTCTGTCTAGCACAGTATGAAGAAATCCCGTTTCCAACGAAGGCCTCAAAGAGGTCTGAATATCCACTTGCAGAGTTTACAAACAGAGTGTTTCCTAACTGCTCTATGAAAAGAAAGGTTAAACTCTGTGAGTTGAACGCACACGTCACAGTGAAGTTTCTGAGAATCATTCTGTCTAGTTTTTATACGAAGATATTTCCTTTTCTACCATTGACCTCAAAGCGGCTGAAATCACCACTTGCCAATTGCACAAAAAGAGTGTTTCAAATCTGCTCTGTCTAAGGGAACGTTCAACTCTGTGAGTTGAATGTACACAACACAAGGAAGTTACTGGGAATTCTTCTGTCTAGCCTTACATGAAAAAAACCCGTTTCCAACGAAGGCCTCTAAGTGGTCAAATTATCCACGTGCAGACTTTACAAACAGAGTGTTTCCAAACTGCTGAATGAAGAGAAAAGTTAAACTCTGAGAGTTGAACGCACACATCACAGAGCAGTTTCTGAGAATGATTCTGTCTAGTTTTTATATGAAGATATTTCCTTTTCTGCCTTTGGCCCCAAAGCGCTTGAAATCTCCACTTGCAAATTCCACAAAAACAGTGTTTCAAATCTGCTCTCTCTAAATGAAAGTTCAACTCTGTCAGTTGAATACACACAACACAAGGAAGTTACTGAGAATTCTTCTGTCTAGCATAATATGAAGAAATCCCGTTTCCAACGAAGGCCTCAAGGAGGTCTGAATATCCACTTGCAGACTTTACCAACAGAGTGTTTCCTAACTGCTCTATGAAAAGAAAGGTTAAACTCTGTGAGTTGAACGCACACATCAGAAAGGAGTTTCTCAGAATCATTCTGTCTAGTTTTTATACGAAGATATTTCCTTTTCTACCATGGACCTCAAAGCAGCTGAAATCTCCACTTGCAAATTCCACAAAAAGAGTGTTTCAAATCTGCTCTGTGTAAATGAAAGTTCAACTCTGTGAGTTGAACACACACAACACAAGGAAGTTACTGGGAATTCTTCTGTCTAGCAGAATATGAAGAAATCCCGTTTCCAACGAAGGCCTCTAGGAGGTCTGAATATCCACTTGCAGACCTTACAAACAGAGTGTTTCCTAACTGCTCTATGAACAGAAAGGTTAAACTCTGTGAGTTGAACGAACACATCACAACGCAGTTTGTGGGAATGATTCTGTCTAGTTTTGAAACGAAGATATTTCCTTTTCTGCCATTGACCTTAAAGCGCTTGAAATCTCCACTTGCCAATTGCACAAAAAGAGTGTTTCAAATCTGCTCTGTCTACGGGAACGTTCAACTCTGTGAGTTGAATGTACACAACACAAGGAAGTTACTGGGAATTCTTCTGTCTAGCCTTACATGAAAAAAACCCGTTTCCAACGAAGGCCTCTAAGTGGTCAAATTATCCACGTGCAGACTTTACAAACAGAGTGTTTCCAAACTGCTGAATGAAAAGAAAAGTTAAACTCTGAGAGTTGAACGCACACATCACAGAGCAGTTTCTGAGAATGATTGTGTCTAGTTTTTATACGAAGATATTTCCTTTTCTGCCTTTGGCCTCAAAGCGCTTGAAATCTCCACTTGCAAATTCCACAAAAAGAGTGTTTCAAATCTGCTCTGTGTAAATGAAAGTTCAACTCTGTGAGTTGAACACACACAACACAAGGAAGTTACTGGGAATTCTTCTGTCTAGCAGAATATGAAGAAATCCCTTTTCCAACGAAGGCCTCAAGGAGGTCAGAATATCCACTTGCAGACTGTACAAACAGAGTGTTTCCTAACTGCTCTATGAAAAGAAAGGTTAAACTCTGTGAGTTGAACGCACACATCACAAAGGAGTTTCTGAGAATCATTCTGTCTAGTTTTTATACGAAGATATTTCCTTTTCTGCCATTGACCTCAAAGCAGCTGAAATCTCCACTTCCAAATTCCACAAAAAGTGTTTCAGATCTGCTCTGTGTAAACCATCGTTCAACTCTGTGTGTTGAATACACACAACTGAAGGAAGATTCTGAGAATTCTTCTGTCTAGCAGAATATGAAGAAATCCCGTTTCCAACGAAGGCCACAAGATGTCAGAATATCCACTTACAGACTTTACAAACAGAGTGTTTCCTAACTGCTCTATGAACAGAAAGGTTAAACTCTGTGAGTTGAACGAACGCATCACAACGCAGTTTGTGGGAATGATTCTGTCTAGTTTTTATACGAAGATATTTCCTTTTCTACCATTGACCTCAAAGCGGCTGAAATCACCACTTGCCAATTGCACAAAAAGAGTGTTTCAAATCTGCTCTGTCTAAGGGAACGTTCAACTCTGTGAGTTGAATGTACACAACACAAGGAAGTTACTGGGAATTCTTCTGTCTAGCCTTACATGAAAAAAAATCCGTTTCCAAACAAGGCCTCTAAGTGGTCAAATTATCCACGTGCAGACTTTACAAACAGAGTGTTTCCAAACTGCTGAATGAAAAGAAAAGTTAAACTCGGAGAGTTGAACGCACACATCACAGAGCAGTTTCTGAGAATGATTCTCTCTAGTTTTTATACGAAGATATTTCCTTTTCTGCCTTTGGCCTCAAAGCGCTTGAAATCTCCACTTGCAAATTCCACAAAAAGAGTGTTTCAAATCTGCTCTGTGTAAATGAAAGTTCAACTCTGTGAGTTGAACACACACAACACAAGGAAGTTACTGGGAATTCTTCTGTCTAGCATAATATGTAGAAATCCCGTTTCCAACGAAGGCCTCAAAGAGGTCTGAATATCCACTTGCAGACTTTACAAACAGAGTGTTTCCTAACTGCTCTATGAAAAGAAAAGTTAAACTCTGTGATTTGAACGCACACATCACAAAGGAGTTTATGAGAATCATTCTGTCTAGTTTTTATACGAAGATATTTCCTTTTCTACCATTGACCTCAAAGCGGCTGAAATCTCCACTTGCAAATTCCACAAAAAGAGTGTTTCAAATCTGCTCTGTGTAAACCATCGTTCAACTCTGTGAGTTGAATACACACAACACAAGGAAGATTCTCAGAATTCTTCTGTCTAGCAGAACATGAAGAAATCCCGTTTCCAACGAAGGCCACAAGATGTCAGAATATCCACGTACAGAATTTACAAACAGACTGTTTCCTAACTACTCTATGAAAAGAAAGGTTAAACTCTGTGAGTTGAACGAACACATCACAACGCAGTTTGTGGGAATGATTCTGTCTAGTTTTGAAACGAAGATATTTCCTTTTCTGCCATTGACCTTAAAGCGCTTGAAATCTCCACTTGCCAATTGCACAAAAAGAGTGTTTCAAATCTGCTCTGTCTAAGGGAACGTTCAACTCTGTGAGTTGAATGTACACAACGCAAGGAAGTTACTGGGAATTCTTCTGTCTAGCCTTACATGAAAAAAACCCGTTTCCAACGAAGGCCTCTAAGTGGTCAAATTATCCACGTGCAGACTTTACAAACAGAGTGTTTCCAAACTGCTGAATGAAAAGAAAAGTTAAACTCTGAGAGTTGAACGCACACATCGCAGAGCACTTTCTGAGAATGATTCTGTCTAGTTTTTATACGAAGATATTCCCTTTTCTGCCTTTTTCCTCAAAGCGCTTGAAATCTCCATTTGCAAATTCCACAAAAAGAGTGTTTCAAATCTGCTCTGTGTAAATGAAAGTTCAACTCTGTGAGTTGAACACACACAACACAAGGAAGTTACTGGGAATTCTTCTGTCTAGCCTTTCATGAAAAAAACCCGTTTCCAACGAAGGCCTCAAAGAAGTCCAAATATCCAGGTGCAGACTTTACAAACAGAGTGTTTCCTAACTGCTCTATGAAAAGAAAGGTTAAACTCTGTGAGTGGAACGCACACATCACAAAGGAGTTTCTGAGAATCATTCTGTCTAGTTTTTCTACGAAAATATTTCCTTTTCTACTATTGACCTCAAAGCGGCTGAAATCTCCACTTGCAAATTCCACAAAAAGAGTGTTTCAAGTCTGCTCTGTGTAAAGGATCGTTCAACTCTGTGAGTTGAATACACACAACACAAGGAAGTTACTGAGAATTCTTCTGTCTAGCAGAATATGAAGAAATCCCGTTTCCAACGAAGGCCACAAGATGTCAGAATATCCACTTACAGAATTTACAAACAGACTGTTTCCTAACTGCTCTATGAAAAGAAAGGTTAAACTCTGTGAGATGAACGAACACATCACAACGCAGTTTGTGGGAATGATTCTGTCTAGTTTTGAAACGAAGATATTTCCTTTTCTGCCATTGACCTTAAAGCGCTTGAAATCTACACTTGGAAATTGCACAAATAGAGTGTTTCAAATCTGCTCTGTCTAAGGGAACGTTCAACTCTGTGAGTTGAATGCACACAACACAAGGAAGTTACTGGGAATTCTTCTGTCTAGCCTTACATGAAAAAAACCCGTTTCCAACGAAGGCCTCTAAGTGGTCAAAATTTCCACGTGCAGACTTTACAAACAGAGTGTTTCCAAACCGCTGAATGAAAAGAAAAGTTAAACTCTGAGAGTTGAACGCACACATCACAAAGGAGTTTCTGAGAATGATTCTGTCTAGTTTTTATACGAAGATATTTCCTTTTCTGCCTTTGGCCTCAAAGCGCTTGAAATCTCCACTTGTAAATTCCACAAAAAGAGTGTTTCAAATCTGCTCTGTCTAAATGAAAGTTCAACTCTGTCAGTTGAATACACACAACACAAGGAAGTTACAGGGAATTCTTCTGTCTAGCCTTATATGAAAAAAACCCGTTTCCAACGAAGGCCTCAAAGAGGTCTGAATATCCACTTGCAGACTTTAGAAACAGAGTGTTTCCTAACTGCTCTATGAAAAGAAAGGTTAAACTCTGTGAGTTGAACACACACATCACAAAGGAGTTTCTGAGAATCATTTCTGTCTAGTTTTTCTACGAAGATATTTCCTTTTCTACTACTGACCTCAAAGCGGCTGAAATCTCCACTTGCAAATTCCACAAAAAGAGTGTTTCAAGTCTGCTCTTTGTAAAGGATCGTTCAACTCTGTGAGTTGAATACACACAACACAAGGAATTTACTGAGAATTCTTCCGTCTAGCAGAATATGAAGAAATCCTGTTTCCAACGAAGGCCTCAAGGAGGTCTGAATATCCACTTGCAGACTTTACAAACAGAGTGTTTCCTAACTGCTCTATGAAAAGAAAAGTTAAACTCTGTGAGTTGAACGCACACATCACAAAGGAGTTTCTGAGAATCATTCTGTCTAGTCTTTATACGAAGATATTTCCTTTTCTACCATTGACCTCAAAGCGGCTGAAATCTACACTTGCAAATTCTACAAAAAGAGTGTTTCAAGTCTGCTCTTTGTAAAGGATCGTTCAACTCTGTGAGTTGAATACACACAACACAAGGAAGTTAGTGAGAATTCTTCTGTCTAGCAGAATATGAAGAAATCCCGTTTCCAAAGAAGGCCTCAAGGAGGTCTGAATATCCACTTGCAGACTTTACAAACAGAGTGTTTCCTAACTGCTCTATGAAAAGAAAAGTTAAACTCTGTGAGTTGAACGCACACATCACAAAGGAGTTTCTGAGAATCATTCTGTCTAGTTTTGAAACGAAGACATTTCCTTTTCTGCCTTTTTCCTCAAAGCGCTTGAAATCTCCATTTGCAAATTCCACAAAAAGAGTGTTTCAAATCTGCTCTGTGTAAATGAAAGTTCAACTCTGTGAGTTGAACACACACAACACAAGGAAGTTACTGGGAATTCTTCTGTCTAGCAGAATATGAAGAAATCCCGCTTCCAACGAAGGCCTCAAAGAGGTCTGAATATCCACTTGCAGACTTTACAAACAGAGTGTTTCCTAATTGCTCTATGAAAAGAAAGGTTAAAGTGTGTGAGTTGAACGCACACATCACAAAGGAGTTTCTCAGAATCATTCTGTCTAGTCTTTATACGAAGATATTTCCTTTTCTACTATTGACCTCAAAGCGGCTGAAATCTCCACTTGCAAATTCCACAAAAAGAGTGTTTCAAGTCTGCTCTGTGTAAAGGATCGTTCAACTCTGTGAGTTCAATACACACAACACAAGGAAGTTACTGAGAATTCTTCTGTCTAGCAGAATAGGAAGAAATCCCGTTTCCAACGAAGGCCTCAAAGAGGTCTGAATATCCACTTGCAGCCTTTACAAACAGAGTGTTTCCTAACTGCTCTATGAAAAGAAAGGTTAAACTCTGTGAGTTGAACGCACACATCACAAAGGAGTTTCTGAGAATCGTTCTGTCTAGTTTCTATAGGAAGATATTTCCTATTCTACCATTGACCTCAAAGCGGCTGAAATCTCCACTTGCAAATTCCACAAAAAGAGTGTTTCAAGTCTGCTCTGTGTAAAGGATCGTTCAACTCTGTGAGGTGAATACACACAACACAAGGAAGTTACTGAGAATTCTTCTGTCTAGCACAGTATGAAGAAATCCCGTTTCCAAAGAAGGCCTCAAAGAGGTCTGAATATCCACTTGCAGAGTTTACAAACAGAGTGTTTCCTAACTGCTCTATGAAAAGAAAGGTTAAACTCTGTGAGTTGAACGCACACATCACAATGAAGTTTCTGAGAATCATTCTGTCTAGTTTTTATACGAAGATATTTCCTTTTCTACCATGGACCTCAAAGCGGCTGAAATCTCCGCTTGCAAATTCCACAAAAAGAATGTTTCTAATCTGCTCTGTGTAAAGGATCGTTCAACTCTGTGAGTTGAATGCACACAACACAAGGAAGTTTCTGAGAATTCTTCTGTCTATCATAATATGAAGAAATCCCGTTTCCAACGTAGGCCTCAAAGAGGTCTGAATATCCACTTGCAGACTTTACAAAGAGAGTGTTTCCTAACTGCTCTACGAAAAGAAAGGTTAAACTCTTTGAGTTGAACGCACACATCACAAAGGAGTTTCTGAGAATCATTCTGTCTAGTTTTTCTACGAAGATATTTCCTTTTCTGCTATTGACCTCAAAGCGGCTGAAATCTCCACTTGCAAATTCCACAAAAAGAGTGTTTCAACTCTGCTCTGTGTAAAGGATCGTTCAACTCTGTGAGTTGAATACACACAACACAAGGAAGTTACTGAGAATTCTTCTGTCTAGCATAATAGGAAGAAATCCCGTTTCCAACGAAGGCCTCAAGGAGGTCTGAATATCCACTTGCAGACTTTACAAACAGAGTGTTTCCTAACTGCTCTATGAAAAGAATGGTTAAACTCTGTGAGTTGAACGCACACATCACAAAGGAGTTTCTGAGAATCATTCTGTCTAGTTTTTATACGAAGATATTTACTTTTCTACCATTGACCTCAAAGCGGCTGAAATCTCCACTTGCAAATTCCACAAAAAGAGTGTTTCAAGTCTGCTCTGTGTAAAGGATCGTTCAACTCTGTGAGTTGAATACACACAACACAAGGAAGTTACTGAGAATTCTTCTGTCTAGCCTTATATGAAAAAAACCCGTTTCCAACGAAGGCCTCAAAGAGGTCTGAATATCCACTTGTAGACTTTACAAACAGAGTGTTTCCTAACTGCTCTATGAAAAGAAAGGTTAAACTCTGTGAGTTAAACGCACACATCACAAAGGAGTTTCTGAGAACCATTCTGTCTAGTTTTTATACGAAGATAATTCCTTTTCTACCATTGACCTCAAAGCGGCTGAAATCTCCACTTGCAAATTCCACAAAAAGAGTGTTTCAAGTCTGCTCTGTGTAAACGATCGTTCAACTCTGTGAGTTGAATACACACAACACAAGGAAGTTACTGAGAATTCTTCTGTCTAGCAGAATATGAAGAAATCCCGTTTCCAACGAAGGCCACAAGATGTCAGAATATCCACGTACAGAATTTACAAACAGACTGTTTCCTAACTGCTCTATGAAAAGAAAGTTTAAACTCTGTGAGTTGAACGAACACATCACAACGCAGTTTGTGGGAATGATTCTGTCTAGTTTTGAAACGAAGATATTTCCTTTTCTGCCATTGACCTTAAAGCGCTTGAAATCTCCACTTGCCAATTGCACAAAAAGAGTGTTTCAAATCTGCTCTGTCTAAGGGAACGTTCAACTTTGTGAGTTGAATGTACGCAACACAAGGAAGTTACTGGGAATTCTTCTGTCTAGCCTTACATGAAAAAAACCTGTTTCCAACGAAGGCCTCTAAGTGGTCAAATTATCCACGTGCAGACTTTACAAACAGAGTGTTTCCAAACTGCTGAATGAAAAGAAAAGTTAAACTCTGAGAGTTGAACGCACACATCGCAGAGCAGTTTCTGATCATGATTCTGTCTAGTTTTTATAGGAAGATATTTCCTTTTCTGCCTTTGGCCTCAAAGCGCTTGAAATCTCCACTTGCAAATTCCACAAAAAGAGTGTTTCAAATCTGCTCTGTTTAAATGAAATTTCAACTCTGTGAGTTGAACACACACAACACAAGGAAGTTACTGGGAATTCTTCTGTCTAGCAGAATATGAAGAAATCCCGTTTCCAACGAAGGCCTCAGAGAGGTCTAAATATCCACTTGCAGACTTTACAAACAGAGTGTTTCCTAACTGCTCTATGAAAAGAAAGGTTAAACTCTGTGAGTTGAACGCACACATCACAAAGGAGTTTCTGAGAATCATTCTGTCTAGTTTCTATAGGAAGATATTTCCTTTTCTGCCATTGACCTCAAAGCGGCAGAAATCTCCACTTGCAAATTCCACAAAAACAGTGTTTCAATTCTGCTCTGTGTAAAGGATCGTTCAACTCTGTGAGTTGAATACACACAACACAAGGAAGTTGCTGAGAATTCTTCTGTCTAGCAGAATATGAAGAAATCCCGTTTCCAACGAAGGCCACAAGATGTCAGAATATCCACTTACAGACTTTACAAACAGAGTGTTTCCTAACTGCTCTATGAATAGAATGGTTAAACTCTGTGAGTTGAACGAACACATCACAACGCAGTTTGTGGGAATGATTCTGTCTAGTTTTGAAACGAAGATATTTCCTTTTCTGCCATTGACCTTATAGTGCTTGAAATCTACACTTGCAAATTGCACAAATAGAGTGTTTCAAATCTGCTCTGTCTAAGGGAACGTTCAACTCTGTGAGTTGAATGCACACAACACAAGGAAGTTACTGGGAATTCTTCTGTCCAGCCTTATATGAAAAAAACCCGTTTCCAACGAAGGCCTCAAAGAGGTCTGAATATCCACTTGCAGACTTTACAAACAGAGTGTTTCCTAACTGCTCTATTAAAAGAAAGGTTAAACTCTGTGAGTTGAACGCACACATCACAAAGGAGTTTCTGAGAATCCTTCTGTCTAATTTTTATATGAAGATATTTCCTTTTCTACCATTGACCTCAAAGCGGCTGAAATCTCCACTTGCAAATTCCACAAAAAGAGTGTTTCAAGTCTGCTCTGTGTCAAGGATCATTCAACTCTGTGAGTTGAATACACACAACACAAGGAAGTTACTGAGAATTCTTCTGACTAGCAGAATATGAAGAAATCCCGTTTCCAACGAAGGCCTCTAGGAGGTCTGAATATCCACTTGCAGACTTTACAAACAGAGTGTTTCCTAACTGCTCTATGAAAAGAAAGGTTAAACTCTGTGAGTTGAACACACACATCACAAAGGAGTTTCTGAGAATCATTCTGTCTAGTTTTTATACGAAGATATTTCCTTTTCTACCATTGACCTCAACGCGGCTGAAATCTCCAATTGCAAATTCCACAAAGAGTGTTTCAAGTCTGCTCTGTGTAAAGGATCGTTCAACTCTGTGAGTTGAATACACACAACACAAGGAAGTTACTGAGAATTCTTCTGTCTAGCTGAACATGAAGAAATCCCGCTTCCATGGAAGGCCTCAAGGAGGTCTGAATATCCACTTGCAGACTTTACAAACAGAGTGTTTCCTAACTGCTCTATGAAAAGAAAGGTTAAACTCTGTGAGTTGAACGCACACATCACAAAGGAGTTTCTGAGAATCATTCTGTCTAGTCTTTATACGAAGATATTTCCTTTTCTACCATTGACCTCAAAGCGGCTGAAATCTCCACTTGCAAATTCCACAAAAAGAGTGTTTCAAGTCGGCTCTGTGTAAAGGATCGTTCAACTCTGTGAGTTGAATACACACAACACAAGGAAGTTACTGAGAATTCTTCTGTCTAGCATAATATGAAGAAATCCCGTTTCCAACGAAGGCCCCAAGGAGGTCTGAATATCCACTTGCAGACTTTACAAACAGAGTGTTTCCTAACTGCTCTATGAAAAGAAAGGTTAAACTCTGTGAGTTGAACGCACACATCACAAAGGAGTTTCTGAGAATCATTATGTCTAGTTTCTATATGAAGATATTTCCTTTTCTACTATTGACCTCAAAGCGGCTGAAATCTCCCCTTGCAAATTCCACAAAAAGAGTGTTTCAAGTCTGCTCTGTGTAAAGGTTCGTTCAACTCTGTGAGTTGAATACACACAACACAAGGAAGTTACTGAGAATTCTGCTGTCTAGCAGAATATGAAGAAATCCCGTTTCCAACGAAAGCCTCAAAGATGTCTGAATATCCACTTGCAGACTTTACAAACAGATTGTTTCCTAACTGCTCTATGAAAAGAAAGGTTAAACTCTGTGAGTTGAACGCACACATCACAAAGGAGTTTCTGAGAATCATTCTGTCTAGTTTCTATAGGAAGATATTTCCTATTCTACCATTGACCTCAAAGCGGCTGAAATCTCCACTTGCAAATTCCAGAAAAAGAGTGTTTCAAGACTGTTCTGTGTAAAGGATCATTCAACTCTGTGAGTTGAATACACACAACACAAGGAAGTTACTGAGAATTCTTCTGTCTAGCAGAATATGAAGAAATCCCGTTTCCAACGAAGGCCTCAAGGAGATCTGAATATCCACTTGCAGACTTTACAAACAGAGTGTTTCCTAACAGCTCTATGAACAGAAAGGTTAAACTCTGTGAGTTGAACGCACACATCACAAAGGAGTTTCTGAGAATCATTCTGTCTAGTTTTGAAACGAAGATATTCCCTTTTCTGCCATTGACCTTAAAGCGCTTGAAATCTACACTTGCAAATTGCACAAATAGAGTGTTTCAAATCTGCTCCGTCTAGGGAACGTTCAACTCTGTGAGTTGAATGCACACAACACAAGGAAGTTACTGGGAATTCTTCTGTCTAGCCTTACATGAAAGAAACCCGTTTCCAACGAAGGCCTCTAAGTGGTCAAATTATTCACGTGTAGACGTTACAAACAGAGTGTTTCCAAACTGCTGAATGAAAAGAAAAGTTAAACTCTGAGAGTTGAACGCACACATCGCAGAGCAGTTTCTGAGAATGATTCTGTCAAGTTTTTATACGAAGATATTTCCTTTTCTGCCTTTGGCCTCAAAGCGCTTGAAATCTCCACTTGCAAATTCCACAAAAAGAGTGTTTCAAATCTGCTCTGTGTAAATGAAAGTTCAACTCTGTGAGTTGAACACACACAACACAAGGGAAGTTACTGGGAATTCTTCTCGTCTAGCCTTATATGAAAAAAACCCGTTTCCAACGAAGGCCTCAAAGAGGGCTGAATATCCACTTGCAGACTTTACAAGCAGAGTGTTTCCTAACTGCTCTATGAAAAGAAAGGTTAAACTCTGTGAGTTGAACGCACACATCACAAAGGAGTTTCTGAGAATCATTCTGTCTAGTTTTTATTTGAAGATATTTCCTTTTCAACCATTGACCTCAAAGCGGCTGAAATCTCCATTTGCAAATTCCACAAAAAGAGTGTTTCAAGTCTGCTCTGTGTAAAGGATCATTCAACTCTGTGAGTTGAATACACACAACACGAGGAAGTTACTGAGAATTCTTCTGTCTAGCATAATATGAAGAAATCCCGTTTCCAACGAAGGCCTCAAAGGGGTCTGAATATCCACTTGCAGACTTTATAAACAGAGTGTTTACTAACTGCTCTATGAAAAGAAAGGTTAAACTCTGTGCGTTGAACACACACATCACAAAGGAGTTTCTGAGAATCATTCTGTCTAGTTTTTATAGGAAGATATTTCCTTTTCTACCTTTGACTTCAAAGCGGCTGAAATCTCCACTTTCAAATTCCACAAAAAGAGTGTTACAAGTCTGCTCTGTGTAAAGGATCGTTCAACTGTGTGAGTTGAATACACACAACACAAGGAAAGTTACTGAGAATTCTTCTGTCTAGCCTTATATGAAAAAACCCCGTTTCCAACGAAGGCCTCAAAGAGGACTGAATATCCACTTGCAGACTTTACAAACAGAGTGTTTCCTAACTGCTCTATGAAAAGAAAGGTTAAACTCTGTGAGTTGAACGCACACATCACAAACGAGTTTCTGAGAATCATTCTGTCTAATTTCTATAGGAAGATATTTCCTATTCTACCATTGACCTCAAAGCGGCTGAAATCTCCAGTTGCAAATTCCGCAAAAAGAGTGTTTCAAGTCTGCTCTGTGTAAAGGATCGTTCAACTCTGTGAGTTGAATACGCACAACACAAGGAAGTTACTGAGAATTCTTCTGTCTAGCATAATATGAAGAAATCCCGTTTCCAACGACGGCCTCAAAGAGGTCTGAATATCCACTTGCAGACTTTACAAACAGAGTGTTCCCTAACTGCTCTATGAAAAGAAAGGTTAAACTCTGTGTGTTGAACTGCACACATCACAAAGGAGTTTCTGAGAATCATTCTGTCTAGTTTTTATACGAAGATATTTCCTTTTCTACCATTGACCTCAAAGCGGCTGAAATCTCCACTTGCAAATTCCACAACAAGAGTGTTTCAAGACTGCTCTGTGTAAAGGATCGTTCAACTCTGTGAGTTGAATACACACAACACAAGGAAGTTACTGATAATTCTTCTTTCTAGCAGAATATGAAGAAATCCCGTTTCCAACGAAAGCCTCAAGAATGTCTGAATATCCACTTGCAGACTTTACAAACAGAGTGTTTCCCAACTGCTCTATGAAAAGAAAGGTTAAACTCTGTGAGTTGAACGCACACATCACAAAGGAGTTTCTGAGAATCATTCTGTCTAGTCTTTATACGAAGATAGTTTCCTTTTCTACCATTGACCTCAAAGCGGCTGAAATCTCCACTTGCAAATTCAACAAAAAGAGTGTTTCAAGTCTGCTCTCTGTAAAGGATCGTTCAACTCTGTGAGTTGAATACACACAACACAAGGAAGTTACTGAGAATTATTCTTTCTAGCAGAATATGAAGAAATCCCGTTTCCAACGAAAGCCTCAAGGAGGTCTGAATATCCACTTGCAGACTTTACAAACAGAGTGTTTCCCAACTGCTCTATGAAAAGAAAGGGTAAACTCTGTGAGTTGAACGCACACATCACAAAGGAGTTTCTGAGAATCATTCTGTCTAGTTTCTATAGGAAGATATTTCCTATTCTACCATTGACCTCAAAGCGGCTGAAATCTCCACTTGCAAATTCCACAAAAAGAGTGTTTCAAGTCTGCTCTCTGTAAAGGATCGTTCAACTCTGAGAGTTGAATACACACAACACAAGGAAGTTACTGAGAATTCTTCCGTCTAGCAGAATATGAAGAAATCCCGCTTCCAACGAAGGCCTCAAAGAAGTTTGAATATCCACTTGCAGACTTTACAAACAGAGTGTTTCCCAACTGCTCTATGAAAAGAAAGGTTAAACACTGTGAGTTGAACGCACACATCACAAAGGAGTTTCTGAGAATCATTCTGTCTAGTCTTTATACGAAGATATTTCCTTTTCTACCATTGACCACAAAGCGGCTGAAATCTCCACTTGCAAATTCCACAAAAAGAGTGTTTCAAGTCTGCTCTGTGTAAAGGATCATTCAACTCTGTGATTTGAATAAACACAACACAAGGAAGTTACTGAGAATTCTTTTTTCTAGCAGAATATGAAGAAATCCCGTTTCCAACGAAGGCCTCAAGGAGGTCTGAATATCCACTTGCAGACTTTACAAACAGAGTGTTTCCTAACTGCTCTATGAAAAGAAAGGTTAAACTCTGTGAGTTGAACGCACACATCACAAAGGAGTTTCTGAGAATCATTCTGTCTAGTTTCTTTAGGAAGATATTTCCTATTCTACCATTGACCTCAAAGCGGCTGAAATCTCCACTTGCAAATTCCACAAAAAGAGTGTTTCAAGTCTGCTCTGTGTAAAGGATCGTTCAACTCTGTGAGTTGAATACACACAACACAAGGAAGTTGCTGAGAATTCTTCTTTCTAGCAGAATATGAAGAAATCCCGTTTCCAACGAAAGCCTCAAGGATGTCTGAATATCCACTTGCAGACTTTACAAACAGAGTGTTTCCTAACTGCTCTATGAAAAGAAAGGATAAACTCTATGAGTTGAACGCACACATCACAAAGGAGTTTCTGAGAATCATTCTGTCTAGTTTCTATAGGAAGATAATTCCTATTCTACCATTGACCTCAAAGCGGCTGAAATCTCCACTTGCAAATTCCACAAAAAGTTTGGTTCAAGTCTGCTCTGTGTAAAGGATAGTTCAACTCTGTGAGTTGAATACACACAACACAAGGAAGTTACTGAGAATTCTTCTGTCTAGCAGAATATGAAGAAATCCCGTTTCCAACGAAGGCCACAAGATGTCAGAATATCCACTTACAGAATTTACAAACAGACTGTTTCCTAACTGCTCTATGAAAAGAAAGGTTAAACTCTGTGAGTTGAACGAAGACATCACAACGCAGTTTGTGGGAATGATTCTGTCTAGTTTTGAAAGGAAGATATTTCCTTTTCAGCCGTTGACCTTAAAGCGCTTGAAATCTACACTTGCAAATTGCACAAATAGGCTGTTTCAAATCTGCTCTGTCTAAGGGAACGTTCAACTCTGTGAGTTGAATGCACACAACACAAGGAAGTTAGTGGGAATTCTTCTGTCTAGCCTTACATGAAAAAAACCCGTTTCCAACGAAGGTCTCTAAGTGGTCAAATTATCCACGTGCAGACTTTACAAACAGAGTGTTTCCAAACTGCTGAATGAAAAGAAAAGTTGAACTCTGAGAGTTGAACGCACACATCGCAGAGCAGTTTCTGAGAATGATTCTGTCTAGTTTTTATACGAAGATATTTCCTTTTCTGCCTTTGGCCCGAAAGCGCTTGAAATCTCCACTTGCAAATTCCACAAAAACAGTGTTTCAAATCTGCTCTCTCTAAATGAAAGTTCAACTCTGTCAGTTGAATACACACAACACAAGGAAGTTACTGAGAATTACTCTGTCTAGCAGAATATGAAGAAATCCCGCTTCCAACGAAGGCCTCAAAGAAGTCTGAATATCCACTTGCAGACTTTACAAACAGAGTGTTTCCCAACTGCTCTATGAAAAGAAAGGTTGAACTCTGTGAGTTGAACGCACACATCACAAAGGAGTTTCTGAGAATAATTCTGTCTAGTTTTTATACGAAGATATTTCCTTTTCTACCATTGACCTCAAAGCGGCTGAAATCTCCACTTGCAAATTCCACAAAACGAGTGTTTCAAGTCCGCTCTGTGTAAAGGATCGTTCAACTCTGTGAGTTGAATACTCACAACACAAGGAAGTTACTGAGAATTCTTCTGTCTAGCAGAATAGGAAGAAATCCCGTTTCCAACGAAGGCCACAAGATGTCAGAATATCCACTTACAGACTTTACAAACAGAGTGTTTCCTAACTGCTCTATGAACAGAAAGGTTAAACTCTGTGAGTTGAGCGAACACATCACAACGCAGTTTGTGGGAATGATTCTGTCTAGTTTTGAAACGAAGATATTTCCTTTTCTGCCATTGACCTTAAAGCGCTTGAAATCTCCACTTGCCAATTGCACAAAAAGAGTGTTTCAAATCTGCTCTGTCTAAGGGAACGTTCAACTCTGTGAGTTGAATGTACACAACGCAAGGAAGTTACTGGGAATTCTACTGTCTAGCCTTACATGAAAAAAACACTTTTCCAACGAAGGCCTCAAACAAGTCCAAATATCCACGTGGAGACTTTACAAACAGAGTGTTTCCAAACTGCTGAATGAAAAGAAAAGTTAAACTCTGAGAGTTGAACGCACACATCACAGAGCAGTTTCTGAGAATGATTCTGTCTAGTTTTTATACGAAGATATTTCCTTTTCTGCCTTTGGCCTCAAAGCGCTTGAAATCTCCATTTACAAATTCCACAAAAAGAGTGTTTCAAATCTGCTCTGTGTAAATGAAAGTTCAACTCTGTGAGTTGAACACACACAACACAAGGAAGTTACTGGGAATTCTTCTGTCTAGCATAGTATGAAGAAATCCCGTTTCCAACGAAGGCCTCAAAGAGGTCTGAATATCCACTTGCAGACTTTACAAACGGAGTGTTTCCTAACTGCTCTATGAAAAGAAAGGTTAAACTCTGTGAGTTGAACGCACACATCACAAAGAAGTTTCTGAGAATCATTCTGTCTAGTTTTTATACGAAGATATTTCCTTTTCTACCATTGACCTCAATGCGGCTGAAATCTCCACTTGCAAATTCCACAAAAAGTGTGTTTAAAGTCCGCTCTGTGTAAAGGATCGTTCAACTCTGTGAGTTGAATACACACAACACAAGGAAGTTACTGAGAATTCTTCTGTCTAGCACAGTATGAAGAAATCCCGTTTCCAACGAAGGCCTCAAAGAGGTCTGAATATCCACTTGCAGACTTTACAAACAGAGTGTTTCCTAACTCCTCTATGAAAAGAAAGGTTAAACTCTGTGAGTTGAAAGCACACGTCACAATGAAGTTTCTGAGAATCATTCTGTCTAGTTTTGAAACGAAGATATTTCCTTTTCTGCCATTGACCTTAAAGCGCTTGAAATCTACACTTGCAAATTGCACAAATAGAGTGTTTCAAATCTGCTCTGTCTAAGGTACGTTCAACTCTGTGAGTTGAATGCACACAACACAAGGAAGTTACTGGGAATTCTTCTGTTTAACCTTACATGAAAAAAACCCGTTTCCAACGAAGGCCTCAAAGAAGTCCAAGTATCCACGTGCAGACTTTACAAACAGAGTGTTTCCTAACTGCTCCATGAAAAGAAAGGTTAAACTCTGTGAGTTCAACGCACACATCACAAAGGAGTTTCTGAGAATCATTCTGTCTAGTTTTTAAACGAAGATATTTCCTTTTCTGCCTTTGGCCTCAACGCGCTTGAAATCTCCACTTGCAAATTCCACAAAAAGAGTGTTTCAAATCTGCTCTGTGTAAATGAAAGTTCAACTCTGTGAGTTGAACACACACAACACAAGGAAGTTACTGGGAGTTCTTCTGTCTAGCATAATATGAAGAAATCCCGTTTCCAACGAAGGCCTCAAGGAGGTCTGAATATCCACTTGCAGACTTTACAAACAGAGTGTTTCCTAACTGCTCTATGAAAACAAAGGTTAAACTCTGTGAGTTGAACGCACACATCACAAAGGAGTTTCTGAGAATCATTTCTGTCTAGTTTCTATAGGAAGATATTTCCTATTCTACCATTGAACTCAAAGCGGCTGAAATCTCCACTTCCAAATTCCACAAAAAGAGTGTTTCAAGTCTGCTCTGTGTAAAGGATCATTCAACTCTGTGAGTTGAATACACACAACACAAGGAAGTTACTGAGAATTCTTCTGTCTAGCAGAATATGAAGAAATCCCGTTTCCAACGAAGGCCACAAGATGTCAGAATATCCACTTACAGACTTGACAAACAGAGTGTTTCCTAACTGCTCTATGAACACAAAGGTTAAACTCTGTGAGTTGAACGAACACATCACAACGCAGTTTGTGGGAATGATTCTGTCTAGTTTTTATTCGAAGATATTTCCTTTTCTACCATTGACCCCAAAGCGGCTGAAATCACCACTTGCCAATTGCACAAATAGAGTGTTTCAAATCTGCTCTGTCTAAGGGAACGTTCAACTCTGTGAGTTGAACACACACAACACAAGGAAGTTACTGGGAATTCTTCTGTCTAGCCTTACATGCAAAAAACCCGTTTCCAACGAAGGCCTCTAAGTGGTCAAAATATCCACGTGCATACTTTACAAACAGAGTGTTTCCAAACCGCTGAATGAAAAGAAAAGTTAAACTCTGAGAGTTGAACGCACACATCACGCAGCAGTTTCTGAGAATGATTCTGTCTAGTTTTGAAACGAAGATATTTCCTTTTCTGCCTTTGGCCTCAAAGCGCTGGAAATCTCCACTTGCAAATTCCACAAAAAGAGTGTTTCAAATCTGCTCTGTGTAAATGAAAGTTCAACTCTGTGAGTTGAACACACACAACACAAGGAAGTTACTGGGAATTCTTCTGTCTAGCATAATATGAAGAAATCCCGTTTCCAACGAAGGCCTCAAAGAGGTCTGAATATCCACTTGCAGACTTTGCAAAAAGAGTGTTTCCTAACTGCTCTATGAAAAGAAAAGTTAAACTCTGTGAGTTGAACGCACACATCACAAAGGAGTTTCTGAGAATCATTCTGTCTAGTCTTTATACGAAGATATTTCCTATTCTACCATTGACCTCAAAGCGGCTGAAATCTCCACTTGCAAATTCCACACAAAGAGTGTTTCAAGTCTGCTCTGTGTAAAGGATCGTTCAACTCTGTGAGTTGAATACACACAACACAAGGAAGTTACTGAGAATTCTTCTGTCTAGCAGAATATGAAGAAATCCCGTTTCCAAAGAAGGCTACAAGATGTCAGAATATCCACTTACAGACTTTACAAACAGAGTGTTTCCTAACTGCTCTATGAACAGAAAGGTTAAACTCTGTGAGTTGAACGAACACATCACAACGCAGTTTGTGGCAATGATTCTGTCTAGTTTTGAAACGATGATATTTCCTTTTCTGCCATTGACCTTAAAGCGCTTGAAATCTACACTTGCAAATTGCACAAATAGAGTGTTTCAAATCTGCTCTGTCTAAGGGAACGTTCAACTCTGTGAGTTGAATGCACACAACACAAGGAAGTTACTGGGAATTCTTCTGTCTAGCCTTACAGGAAAAAAACCCGTTTCCAACGAAGGCCTCTAAGTGGTCAAGTTATCCACGTGCAGACTTTACAACCAGAGTGTTTCCAAACTGCTGAATGAAAAGAAAAGTTAAACTCTGAGAGTTGAACGCACACATCGCAGAGCAGTTTCTGAGAATGATTCTCTGTCTAGTTTTTATACGAAGATATTTCCTTTTCTGCCTTTGGCCCCGAAGCGCTTGAAATCTCCACTTGCAAATTCCACAAAAACAGTGTTTCAAATCTGCTCTCTCTAAATGAAAGTTCAACTCTGTCAGTTGAATACATACAACAGAAGGAAGTTACTGAGAATTCTTCTGTCTAGCATAATATGAAGAAATCCCGTTTCCAACGAAGGCCTCAAAGGGGTCTGAATATCCACTTGCAGACTTTATAAACAGAGTGTTTACTAACTGCTCTATGAAAAGAAAGGTTAAACTCTGTGAGTTGAACGCACACATCACAAAGGATTTTGTGGGAATCATTCTGTCTAGTTTCTATGGGAAGATATTTCCTATTCTACCATTGACCTCAAAGCGGCTGAAATCTCCACTTGCAAATTCCACAAAAAGAGTGTTTCAAGTCTGCTCTCTGTAAAGGATCGTTCAACTCTGTGAGTTGAATACACACAACACAGGGAAGTTACTGAGAATTCTTCTGTCTAGCAGAATAGGAAGAAATCCCGTTTCCAACGAAGGCCACAAGATGTCAGAATATCCACTTACAGACTTTACAAACAGAGTGTTTCCTAACTGCTCTATGAACAGAAAGGTTAAACTCTGTGAGTTGAACGAACACATCACAACGCAGTTTGTGGGAATGATTCTGTCTAGTTTTGAAACGAAGATATTTCCTTTTCTGCCATTGACCTTAAAGCGCTTGAAATCTCCATTTGCCAATTGCACAAAAAGAGTGTTTCAAATCTGCTCTGTCTAAGGGAACGTTCAACTCTGTGAGTTGAATGTACACAAAACAAGGAAGTTACTGGGAATTCTTCTGTCTAGCCTTACATGAAAAAAACCCGTTTCCAACGAAGGCCTCTAAGTGGTCAAATTATCCACGTGCAGACTTTGCAAACAGAGTGTTTCCAAACTGCTAAATGAAAAGAAATGTTAAACTCTGAGAGTTGAACGCACACATCGCAGAGCAGTTTCTGAGAATGATTCTGTCTAGTTTTTATACGAAGATATTTCCTTTTCTACCATTGACCTCGAAGCGGCTGAAATCTCCACTTGCAAATTACACAAAAAGAGTGTTTCAAGTCTGCTCTGTGTAAACTATCGTTGAACTCTGTGAGTTGAATACACACAACACAAGGAAGTTTCTGAGAATTCTTCTGTATAGCAGAATATGAAGAAATCCCGTTTCCAACGAAATCCACAAAGATGTCTAAATATCCACTTGCAGACTTTACAAACAGAGTGTTTCCTAACTGCTCTATGAAAAGAAAGGTTAAACTCTGTGAGTTGAACGCACACATCACAAAGGAGTTTCTGAGAATCATTCTGTCTAGTTTCTATAGGAAGATATTTCCTATTCTACCATTGACCTCAAAGCGGCTGAAATCTCCAGTTGCAAATTCCACAAAAAGAGTGTTTCAAGTCTGCTCTGTGTAAAGGATCGTTCAACTCTGTGAGTTGAATACACAAAACACAAGGAAGTTACTGAGACTTCTTCTGTCTAGCAGAATATGAACAAATCCCGTTTCCAACGAAGGCCACAAGATGTCAGAATATCCACTTACAGACTTTACAAACAGAGTGTTTCCTAACTGCTCTATGAACAGAAAGGTTAAACTCTGTGAGTTGAACGAACACATCACAACGCAGTTTGTGGGAATGATTCTGTCTAGTTTTGAAACGAAGATATTTCCTTTTCTGCCGTTGACCTTAAAGAGCTTGAAAACTACACTTGCAAATTGCACAAATAGAGTGTTTCAAATCTGCTCTGTCTAAGGGAACGTTCAACTCTGTGAGTTGAATGCACACAACACAAGGAAGTTACTGGGAATTCTTCTGTCTAGCCTTACATGAAAAAATCCCGTTTCCAACGAAGGCCTCTAAGTGGTCAAAATTTCCACGTGCAGACTTTACAAACAGAGTGTTTCCAAACCGCTGAATGAAAAGAAAAGTTAAACTCTGAGAGTTGAACGCACACATCACGCAGCAGTTTCTGAGAATGATTCTGTCTAGTTTTTATAAGAAGATATTTCCTTTTCTGCCTTTGGCCTCACAGCGCTTGAAATCCCCACTTGCAAATTCCACAAAAAGAGTGTTTCAAATCTGCTCTGTGTAAATGAAAGTTCAACTCTGTGAGTTGAACACACACAACACAAGGAAGTTACTGGGAATTCTTCTGTCTAGCAGAATATGAAGAAATCCCGTTTCCAACGAAGGCCTCAAGGAGGTCTGAATATCCACTTGCAGACTTTACAAACAGAGTGTTTCTTAACTGCTCTATGAAAAGAAAGGTTAAACTCTGTGAGTTGAACACACACATCACAAAGGAGTTTCTGAGAATCATTCTGTCTATTTTCTATAGGAAGATATTTCCTATTCTACCATTGACCTCAAAGCGGCTGAAATCTCCACTTGCAAATTCCACAAAAAGAGTGTTTCAAGTCTGCTCTGTGTAAAGGATCGTTCAACTCTGTGAGTTGAATACACACAACACAAGGAATTTACTGAGAATTCTTCTGTCTAGCATAATATGAAGAAATCCCGTTTCCAACGAAGGCCTCAAAGAGGTCTGAATATCCACTTGCAGACTTTACAAACACAGTGTTTCCTAACTGCTCTATGAAAAGAAAAGTTAAACTCTGTGAGTTGAACGCACACATCACAAAGGAGTTTCTGAGAATCATTCTGTCTAGTTTCTATAGGAAGTTATTTCCTATTCTAACATTGACCTCAAAGCGGCTGAAATCTCCACTTGCAAATTCCACAAAAAGAGTGTTTAAAGTCTGCTCTCTGTAAAGGATCGTTCAGCTCTGTGAGTTGAATACACACAACAAAAGGAAGTTACTGAGAATTATTCTTTCTAGCAGAATATGAAGAAATCCCATTTCCAACGAAAGCCTCAAGGATGTCTGAATATCCACTTGCAGACTTTACAAACAGAGTGTTTCCCAACTGCTCTATGAAAAGAAAGGTTAAACTCTGTGAGTTGAACGCACACATCACAAAGGAGTTTCTGAGAATCATTCTGTCTAGTTTTTATACGAAGATATTTCCTTTTCTACCATTGACCGCAAAGCGGCTGAAATCTCCACCCTGCCAATTCCACAAAAAGAGTGTTTCAAATCTACTCTGTGTAAAGGATCGTTGAACTCTGTGAGTTGAAAACACACAACACAATGAAGTTTCTGAGAATTCTTCTGTATAGCAGAATATGAAGAAATCCCGTTTCCAACGAAGCCCTCAAGGAGGTCGGAATATCCATTTGCAGACTTTACAAACAGAGTGTTTCCTAACTGCTCTATGAAAAGAAAGGTTAAACTCTGTGAGTTGAACGCACACATCACAAAGGAGTTTCTGAGAATCATTCTGTCTAGTTTTGAAACGAAGATATTTCCTTTTCTGCCGTTGACCTTAAAGAGCTTGAAAACTACACTTGCAAATTGCACAAATAGAGTGTTTCAAATCTGCTCTGTCTAAGGGAACGTTCAACTCTGTGAGTTGAATGCACACAACACAAGGAAGTTACTGGGAATTCTTCTGTCTAGCATAATATGAAGAAATCCCGTTTCCAACGAAGGCCTCAAGGAGGTCTGAATATCCACTTGCAGACTTTATAAACAGAGTGTTTACTAACTGCTCTATGAAAAGAAAGGTTAAACTCTGTGAGTTGAACACACACATCACAAAGGAGTTTGTGAGAATCATTCTGTCTAGTTTTTATACGAAGATATTTCCTTTTCTGCCTTTGGCCCCAAAGCGCTTGAAATCTCCACTTGCAACTTCCACAAAAACAGTGTTTCAAATCTGCTCTCTCTAAATGAAAGTTCAACTCTGTCAGTTGAATACACACAACACAAGGAAGTTACTGAGAATTCCTTCTGTCTAGCATAATATGCAGAAATCCCTTTTCCAAAGAAGGCCTCAAGCAGGTCTGAATATCCACTTGCAGACTTTACAAACAGAGTGTTTCCTAACTGCTCTATGAAAAGAAAGGTTAAACTCTGTGAGTTGAACGCACACATCACAAAGGAGTTTATGAGAATCATTCTGTCTGGTTTCTATAGGAAGATATTTCCTATTCTACCATTGACCTCAAAGAGGCTGAAATCTCCACTTGCAAATTCCACAAAAAGAGTGTTTCAAGTCTGCTCTGTGTAAAGGATCGTTGAAATCTGTGAGTTGAATACACACAACACAATGAAGTTACTGAGAATTCTTCTGTCTAGCAGAATATGAAGAAATCCCCTTTCCAACGAAGGCCTCAAAGCGGTCTGAATATCCACTTGCAGACTTTACAAACAGAGTGTTCCCTAACTGCTCTATGAAAAGAAAGGTTAAACTCTGTGAGTTGAACGCACACATCACAAAGGAGTTTCTGAGAATCATTCTGTCTAGTTTTTATACGAAGATATTTCCTTTTCTACCATTGACCTCAACGCAGCTGAAATCTCCGCTTGCAAATTCCAGAAAAAGAGTGTTTCCTGTCCGCTCTGTGTAAAGGATCGTTCAACTCTGTGAGTTGAATACACACAACACAAGGAAAGTTACTGAGAATTCTTCTGTCTAGCAGAATATGAAGAAATCCCGTTTCCAACGAAAGCCTCAAAGATGTCTGAATATCCACTTGCAGACTTTACAAACAGAGAGTTTCCTAACTGCTCTATGAAAAGAAAGGTTAAACTCTGTGAGTTGAACGCACACAGCACAAAGGAGTTTCTGAGAATCATTCTGTCTAGTTTCTATAGGAAGATATTTCCTATTCTACCATTGACCTCAAAGCGGCTGAAATCTCCACTTGCAAATTCCACAAAAAGAGTGTTTCAAGTCTGCTCTGTGTAAAGGATCGTTCAACTCTGTGAGTTGAATACACACAACACAAGGAAGTTACTGAGAATTCGTCTGTCTAGCCTTATATGAAAAAAACCCGTTTCCAACGAAGGCCTCAAAGAGGTCTGAATATCCACTTGCAGACTTTACAAACAGAGTGTTTCCTAACTGCTCTATGAAAACAAAGGTTAAACTCTGTGAGTTGAACGTACACATCACAAAGTAGTTTCTGAGAATCATTCTGTCAAGTTTCTATAGGAAGATATTTCCTATTCTACCATTGACCTCAAAGCGGCTGAAATCTCCACTTGCAAATTCCACAAAAAGAGTGTTTCAAGTCTGCTCTCTGTAAAGGATCGTTCAACTCTGTGAGTTGAATACACACAACACAAGGAATTTTCTGAGAATTCTTCTGTCTAGCATAATATGAAGAAATCCCGTTTCCAACGAAGGCCTCAAAGAGGTCTGAATATCCACTTGCAGACTTTACAAACAGAGTGTTTCCTAACTGCTCTATGAAAAGAAAGTTTAAACTCTGTGAGTTGAACGCACACATCAGAAAGGAGTTTCTGAGAATCATTCTGTCTAGTTTTTATATGAAGATATTTCCTATTCTACCATTGAACTCAAAGCGGCTGAAATCTCCACTTGCAAATTCCACAAAAAGAGTGTCTCAAGTCTGCTCCGTGTAAACGATCGTTCAACTCTGTGAGTTGAATACACACAACACAAGGAAGTTTCTGAGAATTCTTCTGTCTAGCCTTACATGAAAAAAACCCGTTTCCAACGAAGGCCTCTAAGTGGTCAAATTATCCACGTGCAGACTTTACAAACAGAGTGTTTCCAAACTGCTGAATGAAAAGAAATGTTAAACTCTGAGAGTTGAACGCACACATCACAGAGCAGTTTCTGAGAATGATTCTGTCTAGTTTTTATACGGAGATATTTCCTTTTCTGCCTTTGGCCCCAAAGCGCTTGAAATCTCCACTTGCAAATTCCACAAAAACAGTGTTTCAAATCTGCTCTCTCTAAATGAAAGTTCAACTCTGTCAGTTGAATACACACAACACAAGGAAGTTACTGAGAATTCTTCTTTCTAACAGAATATGAAGAAATCCCGTTTCCAACGAAAGCCTCAAGGATGTCTGAATATCCACTTGCAGACTTTACAAACAGAGTGTTTCCTAACTGCTCTATGAAAAGAAAGGTTAAACTCTGTGAGTTGAACGCACACATCACAAAGGAGTTTCTGAGAATCATTCTGTCTAGTTTTTATAGGAAGATATTTCCTTTTCTACCTTTGACTTCAAAGCGGCTGAAATCTCCACTTGCAAATTCCACAAAAAGAGTGTTACAAGTCTGCTCTGTGTAGAGGATCGTTCAACTCTGTGAGTTGAATACACACAAGACAAGGAAGTTACTGAGAATTCTTCTGTCTAGCCTTATATGAAAAAAACCCGTTTCCAACGAAGGCCTCAAAGAGGTCTGAATATCCACTTGCAGACTTTACAAACAGAGTGTTTCCTAACTCCTCTATGAAAACAAAGGTTAAACTCTGTGAGTTGAACACACACATCTCAAAGGAGTTTCTGAGAATCATTCTGTCTTGTTTCTATACGAAGATTTTTCCTTTTCTACCATTGACCTCAAAGCGGCTGAAATCTCCACTTGCAAATTCCACAAAAAGAGTGTTTCAAGTCTCCTCTGTGTAAAGGATCGTTCAACTCTGTGAGTTGAATACACACAACACAAGGAAGTTACTGAGAATTCTTCTGTCTAGCAGAATATGAAGAAATCCCGTTTCCAACGAAGGCCACAAGATGTCTGAATATCCACTTACAGACTTTACAAACAGAGTGTTTCCTAACTGCTCTATGAACAGAAAGGTTAAACTCTGTGAGTTGAACGAACACATCACAACGCAGTTTGTGGGAATGATTCTGTCTAGTTTTGAAACCAAGATATTTCCTTTTCTGCCGTTGACCTTAAAGAGCTTGAAAACTACACTTGCAAATTGCACAAATAGAGTGTTTCAAATCTGCTCTGTCTAAGGGAACGTTCAACTCTGTGAGTTGAATGCACACAACACAAGGAAGTTACTGGGAATTCTTCTGTCTAGCCTTACATGAAAAAAACCCGTTTCCAACGAAGGCCTCTAAGTGGTCACAATTTCCACGTGCAGACTTTACAAACAGAGTGTTTCCAAACCGCTGAATGAAAAGAAAAGTTAAACTCTGAGAGTTGAACGCACACATCACGCAGCAGTTTCTGAGAATGATTCTGTCTAGTTTTTATACGAAGATATTTCCTTTTCTGCCTTTGGCCCCAAAGCGCTTGAAATCTCCACTTGCAAATTCCACAAAAACAGTGTTTCAAATCTGCTCTCTGTAAATGAAAGTTCAACTCTGTCACTTGAATACACACAACACAAGGAAGTTACTGAGAATTCTTCTGTATAGCAGAATATGAAGAAATCCCTTTTCCAAAGAAAGCCTCAAAGATGTCTGAATATCCACTTGCAGACTTTACAAACAGAGTGTTTCCTAACTGCTCTATGAAAAGAAAGGTTAAACTCTGTGAGTTGAACGCACACATCACAGAGGAGTTTCTGAGAATCATTCTGTCTAATTTCTATAGGAAGATATTTCCTTTTCTACCATTGACCTCAAAGCGGCTGAAATCTCCACTTGCAAATTCCACAACAAGAGTGTTTCAAGTCTGCTCTGTGTAAAGGATCGTTCAAATCTGTGAGTTGAATACACACAACACAAGGAAGTTACTGAGAATTCTTCTGTCTAGCATAATAGGAAGAAATCCCGTTTCCAACGAAGGCCTCAAGGAGGTCTGAATATCCACTTGCAGACTTTACAAACAGAGTGTTTCCTAACTGCTCTATGAAAAGAAAGGTTAAACTCCTGTGAGTTGAACGCACACATCACAAAGGAGTTTCTGAGAATCATTCTGTCTAGTTTTTATACGAAGATATTTCCTTTTCTACCATTGACCTCAAAGCAGCTGAAATCTCCACTTGCAAATTCCACAAAAAGAGTGTTTCAAATCTGCTCTCTGTAAACCATCGTTCAACTCTGTGAGTTGAATACACACAACACAAGGAAGATTCTGAGAATTCTTCTGTCTAGCAGAATATGAAGAAATCCCGTTTCCAACGAAGGCCACAAGATGTCAGAATATCCACTTACAGACTTTACAAACAGAGTGTTTCCTAACTGCTCTATGAACAGAAAAGTTAAACTCTGTGAGTTGAACGAACACATCACAACGCAGTTTGTGGGAATGATTCTGTCTAGTTTTGAAACGAAGATATTTCCTTTTCTGCCATTGACCTTAAAGCGCTTGAAATCTCCACTTGCCAGTTGCACAAAAAGAGTGTTTCAAATCTGCTCTGTCTAAGGGAACGTTCAACTCTGTGAGTTGAATGTACACAACACAAGGAAGTTACTGGGAATTCTTCTGTCTAGCCTTACAGGAAAAAACCCGTTTCCAACAAAGGCCTCTAAGTGGTCAAAATATCCACGTGCAGACTTTACAAACAGAGTGTTTCCAAACTGCTGAATGAAAAGAAAAGTTAAACTCTGAGAGTTGAACGCACACATCGCAGAGCAGTTTCTGAGAATAATTCTGTCTAGTTTTTATACGAAGATATTTCCTTTTCTGCCTTTGGCCTCAAAGCGCTTGAAATCTCCACTTGCAAATTCCACAAAAAGAGTGTTTCAAATCTGCTCTGTGTGAAGGAAAGTTCAACTCTGTGAGTTGAACACACACAACACAAGGAAGTTACTGGGAATTCTTCTCTCTAGCCTTATATGAAAAAAACCCGTTTCCAACGAAGGCCTCAAACAGGTCTGAATATCCACTTGCAGACTTTAGAAACAGAGTGTTTCCTAACTGCTCTATGAAAAGAAAGGTTAAACTCTGTGAGTTGAACGCACACATCACAAAGGAGTTTCTGAGAATCATTCTGTCTAGTTTCTATAAAAAGATATTTCCTATTCTACCATTGACCTCAAAGCGGCTGAAATCTCCACTTGCAAATTCGACAAAAAGAGTGTTTCAAGCCTGCTCTCTGTAAAGGATCCTTCAACTCTGTGAGTTGAATACACACAACACAAGGAAGTTACTGAGAATTATTCTGTCTAGCCTTACATGAAAAAAACCCGTTTCCAACGAAGGCCTCTAAGTGGTCAAATTATCCACGTGCAGACTTTACAAACAGAGTGTTTCCAAACTGCTGAATGAAAAGAAAAGTTAAACTCTGAGAGTTGAACGGACATATCACAGAGCAGTTTCTGAGAATGATTCTGTCTAGTTTTTATACGAAGATATTTCCTTTTCTGCCTTTGGCCTCAAAGCGCTTGAAATCTCCATTTGCAAATTCCACAAAAAGAGTGTTTCAAATCTGCTCTGTGTAAGTGAAAGTTCAACTCTGTGAGTTGAACACACACAACACAAGGAAGTTACTGGGAATTCTTCTGTCTAGCATAATATGAAGAAATCCCGTTTCCAACGAAGGCCTCAAGGAGGTCTGAATATCCACTTGCAGACTTTACAAACAGAGTGTTTCCTAACTGCTCTATGAAAAGAAAGGTTAAACTCTGTGAGTTGAACGCACACATTTCAAAGGAGTTTCTGAGAATCATTCTGTCTAGTTTTTCTACGAAGATATTTCCTTTTCTACTATTGACCTCAAAGCGGCTGAAATCTCCAATTGCAAATTCCACAAAAAGAGTGTTTCAAGTCTGCTCTGTTTAAAGGATCGTTCAACTCTGTGAGTTGAATACACACAACACAAGGAAGTTACTGAGAATTCTTCTGTCTAGCCTTACATGAAAAAAAACCCGTTTCCAACGAAGGCCTCTAAGTGGTCAAAATATCCACGTGCAGTCTTTACAAACAGAGTTTTTCCAAATCGCTGAATGAAAAGAAAAGTTAAACTCTGAGAGTTGAACGCACACATCACGCAGCAGTTTCTGAGAATGATTCTGTCTAGTTTTTATACGAAGATATTTCCTTTTCTGCTTTTGGCCTCAAAGCGCTTGAAATCTCCATTTGCAAATTCCACAAAAAGAGTGTTTCAAATCTGCTCTGTGTAAACGAAAGTTCAACTCTGTGAGTGGAACACACACAACACAAGGAAGTTACTGGGAATTCTTCTGTCTAGCCTTATATGGAAAAAACCCGTTTCCAACGAAGGCCTCAAAGAGGTCTGAATATCCACTTGCAGACTTTACAAACAGAGTGTTTCCTAACTGCTCTATGGAAAGAAAGGTTAAACTCTGTGAGTTGAACGCACACATCACAAAGGAGTTTCTGAGAATCATTCTGTCTAGTTTTTCTACGAAGATATTTCCTTTTCTACTATTGACCTCAAAGCGGCTGAAATCTCCACTTGCAAATTCCACAAAAAGAGTGTTTCAAGTCTGCTCTGTGTAAAGGATCGTTCAACTCTGTGAGTTGAATACACACAACACAAGGAAGTTACTGAGGATTCTTCTGTCTAGCATAATATGAAGAAATCCCGTTTCCAACGAAGACCTCAAAGAGGTCTGAATATCCACTTGCAGACTTTACAAACAGAGTGTTTCCTAACTGCTCTATGAGAAGAAAAGTTAAACTCTGTGAGTTGAAGGCACACATCACAAAAGATTTTCTGAGAATCATTCTGTCTAGTTTTTATACGAAGATATTTCCTTTTCTACCATGGACCTCAAAGCGGCTGAAATCTCCACTTGCAAATTCCACAAAAAGAGTGTTTCAAGTCTGCTCTGTGTAAAGGATCGTTCAACTCTGTGAGTTGAATACACACAACACAAGGAAGATTCTGAGAATCTTCTGTCTAGGAGAATATGAAGAAATCCCGTTTCCATCGAAGGCCAGAAGATGTCAGAATATCCACTTACAGACTTTACAAACAGAGTGTTTCCTAACTGCTCTATGAACAGAAAGGTTAAACTCTGTGAGTTGAACGAACACATCACAACGCAGTTTGTGGGAATGATTCTGTCTAGTTTTGAAACGAAGATATTTCCTTTTCTGCCATTGAACATAAAGCGCTTGAAATCTCCATTTGCCAATTGCACAAAAAGAGTGTTTCAAATCTGCTCTGTCTAAGGGAACGTTCAACTCTGTGAGTTGAATGTACACAACACAAGGAAGTTACTGGGAATTCTTCTGTCTAGCCTTACATGCAAAAAACCCGTTTCCAACGAAGGCCTCTAAGTGGTCAAAATATCCACGTGCAGACTTTACAAACAGAGTGTTTCCAAACCGCTGAATGAAAAGAAAAGTTAAACTCTGAGAGTTGAACGCACACATCACGCAGCAGTTTACTGAGAATGATTCTGTCTAGTTTTTATACGAAGATATTTCCTTTTCTGTCTTTGGCCTCAAAGCGCTTGAAATCTCCATTTGCAAATTCCACAAAAAGAGTGTTTCAAATCTGCTCTGTGTAAATGAAAGTTCAACTCTGTGAGTTGAACACATACAACACAAGGAAGTTACTGGGAATTCTTCTGTCTAGCAGAATATGAAGAAATCCCGTTTCCAACGAAGGCCTCAAGGATGTCTGAATATCCACTTGCAGACTTTACAAACAGAGTGTTTCCTAACTGCTCTATGAAAAGAAAGGTTAAACTCTGTGAGTTGAACGCACACATCACAAAGGAGTTTATGAGAATCATTCTGTCTAGTCTTTATACGAAGAAAGTTTCCTTTTCTACCATTGACCTCAAAGCGGCTGAAATCTCCACTTGCAAATTCCACAAAAAGAGTGTTTCAAGTCTGCTCTGTGTAAAGGATCGTTCAACTCTGTGAGTTGAATACACACAACACAAGGAAGTTACTGAGAATTCTTCTGTCTAGCCTTACATGAAAAAAACCCGTTTCCAACGAAGGCCTCTAAGTGGTCAAGTTATCCACGTGCAGACTTTACAAACAGAGTGTTTCCAAACTGCTGAAGGAAAAGAAAAGTTAAACTCTGAGAGTTGAACGCACACATCGCAGAGCAGTTTCTGAGAATGATTCTGTCTAGTTTTTATACAAAGATATTTCCTTTTCTGCCTTTGGCCTCAAAGCGCTTGAAATCTCCACTTGCAAATTCCACAAAAAGAGTGTTTCCAATCTGCTCTGTGTAAATGAAAGTTCAACTCTGTGAGTTGAACACACACAACACAAGGAAGTTACTGGGAATTCTTCTGTCTAGCAGAATATGAAGAAATCCCGTTTCCAACGAAGGACTCAAAGGGGTCTGAATATCCACTTGCAGACTTTACAAACAGAGTGTTTCCTAACTGCTCTATGAAAAGAAAGGTTAAACTCTGTGAGTTGAACGCACACATCACAAAGGAGTTTATGAGAATCATTCTGTCTAGTTTTTATAGGAAGTTATTTCCTTTTCTACCTTTGACTTCAAAGCGGCTGAAATCTCCACTTGCAAATTCCACAAAAAGAGTGTTACAAGTCTGCTCTGTGTAAAGGATCGTTCACCTCTGTGAGTTGAATACACACAACACAAGGAAGTTACTGAGAATTCTTCTGTCTAGCCTTACATGAAAAAAACCCGTTTCCAACGAAGGCCTCTAAGTGGTCAAATTATCCACGTGTAGACTTTACAAACAGAGTGTTTCCAAACTGCTGAATGAAAAGAAAAGTTAAACTCTGAGAGTTGAACGCACACATCGCAGAGCAGTTTCTGAGAATGATTCTGTCTAGTTTTTATACGAAGATATTTCCTTTTCTGCCTTTGGCCTCAAAGCGCTTGAAATCTCCACTTGCAAATTCCACAAAAAGAGTGTTTCAAATCTGCTCTGTGTAAATGAAAGTTCACCTCTGTGAGTTGAACACACACAACACAAGGAAGTTACTGGGAATTCTTCTGTCTAGCATAGTATGAAGAAATCCCGTTTCCAACGAAGGCCTCAAACAGGTCTGAATATCCACTTGCAGAGTTTACAAACAGAGGGTTTCCTAACTGCTCTATGAAAAGAAAGGTTAAACTCTGTGAGTTGAACGCACACATCACAAAGAAGTTTCTGAGAATCATTCTGTCTAGTCTTTATACGAAGATATTTACTTTTCTACCATTGACCTCAAAGCGGTTGAAATCTCCACTTGCAAATTCCACAAAAAGAGTGTTTCAAGTCTGCTCTGTGTAAAGGATCATTCAACTCTGTGAGTTGAATAAACACAACACAAGGAAGTTACTGAGAATTCTTCTGCCTAGCAGAATATGAAGAAATCCCGTTTCCAACGAAGGCCACAAGATGTCAGAATATCCACTTACAGAATTTACAAACAGACTGTTTCCTAACTGCTCTATGAAAAGAAAGGTTAAACTCTGTGAGTTGAACGAACACATCACAACGCAGTTTGTGGGAATGATTCTGTCTAGTTTTGAAACGAAGATATTTCCTTTTCTGCCGTTGACCTTATAGCGCTTGAAATCTACACTTGCAAATTGCACAAATAGAGTGTTTCAAATCTGCTCTGTCTAAGGGAACGTTCAACTCTGTGAGTTGAATGCACACAACACAAGGAAGTTACTGGGAATTCTTCTGTCTAGCCTTACATGAAAAAAACCCGTTTCCAACGAAGGCCTCTAAGTGGTCAAAATATCCACGTGCAGACTTTACAAACAGAGTGTTTCCAAACCGCTGAATGAAAAGAAAAGTTAAACTCTGAGAGTTGAACGCACACATCACGCTGCAGTTTCTGAGAATGATTCTGTCTAGTTTTTATACGAAGATATTTCCTTTTCTTCCTTTGGCCCCAAAGCGCTTGAAATCTCCACTTGCAAATTCCACAAAAACAGTGTTTCAAATCTGCTCTCTCTAAATGAAAGTTCAACTCTGTCAGTTGAATACACACAACAGAAGGAAGTTATTGAGAATTCTTCTGTCTAGCCTTATATGAAAAAAACCCGTTTCCAACGAAGGCCTCAAAGAGGTCTGAATATCCACTTGCAGACTTTACAAACAGAGTGATTCCTAACTGCTCTATGAAAAGAAAGGTTAAACTCTGTGAGTTGAACACACACATCACAAAGGAGTTTCCTGAGAATCATTCTGTCTAGTTTTTATACGAAGATATTTCCTTTTCTACCATTGACCTCAACGCAGCTGAAATCTCCGCTTGCAAATTCCAGAAAAAGAGTGTTTCCTGTCCGCTCTGTGTAAAGGATCGTTCAACTCTGTGAGTTGAATACACACAACACAAGGAAGTTACTGAGAATTCTTCTGTCTAGCACAGTATGAAGAAATCCCGTTTCCAACGAAGGCCTCAAAGAGGTCTGAATATCCACTTGCAGACTTTACAAACACAGTGTTTCCTAACTGCTCTATGAAAAGAAAGGTTAAACTCTGTGAGTTGAATGCACACATCACAAAGAAGTTTCTGAGAAACATTCTGTCTAGTTTTTTACGAAGATATTTCCTTTTCTGCCTTTGGCCCCAAAGCGCTTGAAATCTCCAATTGCAAATTCCACAAAAACAGTGTTTCAAATCTGCTCTCTCTAAATGAAAGTTCAACTCTGTCAGCTGAATACACACAACACAAGGAAGTTACTGAGAATTCTTCTGTCTAGCCGTATATGAAAAAAACCCGTTTCCAACGAAGGCCTCAAAGAGGTCTGAATATCCACTTGCAGACTTTACAAACAGAGTGTTTCCTAACTGCTCTATGAAAAGAAAGGTTAAACTCTGTGAGTTGAACGCACACATCACAAAGGAGTTTCTGAGAATCATTCTGTCTAGTTTTTATACGAAGATATTTCCTTTTCTACCATTGACCTCAACGCAGCTGAAATCTCCGCTTGCAAATTCCAGAAAAAGAGTGTTTCAAGTCTGCTCTGTGTAAAGGATCGTTCAACTCTGTGAGTTGAATACACACAACACAAGGAAAGTTACTGAGAATTCTTCTGTCTAGCATAGAATGAAGAAATCCCGTTTCCAACGAAGGCCTCAAAGAGGTCTGAATATCCACTTGCAGAGTTTACAAACAGAGTGTTTCCTAACTGCTCTATGAAAAGAAAGGTTAAACTCTGTGAGTTGAACGCACACATCACAAAGAAGTTTCTGAGAATCATTCTGTCTAGTTTTTATAGGAAGATATTTCCTTTTCTACCATGGACCTCAAAGCGGCTGAAATCTCCACTTGCAAATTCCACAAAAAGAGTGTTACAAGTCTGCTCTGTGTAAAGGATCGTTCAACTCTGTGAGTTGAATACACACAACACAAGGAAGTTACTGAGAATTCTTCTGTCTAGCAGAATATGAAGAAATCCCGTTTCCAACGAAGGCCACAAGATGTCAGAATATCCACTGACAGACTTTACAAACAGAGTGTTTCCTAACTGCTCTATGAACAGAAAGGTTAAACTCTGTGAGTTGAACGAACACATCACAACGCAGTTTGTGGGAATGATTCTGTCTAGTTTTGAAACGAAGATATTTCCTTTTCTGCCATTGAACTTAAAGCGCTTGAAATCTCCATTTGCCAATTGCACAAAAAGAGTGTTTCAAATCTGCTCTGTCTAAGGGAACGTTCAACTCTGTGAGTTGAATGTACACAACACAAGGAAGTTACTGGGAATTCTTCTGTCTAGCCTTACAGGAAAAAAACCCGTTTCCAACGAAGGCCTCTAAGTGGTCAAAATATCCACGTGCAGACTTTACAAACAGAGTGTTTCCAAACTGCTGAATGAAAAGAAAAGTTAAACTCTGAGAGTTGAACGCACACATCGCAGAGCAGTTTTCTGAGAATGATTTCTGTCTAGTTTCCATAGGAAGATATTTCCTATTCTACCATTGACCTCAAAGCGGCTGGAATCTCCACTTGCAAATTCCACAAAAGGAGTGTTTCAAGTCTGCTCTGAGTAAAGGATCGTTCAACTCTGTGAGTTGAATACACACAACACAAGGAAGTTTCTGAGAATTCTTCTGTCTAGCAGAATATGAAGAAATCCCGTTTCCAAAGAAAGCCTCAAAGATGTCTGAATATCCACTTGCAGACTTTACAAACAGAGTGTTTCCTAACTGCTCTATGAAAAGAACGGTTAAACTCTGTGAGTTGAACGCACACATCACAAAGGAGTTTCTGAGAATCATTCTGTCTAGTTTCTATAGGAAGATATTTCCTATTCTACCATTGACCTCAAAGCGGCTGAAATCTCCACTTGCAAATTCCACAAAAGGAGTGTTTCAAGTCTGCTCTGTGTACAGGATCGTTCAACTCTGTGAGTTGAATACACACAACACAAGGCAGTTACTGAGAATTCTTCTGTCTAGCCTTACATGAAAAAAACCCGTTTCCAACGAAGACCTCTAAGTGGTCAAAATATCCACGTGCAGACTTTACAAACAGAGTGTTTCCAAACCGCTGAATGAAAAGAAAAGTTAAACTCTGAGAGTTGAACGAACACATCACGCAGCAGTTTCTGAGAATGATTCTGTCTAGTTTTTATACGAAGATATTTCCTTTTCTACCATTGACCTAAAAGCGGCTGAAATCTCCACACTGCCAATTCCACAAAAAGAGTGTTTCAAGTCTACTCTGTGTAAAGGATCGTTGAACTCTGTGATTTGAAAACACACAACACAACGAAGTTTCTGAGAAATCTTCTGTCTAGCCTTATATGGAAAAAACCCGTTTCCAACGAAGGCCTCAAAGAGGTCTGAATATCCTCTTGCAGACTTTACAAACAGAGTGTTTCCTAACTGCTCTATGAAAAGAAAGGTTAAACTCTGTGAGTTGGACACACACATCACAAAGGAGTTTCTGAGAATCATTCTGTCTAGTCTTTATACGAAGATATTTCCTTTTCTACCATTGACCTCAAAGCGGCTGAAATCTCCACTTGCAAATTCCACAAAAAGAGTGTTTCAAGTCTGCTCTCTGAAAAGGATCGTTCAACTCTGTGAGTTCAATACACACAACACAAGGAAGTTACTGAGAATTCTTCTGTCTAGCAGAATATGAAGAAATCCCGTTTCCATCGAAGGCCTCTAAGAGGTCTGAATATCCACTTGCAGACTTTACAAACGGAGTGTTTCCTAACTGCTCTATGAAAAGAAAGGTTAAACTCTGTGAGTTGAACGCACACATCACAAAGGAGTTTCTGAGAATCATTCTGTCTAGTTTCTATAGGAAGATATTTCCTATTCTACCATTGAACTCAAAGCGGCTGAAATCTCCACTTGCAAATTCCACATAAAGAGTGTTTCAAGTCTGCTCTGTGTAAAGGATCATTCAACTCTGTGAGTTGAATACACACAACACAAGGAAAGTTACTGACAATTCTTCTGTCTAGCATAGTATGAAGAAATCCCGTTTGCAAAGAAGGCCTCAAAGAGGTCTGAATATCCACTTGCAGAGTTTACAAACAGAGTGTTTCCTAACTGCTCTATGAAAAGAAAGGTTTAAACTCTGTGAGTTGAACGCACACATCACAAAGAAGTTTCTGAGAATCATTCTGTCTAGTTTCTATAGGAAGATATTTCCTATTCTACCATTGACCTCAAAGCGGCTGAAATCTCCACTTGCAATTTCGACAAAAAGAGTGTTTCAAGCCTGCTCTGTGTAAAGGATCCTTCAACTCTGTGAGTTGAATACACACAAAACAAGGAACTTACTGAGAATTATTCTGTCTAGCCTTATATGAAAAAAACCCCTTTCCAACGAAGGCCTCAAAGAGGTCTGAACATCCACTTGCAGACTTTACAAACAGAGTGTTTCCTAACTGCTCTATGAAAAGAAAGGTTAAACTCTGTGAGTTGAACGCACACATCACAAAGGAGTTTCTGAGAATCATTCTGTCTAGTTGTTATACGAAGATATTTCCTTTTCTACCATTGACCTCAAAGCGGCTGAAATCTCCACTTGCAAATTCCACCAAATGAGTGTTTCAAATCTGCTCTGTGTAAACGATCGTTCAACTCTGTGAGTTGAATACACACAACACAAGGAAGATTCTGAGAATTCTTCTGTCTAGCACAGTATGAAGAAACCCGTTTCCAACGAAGGCCTCAAAGAGGTCTGAATATCCACTTGCAGAGTTTAAAAACACAGTGTTTCGTAACTGCTCTATGAAAAGAAAGGTTAAACTCTGTGAGTTGAACGCACACATCACAAAGGAGTTTCTGAGAATCATTCTGTCTAGTTTCTATACGAAGATATTTCCTTTTCTACTATTGACCTCAAAGCGGCTGAAATCTCCCCTTGCAAATTCCACAAAAAGAGTGTTTCAAGTCTGCTCTGTGTAAAGGATCGTTCAACTCTGTGAGTTGAATACACACAACGCAAGGAAGTTACTGAGAATTCTTCTGTCTAGCAGAATATTAAGAAATCCCGTTTCCAACGGAGGCCTCAAGGAGGTCTGAATATCCACTTGCAGACTTTACAAACAGAGTGTTTCCTAACTGCTCTATGAAAAGAAAGGTTAAACTCTGTGAGTTGAACGCACACATCACAAAGGAGTTTCTGAGAATCATTCTGCCTAGTTTTGAAACGAAGATATTTCCTTTTCTGCCATTGACCTTAAAGCGCTTGAAATCTACACTTGCAAATTGCACAAATAGAGTGTTTCAAATCTGCTCTGTCTAAGGGAACGTTCAACTCTGTGAGTTGAATGCACACAACACAAGGAAGTTACTGGGAATTCTTCTGTCTAGCCTTACATGAAAAAAACCCGTTTCCAACGAAGGCCTCTAAGTGGTCAAATTATCCACGTGCAGACTTTACAAACAGAGTGTTTCCAAACTGCTGAAGGAAAAGAAAAGTTAAACTCTGAGAGTTGAACACACACATCGCAGAGCAGTTTCTTAGAATGATTCTGTCTAGTTTTTATACGAAGCATACTTCCTTTTCTGCCTTTGGCCTCACAGCGCTTGAAATCTCCACTTGCAAATTCCACAAAAAGAGTGTTTCAAATCTGCTCTGTGTAAATGAAAGTTCAACTCTGTGAGTTGAACACACACAACACAAGGAAAGTTAGTGGGAATTCTTCTGTCTAGCATAATATGAAGAAATCCCGTTTCCAACGAAGGCCTCAAAGGGGTCTGAATATCCAATTGCAGACTTTATAAACAGAGTGTTTACTAACTGCTCTATGAAAAGAAAGGTTAAACTCTGTGAGTTGAACACACACATCACAAAGGAGTTTCTGAGAATCATTCTCTCTAGTCTTTATACGAAGATATTTCCTTTTCTACCATTGACTTCAAAGCGGCTGAAATCTCCACTTGCAAATTCCACAAAAAGAGTGTTTCAAGTCTGCTCTCTGTAAAGGATCTTTCAACTCTGTGAGTTGAATACACACAACACAAGGAAGTTACTGAGAATTCTTCTGTCTAGCAGAATATGAAGAAATCCAGTTTCCAACGAAAGCCTCAAAGAGGTCTGAATATCCACTTGCAGACTTTACAAACAGAGTGTTTCCTAACTGCTCTATGAAAAGAAAGGTTAAACTCTGTGAGTTGAACGCACACATCACAAAGGAGTTTCTGAGAATCATTCTGTCTAATTTTTATACGAAGATATTTCCTTTTCTACCATTGACCTCAAAGCGGCTGAAATCTCCACTTGCAAATTCCACAAAAAGAGTGTTTCAAATCTGCTCTGTGTAAAGGATCGTTCAACTCTGTGAGTTGAATACACACAATAAAAGGAAGTTACTGAGAATTCTTCTGTCTAGCATAATATGAAGAAATCCCGTTTCCAACGAAGGCCTCAAGGAGGTCTGAATATCCACTTGCAGACTTTACAAACAGAGTGTTTCCTAACTGCTCTATGAAAAGAAAGGTTAAACTCTGTGTGTTGAACGCACACATCACAAAGGAGTTTCTGAGAATCATTCTGTCTAGTTTTTATACGAAGATATTTCCTTTTCTACCATGGACCTCAAAGCGGCTGAAATCTCCACTTGCAAATTCCACAAAAAGAGTGTTTCAAGTCTGCTCTGTGTAAAGGATCGTTCAACTCTGTGAGTTGAATACGCACAACACAAGGAAGATTCTGAGAATTCTTCTGTCTAGCAGAATATGAAGAAATCCCGTTTCCAACGAAGGCCACAAGATATCAGAATATCCACTTACAGAATTGACAAACAGACTGTTTCCTAACTGCTCTATGAAAAGAAAGGTTAAACTCTGTGAGTTGAACGAACACATCACAACGCAGTTTGTGGGAATGATTCTGTCTAGTTTTGAAACGAAGATATTTCCTTTTCTGCCATTGACCTTAAAGCCCTTGAAATCTACACTTGCAAATTGCACAAATAGAGTGTTTCAAATCTGCTCTGTCTAAGGGAACGTTCATCTCTGTGAGTTGAATGCACACAACACAAGGAAGTTACTGGGAATTCTTCTGTCTAGCCTTAAATGAAAAAACCCCGTTTCCATCGAAGGCCTCTAAGTGGTCAAAATATCCACGTGCAGACTTTACAAACAGAGTGTTTCCAAACTACTGAATGAAAAGAAAAGTTAAACTCTGAGAGTTGAACGCACACATCACAGAGCAGTTTCTGACAATGATTCTGTCTAGTTTCTATAGGAAGATATTTCCTATTCCACCATTGACCTCAAAGCGGCTGAAATCTCCACTTGCAAATTCCACAAAAAGACTGTTTCAAGACTGTTCTGTGTAAAGGATCATTCAACTCTGTGAGTTGAATACACACAACACAAGGAAGTTACTGAGAATTCTTCTTTCTAGCAGAATATGAAGAAATCCCGTTTCCAACGAAAGCTTCAAGGATGTCTGAATATCCACTTGCATACTTTACAAAGAGAGTGTTTCCTAACTGCTCTATGAAAAGAAAGGTTAAACTCTGTGAGTTGAACGCACACATCACAAAGGAGTTTCTCAGAATCATTCTGTCTAGTCTTTATACGAAGATATTTCGTTTTCTACCATTGACCTCAAAGCGGCTGAAATCTCCACTTGCAAATTCCACAAAAAGAGTGTTTCAAGTCTGCTCTCTGTAAAGGATCGTTCAACTCTGTGAGTTGAATACACACAACACAAGGAAGTTACTGAGAATTATTCTGTCTAGCCTTACATGAAAAAAACCCGTTTCCAATGAAGGCCTCTAAGTGGTCAAATTATCCACGTGCAGACTTTACAAACAGAGTGTTTCCAAACTGCTGAATGAAAAGAAAACTTAAACTCTGAGAGTTGAACGCACACATCGCAGAGCAGTTTCTGAGAATGATTCTGTCTAGTTTTTATACGAAGATATTTCCTTTTCTGCCTTTGGCCCCAAAGCGCTTGAAGTCTCCACTTACAAATTCCACAAAAACAGTGTTTCAAATCTGCACTCTCTAAATGATAGTTCAACTCTGTCAGTTGAATACACACAACACAAGAAAGTTACTGAGAATTCTTCTGTCTAGCCTTATATGAAAAAAACCCGTTTCCAACGAAGGCCTCTAAGTGGTCAAATTATCCACGTGCAGACTTTACAAACAGAGTGTTTCCAAACTGCTGAATGAACAGAAAAGTTAAACTCTGAGAGTTGAACGCACACATCACAGAGCAGTTTCTGAGAATGATTCTGTCTAGTTTTTACATGAAGATATTTCCTTTTCTACCATTGACCCCAAAGCGGCTGAAATCTCCACTTACAAATTCCACAAAAAGAGTGTCTCAAGTCTGCTCTGTGTAAACGATCGTTAAACTCTGTGAGTTGAATACACACAACACAAGGAAGTTTCTGAGAATTCTTCTGTCTAGCATAGTATGAAGAAATCCCGTTTCCAACGAAGGCCTCAAAGAGGTCTGAATATCCACTTGCAGAGTTTACAAACAGAGTGTTTCCTAACTGCTCTATGAAAAGAAAGTTTAAACTCTGTGAGTTGAACGCACACATCACAAAGAAGGTTCTGAGAATCATTCTGTCTAGTTTTTCTACGAAGATATTTCCTTTTCTGCCTTTGGCCTCAAAGCGCTTGAAATCTCCACTTGCAAATTCCACAAAAAGAGTGTTTCAAATCTGCTCTGTGTAAAGGATCGTTCAACTCTGTGAGTTGAACACACACAACACAAGGAAGTTACTGGGAATTCTTCTGTCTAGCAGAATATGAAGAAATCCCGTTTCCAACGAAGGCTTCAAAGAGGTCTGAATATCCGCTTGCAGACTTTACAAACAGAGTGTTTCCTAACTGCTCTATGAAAAGAAAGTTTAAACTCTGTGAGTTGAGCGCACACATCACAAAGGAGTTTCTGAGAATCATTCTGTCTAGTTTTTATACGAAGATATTTCCTTTTCTACCATTGACCTCAACGCGGCTGAAATCTCCACTTGCAAATTCCACAAAAAGAGTGTTTCAAGTCCACTCTGTGTAAAGGATCGTTCAACTCTGTGAGTTGAATACACACAGCACAAGGAAGTTACTGAGAATTCTTCTGTCTAGCCTTACATGAAAAAAACCCGTTTCCAAGGAAGGCCTCTAAGTGGTCAAATTATCCACGTGCAGACTTTACAAACAGAGTGTTTCCAAACTGCTGAATGAAAAGCAAAGTTAAACTCTGAGAGTTGAACGCACACATCGCAGAGCAGTTTCTGAGAATGATTCTGTCTAGTTTTTATACGAAGATATTTCCTTTTCTGCCTTTGGCCTCAAAGCTCTTGAAATCTCCATTTGCAAATTCCACAAAAAGAGTGTTTCAAATCTGCTCTGTGTAAATGAAAGTTCAACTCTGTGAGTTGAACACACACAACACAAGGAAGTTACTGGGAATTCTTCTGTCTAGCATAATATGAAGAAATCCCGTTTCCAACGAAGGCCTCAAAGAGGTCTGAATATCCACTTGCAGACTTTACAAACGGAGTGTTTCCTAACTGCTCTATGAAAAGAAAAGTTAAACTCTGTGAGTTGAACGCACACATCACAAAGGAGTTTCTGAGAATCATTCTGTCTAGTCTTTATACGGAGATATTTCCTTTTCTACCGTTGACCTCAAAGCGGCTGAAATCTCCACTTGCAAATTCCACAAAAAGAGTGTTTAAAGTCTGCTCTGTGTAAAGGATCGTTCAACTCTGTGAGTTGAATACACACAACACAAGGAAGTTAGTGAGAATTCTTCTGTCTAGCATAATATGAAGAAATCCCGTTTCCAACGAAGGCCTCAAGGAGGTCTGAATATCCACTTGCAGGCTTTACAAACAGAGTGTTTCCTAACTGCTCTATGAAAAGAAAAGTTAAACTCTGTGAGTTGAACGCACACATCACAAAGTAGTTTCTCAGAATCATTCTGTCTAGTTTTTATACGAAGATATTTCCTTTTCTACCATTGACCTCAAAGCGGCTGAAATCTCCACTTGCAAATTCCACAAAAAGAGTGTTTCAAATCTGCTCTGTGTAAACCATCGTTCAACTCTGTGAGTTGAATACACACAACACAAGGAAGATTGTGAGAATTCTTCTGTCTAGCAGAATATGAAGAAATCCCGTTTCCAACGAAGGCCACAAGATGTCAGAATATCCACTTACAGACTTTACAAATAGAGTTTTTCCTAACTGCTCTATGAACAGAAAGGTTAAACTCTGTGAGTTGAACGAACACATCACAACGCAGTTTGTGGGAATGATTCTGTCTAGTTTTCAAACGAAGATATTTCCTTTTCTGCCATTGACCTTAAAGCGCTTGAAATCTCCATTTGCCAATTGCACAAAAAGAGTGTTTCAAATCTGCTCTGTCTAAGGGAACGTTCAACTCTGTGAGTTGAATGTACACAACACAAGGAAGTTACTGGGAATTCTTGTGTCTAGCCTTACATGAAAAAAACCCGTTTCCAACGAAGGCCTCTAAGTAGTCAAATTATCCACGTGCAGACTTTACAAACAGAGTGTTTCCAAACTGCTGAATGAAAAGAAAAGTTGAACTCGGAGAGTTGAACGCACACATCGCAGAGCAGTTTCTGAGAATGATTCTGTCTACTTTTTATACGAAGATATTTCGTTTTCTGCCTTTGGCCCCAAAGCACTTGAAATCTCCACTTGCAAATTCCACAAAAACAGTGTTTCAAATCTGCTCTCTCTAAATGAAAGTTCAACTCTGTCAGTTGAATACACACAACACAAGGGAAGTTACTGAGAATTCTTCTGTCTAGCCTTATATGAAAAAAACCCGTTTCCAACGAAGGCCTCAAAGAGGGCTGAATATCCACTTGCAGACTTTACAAGCAGAGTGTTTCCTAACTGCTCTATGAAAAGAAAGGTTAAACTCTGTGAGTTGAACGCACACATCACAAAGGAGTTTCTGAGAATCATTACTGTGTAGTTTTTATAGGAAGATATTTCCTTTTCTACCTTTGACTTCAAAGCGGCTGAAATCTCCACTTGCAAATTCCACAAAAAGAGTGTTACAAGTCTGCTCTGTGTAAAGGATCGTTCAACTCTGTGAGTTGAATACACACAACACAAGGAAGTTACTGAGAATTCTTTCTGTCTAGCCTTATATGAACAAAACCCGTTTCCAACGAACGCCTCAAAGAGGTCTCAATATCCACTTGCAGACTTTACAAACAGAGTGTTTCCTAACTGCTCTATGAAAAGAAAGGTTAAACTCTGTGAGTTGAACGTACACATCACAAAGGAGTTTCTGAGAATCATTCTGTCTAGTTTTTATACGAAGATATTTCCTTTTCTACCATGGACCTCAAAGCGGCTGAAATCTCCACTTGCAAATTCCACAAAAAGAGTGTTTCAAGTCTGCTCTGTGTAAAGGATCGTTCAACTCTGTGAGTTGAATACACACAACACAAGGAAGATTCTGAGATTTCTTCTGTCTAGCAGAATATGAAGAAATCCCGTTTCCAACGAAGGCCTCAAGGAGGTCTGAATATCCACTTGTAGACTTTACAAACAGAGTGTTTCCTAACTGCTCTATGAACAGAAAGGTTAAACTCTGTGAGTTGAACGAACACATCACAACGCAGTTTGTGGGAATGATTCTGTCTAGTTTTGAAACGAAGATATTTCCTTTTCTGCCATTGACCTTAAAGCACTTGAAATCTCCACTTGCCAATTGCACAAAAAGAGTGTTTCAAATCTGCTCTGTCTATGGGAACGTTCAACTCTGTGAGTTGAATGTACACAACACAAGGAAGTTACTGGGAATTCTTCTGTCTAGCCTTACAAGAAAAAAACCCGTTTCCAACGAAGGCCTCTAAATGGTGAAAATATCCACGTGCAGACTTTACAAACAGAGTGTTTCCAAACTGCTGAATGAAAAGAAAAGTTAAACTCTGAGAGTTGAACGCACACATCGCAGAGCAGTTTCTGAGAATGATTCTGTCTAGTTTTTATACGAAGATATTTCCATTTCTGCCTTTGGCCCCAAAGCGCTTGAAATCTCCACTTGCAAATTCCACAAAAACAGTGTTACAAATCTGCTCTCTCTAAATGAAAGTTCAACTCTGTCAGTTGATTACACACAACACAAGGAAGTTACTGAGAATTCTTCTGTCTAGCAGAATACGAAGAAATCCCGTTTCCAACGAAGGCCTCAAAGAGGTCTGACATATCCACTTGCAGACTTTACAAACAGAGTGTTTCCTAACTGCTCTATGAAAAGAAAAGTTAAACTCTGTGAGTTGAACGCACACATCACAAAGGAGTTTCTGAGAATCATTCTGTCTAGTTTTTATACGAAGATATTTCCTTTTCTACCATTGACCTCAACGCGGCTGAAATCTCCACTTGCAAATTCCACAAAAAGAGTGTTTCAAGTCTGCTCTGTGTAAAGGATCGTTCAACTCTGTGAGTTGAATACACACAACACAAGGAAGTTACTGAGAATCTTCTGTCTAGCCTTACATGAAAAAAACCAGTTTCCAACGAAGGCCTCTAAGTAGTCAAATTATCCACGTGCAGATTTTACAAACAGAGTGTTTCCAAACTGCTGAATGAAAAGAAAAGTTAAACTCTGAGAGTTAAACGCACACATCGCAGAGCAGTTTCTGAGAATGATTCTGTCTAGTTTTTATACGAAGATATTTCCTTTTCTGCCTTTGGCCTCAAAGCGCTTGAAATCTCCATTTGCAAATTCCACAAAAAGAGTGTATCAAATCTGCTCTGTGTAAATGAAAGTTCAACTCTGTGAGTTGAACACACACAACACAAGGAAGTTACTGGGAATTCTTCTGTCTAGCCTTATATGAAAAAAACCCGTTTCCAACGAAGGCCTCAAAGAGGTCTGAATATCCACTTGCAGACTTTACAAACAGAGTGTTTCCTAACTGCTCTATGAAAAGAAAGGTTAAACTCTGTGACTTGAACGCACACATCACAAAGGAGTTTCTGAGTATCATTCTGTCTAGTTTCTATAGGAAGATATTTCCTATTCTACCATTGACCTCAAAGCGGCTGAAATCTCAACTTGCAAATTCCACAAAAAGAGTGTTTCAAGTCTGCTCTCTGTAAAGGATCGTTCAACTCTGTGAGTTGAATACACACAACACAAGGTAGTTACTGAGAATTCTTCTGTCTAGCAGAATATGAGGAAATCCCGTTTCCAACGAAGGCCTCAAGGAGGTCTGAATATCCACTTGCAGACTTTACAAACAGAGTGTTTCCTAACTGCTCTATGAAAAGAAAGGTTAAACTCTGTGAGTTGAATGCACACATCACAAAGGAGTTTCTGAGAATCATTCTGTCTAGTTTCTATAGGAAGATATTTCCTATTCTACCATTGACCTCAAAGCGGCTGAAATCTCCACTTGCAAATTCCACCAAAAGGGTGTTTCAAGTCTGCTCTGTGTAAAGGATCGTTCAACTCTGTGAGTTGAATAGACACAACACAAGGAAGATACTGAGAATTCTTCTGTCTAGCATAATATGAAGAAATGCCGTTTCCAACGAAGGCCTCAAAGGGGTCTGAATATCCACTTGCAGACTTTATAAACGGAGTGTTTACTAACTGCTCTATGAAAAGAAAGGTTAAACTCTGTGAGTTGAACACACACATCACAAAGGAGTTTCTGAGAATCATTCTGTCTAGTCTTTATACGAAGATATTTCTTTTTCTACCATTGACCTCAAAGCGGCTAAAATCTCCACTTGCAAATTCCACAAAAAGAGTGTTTCAAGTCTGCTCTGTGTAAAGGATCGTTCAACTCTGTGAGTAGAATACACACAACACAAGGAAGTTACTGAGAATTCTTCTGTCTAGCCTTATATGAAAAAAACCCGTTTCCAACGAAGGCCTCAAAGAGGTCTGAATATCCACTTGCAGACTTTACAAACAGAGTGTTTCCTAACTGCTCTATGAAAAGAAAGGTTAAACTCTGTGAGTTCAACGCACACATCACAAAGGAGTTTCTGAGAATCATTCTGTCTAGTCTTTATACGAAGATATTTCCTTTTCTACCATTGACCACAAAGCGGCTGAAATCTCCACTTGCAAATTCCACAAAAAGAGTGTTTCAAGTCTGCTCTGTGTAAAGGATCATTCAACTCTGTGAGTTGAATACACACAACACAAGGAAGTTACTGAGAATTCTTCTGTCTAGCCTTATATGAAAAAAACCCGTTTCCAACGAAGGCCTCAAAGAGGTCTGAATATCCACTTGCAGACTTTACAAACAGAGTGTTTCCTAACTGCTCTATGAAAAGAAAGGTTAAACTGTGTGAGTTGAACACACACATCACAAAGGAGTTTCTGAGAATCATTCTGTCTAGTTTTTATAGGAAGATATTTCCTTTTCTACCTTTGACTTCAAATCTGCTGAAATCTCCACTTGCGAATTCCACAAAAAGAGTGTTACAAGTCTGCTCTGTGTAAAGGATCGTTCAACTCTGTGAGTTGAATACACACAACACAAGGAAGTTACTGAGAATTCTTCTGTCTAGCATAATATGAAGAAATCCCGTTTCCAACGAAGGCCTCAAGGAGGTCTGAAAATCCACTTGCACACTTTACAAACAGAGTGTTTCCTAACTGCTCTATGAAAAGAATGGTTAAACTCTGTGAGTTAAACGCAGACATCACAAAGGAGTTTCTGAGAATCACTCTGTCTAGTTTTTATACGAAGATATTTCCTTTTCTACCATTGACCTCAAAGCGGCTGAAATCTCCACTTGCAAATACCAGAAAAAGAGTGTTTCAAGTCTGCTCTGTGTAAAGGATCGTTGAAATCTGTGAGTTGAATACACACAACACAATGAAGTTACTGAGAATTCTTCTGTCTAGCACAGTATGAAGAAATCCCGTTTCCAGCGAAGGCCTCAAAGAGGTCTGAATATCCACTTGCAGAGTTTACAAACAGAGTGTTTCCTAACTGCTCTATGAAAAGAAAAGTTAAACTCTGTGAGTTGAACGCACACATCACAAAGAAGTTTCTGAGAATCATTCTGTCTAGTTTCTATAGGAAGATATTTCCTATTCTACCTTTGACCACAAAGCGGCTGAAATCTCCACTTGCAAATTCCACAAAAAGAGTGTTTCAAGTCTGCTCTGTGTAAAGGATCGTTGAACTCTGTGAGTTGAATACACACAACACAAGGAAGTTACTGAGAATTCTTCTGTCTAGCAGAATATGAAGAAATCCCGTTTCCAACGAAGGCCACAAGATGTCAGAATATCCACTTACAGACTTTACAAACAGAGTGTTTCCTAACTGCTCTATGAACAGAAAGGTTAAACTCTGTGAGTTGAACAAACACATCACAATGCAGTTTGTGGGAATGATTCTGTCTAGTTTTGAAACGACGATATTTCCTTTTCTGCCATTGACCTTAAAGCGCTTGAAATCTCCATTTGCCAATTGCACAAAAAGAGTGTTTCAAATCTGCTCTGTCTAAGGTAACGTTCAACTCTGTGAGTTGAATGTACACAACACAAGGAAGTTACTGGGAATTCTTCTGTCTAGCCTTACATGAAAAAAACCCGTTTCCAACGAAGGCCTCTAAGTGGTCAAGTTATCCACGTGTAGACTTTACAAACAGAGTGTTTCCAAACTGCTGAATGAAAAGAAAAGTTAAACTCTGAGAGTTGAACGCACACATCGCAGAGCAGTTTCTGAGAATGATTCTGTCTAGTTTTGAAACGAAGTTATTTCCTTTTCTGCCTTTGGCCTCAAAGCGCTTGAAATCTCCACTTGCAAATTCCACAAAAAGAGTGTTTCAAATCTTCTCTGTGTAAATGAAAGTTCAACTCTGTGACTTGAACACACACAACACAAGGAAGTTACTGGGAATTCTTCTGTCTAGCAGAATATGAAGAAATCCCGTTTCCAACGAAGGCCTCAAAGAGGTCTTAATATCCACTTGCAGACTTTACAAACTGAGTGTTTCCTAACTGCTCTATGAAAAGAAAGGTTAAACTCTGTGAGTTGAACGCACACATCCCAAAGGAGTTTCTGAGAATCATTCTGTCTAGTTTTTCTACGAAGATGTTTCCTTTTCTACTATTGACCTCAAAGCGGCTGAAATCTCCTATTGCAAATTCCACAAAAAGAGTGTTTCAAGTCTTCTCTGTGTAAAGGATCGTTCAACTCTGTGAGTTGAATACACACAACACAAGGAAGTTACTGAGAATTCTTCTGTCTAGCAGAATATGAAGAAATCCCGTTTCCAACGAAAGCCTCAAAGAGGTCTGAATATCCACTTGCAGACTTTACAAACAGAGTGTTTCCTAACTGCTCTATGAAAAGAAAGGTTAAACTCTGTGAGTTGAACGCACATATCACAAAGGAGTTTCTGAGAATCATTCTGTCTAGTTTCTATAGGAAGATATTTCCTATTCTACCATTGAACAAAAAGCGGCTGAAATCTCCACCTGCAAATTCCACAAAAAGAGTGTTTCAAGTCTGCTCTGTGTAAAGGATCGTTGAAATCTGTGAGTTGAATACACACAACACAAGGAAGTTACTGAGAATTCTTCTGTCTATCAGAATATGAAGAAATCCCGTTTCCAACGAAGGCCTCAAAGAGGTCTGAATATCCACTTGCAGACTTTACAAACAGAGTGTTTCCTAACTGTTCTATGAAAAGAAAAGTTAAACACTGTGAGTTGAACGCACACATCACAAAGGAGTTTCTGAGAATCATTCTGTCTAGTTTTTCTACGATGATATTTCCTATTCTACCATTGACCTCAAAGCGGCTGAAATCTCCACTTGCAAATTCCACAAAAAGAGTGTTTCAAGTCTGCTCTGTGTAAAGGATCGTTCAACTCTGTGAGTTGAATACACACAAAAAAAGGAAGTTACTGAGAATTCCTCTGTCTAGCAGAATATGAAAAAATCCCGTTTCCAACGAAGGCCACAAGATGTCAGAATATCCACTTACAGAATTGACAAACAGACTGTTTCCTAACTGCTCTATGAAAAGAAAGGTTAAACTCTGTGAGTTGAACGAACACATCACAACGCAGTTTGTGGGAATGATTCTGTCTAGTTTTGAAACGAAGATATTTCCTTTTCTGCCATTGACCTTAAAGCGCTTGAAATCTCCACTTGCCAATTGCACAAAAAGAGTGTTTCAAATCTGCTCTGTCTAAGGGAACGTTCAACTCTGTGAGTTGAATGTACACAACACAAAGAAGTTACTGCGAATTCTTCTGTCTAGCCTTACAAGAATAAAACCCGTTTCGAACGAAGGCCTCTAAGTGGTCAAAATATCCACGTGCAGACTTTACAAAGAGAGTGTTTCCAAACTGCTGAATGAAAAGAAAAATTAAACTCTGAGAGTTGAATGCACACATCGCAGAGCAGTTTCTGAGAATGATTCTGTCTAGTTTTTATACGAAGATAATTCCTTTTCTGCCTTTGGCCTCAAAGCGCATGAAATCTCCATTTGCAAATTCCACAAAAAGAGTGTTTCAAATCTGCTCTGTGTAAATGAAAGTTCAACTCTGTGAGTTGAACACACACAACACAAGGAAGTTACTGGGAATTCTTCTGTCTAGCATCATATGAAGAAATCCCCTTTCCAACGAAGGCCTCAAAGAGGTCTGTATATCCACTTGCAGACTTTACAAACAGAGTGTTTCCTAACTGCTCTATGAAAAGAAAGGTTAAACTGTGTGAGTTGAACGCACACATCACAAAGGAGTTTCTGAGAATCATTCTGTCTAGTTTCTATAGGAAGATATTTCTTATTCTACCATTGACCTCAAAGCGGCAGAAATCTCCACTTGCAAATTTCACAAAAAGAGTGTTTCAAGTCTGCTCTTTGTAAAGGATCGTTCAACACTGTGAGTTGAATACACACAACACAAGGAAGTTACTGAGAATTCTTCTGTCTAGCCTTACATGAAAAAAAACCCGTTTCCAACGAAGGCCTCTAAGTGGTCAAAATATCCACGTGCAGTCTTTACAAACAGAGTGTTTCCAAACCGCTGAATGAAAAGAAAAGTTAAACTCTGAGACTTGAACGCACACATCACGCAGCAGTTTACTGAGAATGATCTGTCTAGTTTTTATACGAAGATATTTCCTTTTCTGCCTTTGGCCTCAAAGCGCTTGAAATCTCCACTTGCAAATTCCACAAAAAGAGTGTTTCAAATCTGCTCTGTGTAAATGAAAGTTCAACTCTGTGAGTTGAACACACACAACACAAGGAAGTTACTGGGAATTCTTCTGTCTAGCATAGTATGAAGAAATCCCGTTTCCAACGAAGGCCTCAAAGAGGTCTGAATATCCACTTGCAGAGTTTACAAACAGAGTGTTTCCTAACTGCTCTATGAAAAGAAAGGTTAAACTCTGTGAGTTGAACGCACACATCACAAAGAAGTTTCTGAGAATCACTCTGTCTAGTTTTTATACGAAGATATTTCCTTTTCTACCATTGACCTCAAAGCGGCTGAAATCTCCACTTGCAAATTCCACCAAAAGAGTGTTTCAAATCTGCTCTGTGTAAACCATCGTTCAACTCTGTGAGTTGAATACACACAACACAAGGGAAGATTCTGAGAATTCTTCTGTCTAGCAGAATATGAAGAAATCCCGTTTCCAACGAAGTCCTCAAGGAGGTCTGAATACCCACTTGCAGACTTTACAAACAGAGTGTTTCCTAACTGCTCTATGAACAGAAAGGTTAAACTCTGTGAGTTGAACGAACACATCACAACGCAGTTTGTGGGAATGATTCTGTCTAGTTTTGAAACGAAGATATTTCCTTTTCTGCCATTGACCTTAAAGCGCTTGAAATCTACACTTGCAAATTGCACAAATAGAGTGTTTCAAATCTGCTCTGTCTAGGGGAACGTTCAACTCTGTGAGTTGAATGCACACAACACAAGGAAGTTACTGGGAATTCTTCTGTCTAGCCTTACATGAAAAAAACCCGTTTCCAACGAAGGCCTCTAAGGGGTCAAAATATCCTCGTGCAGACTTTACAAACAGAGTGTTTCCAACCCGCTGAATGAAAAGAAAAGTTAAACTCTGAGAGTTGAACGCACACATCACGCAGCAGTTTCTGAGAATGATTCTGTCTAGTTTTTATACGAAGATATTTCCTTTTCTGCCTTTGGCCCCAAAGCGCTTGAAATCTCCACTTGCAAATTCCACAAAAACAGTGTTTCAAATCAGCTCTCTCTAAATGAAAGTTCAACTGTGTCAGTTGAATACACACAACACAAGGAAGTTACTGAGAATTCTTCTGTCTAGCATAATATGAAGAAATCCCGTTTCCAACGAAGGCCTCAAAGAGGTCTGAATATCCACTTGCAGACTTTACAAACAGAGTGTTTCCTAACTGCTCTATGAAAAGAAAAGTTAAACTCTGTGAGTTGAACACACACATCACAAAGGATTTTCTGAGAATCATTCTGCCTAGTTTTTCTACGAAGATATTTCCTTTTCTACTATTGACCTCAAAGCGGCTGAAATCTCCACTTGCAAATTCCACAAAAAGAGTGTTTCAAGTCTGCTCTGTGTAAAGGATCGTTCAACTCTGTGAGTTGAATACACTCAACACAAGGAAGTTACTGAGAATTCTTCTGTATAGCAGAATATGAAGAAATCCCGTTTCCAACGAAGGCCACAAGATGTCACAATATCCACTTACAGAATTTACAAACAGACTGTTTCCTAACTCCTCTATGAAAACAAAGGTTAAACTCTGTGAGTTGAACGAACACATCACAACGCAGTTTGTGGGAATTATTCTGTCTAGTTTTTATAGGAAGATATTTCCTTTTCTACCTTTGACTTGAAAGCGGCTGAAATCTCCACTTGCAAATTCCACAAAAAGAGTGTTACAAGTCTGCTCTGTGTAAAGGATCGTTCAACTCTGTGAGGTGAATACACACAACACAAGGAAGTTACTGAGAATTCTCTGTCTAGCCTTACATGAAAAAAACCCGTTTCCAACGAAGGCCTCTAAGTGGTCAAGTTATCCACGTGCAGACTTTACAAACAGAGTGTTTCCAAACTGCTGAATGAAAAGAAAAGTTAAACTCTGAGAGTTGAACGCACACATCGCAGAGCAGTTTCTGAGAAGATTCTCTGTCTAGTTCCTATAGGAAGATATTTCCTATTCTACCATTGACCTCAAAGCGGCTGAAATCTCCACTTGCAAATTCCACAAAAAGAGTGTTTCAAGTCTGCACTGTGTAAAGGATCGTTCAACTCTTTGAGTTCAATACACACAACACAATGAAGTTTCTGAGAATTCTTCTGTCTAGCAGAATATGAAGAAATCCCGTTTCCAACGAAAGCCTCAAAGAGGTCTGAATATCCACTTGCAGACTTTACAAACAGAGTGTTTCCTAACTGCTCTATGAAAAGAAAGGTTAAACTCTGTGAGTTGAATGCACACATCATAAAGGAGTTTCTGAGAATCATTCTGTCTAGTTCTTATACGAAGATATTTCCTTTTCTACCATTGACCTCAAAGCGGCTGAAATCTCCACTTGCAAATTCCACAAAAAGAGTGTTTCAAGTCTGCTCTGTGTAAAGGATCGTTCAACTCTGTGAGTTGAATACACACAACACAAGGAAGTTACTGAGAATTCTTCTGTCTAGCAGAATATGAAGAAATCCCGTTTCCAACGAAGGCCACAAGATGTCAGAATATCCACTTACAGACTTTACAAACAGAGTGTTTCCTAACTGCTCTATGAACAGAAAGGTTAAACTCTGTGAGTTGAACGAATACATCACAACGCAGTTTGTGGGAATGATTCTGTCTAGTTTTGAAACGAAGATATTTCCTTTTCTGCCATTGACCTTAAAGCGCTTGAAATCTACACTTGCAAATTGCACAAATAGAGTGTTTCAAATCTGCTCTGTCTAAGGGAACGTTCAACTCTGTGAGTTGAATGCACACAACACAAGGAAGTTACTGGGAATTCTCTGTCTAGCCTTACAAGAAAAAAACCCGTTTCCAACGAAGGCCTCTAAATGGTCAAAATGTCCACGTGCAGACTTTACAAACAGAGTGTTTCCAAACTGCTGAATGAAAAGAAAAGTTAAACTCTGAGAGTTGAACGCACACATCGCAGAGCAGTTTCTGAGAATGATTCTGTCTAGTTTTTATACGAAGACATCTCCTTTTCTGCCTTTGGCCTCAAAGCGCTTGAAATCTCCACTTGCAAATTCCACAAAAAGAGTGTTTCAAATCTGCTCTGTGTAAATCAAAGTTTAACTCTGTGAGTTGAACACACACAACACAAGGAAGTTACTGGGAATTCTTCTGTCTAGCATAATATGAAGAAATCCCGTTTCCAACGAAGACCTCAAAGAGGTCTGAATATCCACTTGCACACTTTACAAACAGAGTGTTTCCTAACTGCTCTATGAGAAGAAAAGTTAAACTCTGTGAGTTGAACGCACACATCACAAAAGATTTTCTGAGAATCATTCTGTGTAGTCTTTATACGAAGATATTTCCTTTTCTACCATTGACCTCAAAGCGGCTGAAATCTCCACTTGCAAATTCCACAAAAAGTGTGTTTCAAGTCTGCTCTGTGTAAAGGATCGTTCAACTCTGTGAGTTGAATACACACAACACAAGGAAGTTACTGAGAATTCTTCTGTCTAGCAGAATATGAAGAAATCCCGTTTCCAGCGAAGGCCACAAGATGTCAGAATATCCACTTACAGACTTTACAAACAGAGTGTTTCCTAACTGCTCTATGAACAGAAAGGTTAAACTCTGTGTGTTGAACGCACACATCACAAAGGAGTTTATGGGAATCATTCTGTCTAGTTTTGAGACGAAGATATTTCCTTTTCTGCCATTGACCTTAAAGCGCTTGAAATCTACACTTGCAAATTGCACAAATAGAGTGTTTCAAATCGGCTCTGTCTAAGGGAACGTTCAACTCTGTGAGTTGAATGCACACAACACAAGGAAGTTACTGGGAATTCTTCTGTCTAGCCTTACAGGAAAAAAACCCGTTTCCAACGAAGGCCTGTAAGTGGTCAAAATATCCACGTGCAGACTTTACAAACAGAGTGTTTCCAAACTGCTGAATGAAAAGAAAAGTTAAACTCTGAGAGTTGAATGCACACATCGCAGAGCAGTTTCTGAGAATGATTCTGTCTAGTTTTTATACGAAGATATTTCCTTTTCTGCCTTTGGCCCCAAAGTGCTTGAAATCTCCACTTGCAAATTCCACAAAAACAGTGTTTCAAATCTGCTCTCTCTAAATGAAAGTTCAACTCTGTCAGTTGAATAAACACAACACAAGGAAGTTACTGAGAATTCTTCTGTCTAGCAGAATATGAAGAAATCCCGTTTCCAACGAAGGCCTCAAAGAGGTCTGAATATCCACTTGCAGACTTTACAAACAGAGTGTTTCCTAACTGCTCTATGAACAGAAAGGTTAAACTCTGTGAGGTGAACGCACACATCACAAAGGAGTTTCTGAGAATCATTCTGTCTAGTTTTTATAGGAAGATATTCCCTTTTCTACCTTTGACTTCAAAGCGGCTGAAATCTCCACTTGCAAATTCCACAAAAAGAGTGTTTCAAATCTGCTCTGTGTAAACAATCGTTCAACTGTGTGAGTTGAATACACACAACACAAGGAAGATTCTGAGAATTCTTCTGTCTAGCAGATTATGAAGAAATCCCGTTTCCAACGAAGGCCACAAGATGTCAGAATATCCACTTACAGAATTGACAAACAGACTGTTTCCTAACTGCTCTATGAAAAGAAAGGTTAAACTCTGTGAGTTGAACGAACACATCACAACGCAGTTTGTGCGAATGATTCTGTCTAGTTTTTATACGAAGATATTTCTTTTTCTACCATTGATCTCAAAGCGGCTGAAATCACCACTTGCCAATTGCACAAAAAGAGTGTTTCAAATCTGCTCTGTCTAAGGGAACGTTCAACTCTGTGAGTTGAATGTACACAACACAAGGAAGTTACTGGGAATTCTTCTGTCTAGCCTTACATGAAAAATCCCGTTTCCAACGAAGGCCTCTAAGTGGTCAAATTATCCACGTGCAGACTTTAAAAACAGAGTGTTTCCAAACTGCTGAATGAAAAGAAAAGTTAAACTCTGAGAGTTGAACGCACACATCACAGAGCAGTTTCTGAGAATGATTCTGTGTAGTTTTTATACGAAGATATTTCCTTTTCGGCCTTTGGCCTCAAAGCGCTTGAAATCTCCACTTGCAAATTCCACAAAAAGAGTGTTTCAAATCTGCTCTGTGTAAATGAAAGTTCAACTCTGTGAGTTGAACACACACATCACAAGGAAGTTACTGGGAATTCTTGTGTCTAGCATAATATGAAGAAATCCCGTTTCCAACGAAGGCCTCAAGGAGGTCTGAATATCCACTTGCAGACTTTACAAACAGAGTGTTTCCTAACTGCTCTATGGAAAGAAAGGTTAAACTCTGTGAGTTGAACGCACACATCACAAAGGAGTTTCTGAGAATCATTCTGTCTAGTTTTTATACGAAGATATTTCCTTTTCTACCATGGACCTCAAAGCGGCTGAAATCTCCACTTGGAAATTCCACAAAAAGAGTGTTTCAAGTCTGCTCTGTGTAAAGGATCGTTCAACTCTGTGAGTTGAATACACACAACACAAGGAAGATTCTGAGAATTCTTCTGTCTAGCAGAATATGAAGAAATCCCGTTTCCAACGAAGGCCTCAAGGATGTCTGAATATCCACTTGCAGACTTTACAAACAGAGTGTTTCCTAACTGCTCTATGAAAAGAAAGGTTAAACTCTGTGAATTGAACGCACACATCACAAAGGAGTTTATGAGAATCATTCTGTCTAGTCTTTATACGAAGATATTTCCTTTTCTACCATTGACCTCAAAGCGGCTGAAATCTCCACTTGCAAATTCCACAAAAAGAGTGTTTCAAGTCTGCTCTGTGTAAAGGATGGTTCAACTCTGTGAGTTGAATACACAGAACACAAGGAAGTTACTGAGAATTCTTATGTCTAGCAGAATATGAAGAAATCCCGTTTCCAACGAAGGTCACAAGATGTCAGAATATCCACTTAAAGAATTTACAAACAGACTGTTTCCTAACTGCTCTATGAAAAGAAAGGTTAAACTCTGTGAGTTGAACGAACACATCACAACGCAGTTTGTGGGAATGATTCTGTCTAGTTTTTATACGAAGATATTTCCTTTTCTACCATTGACCTCAAAGCGGCTGAAATCACCACTTGCCAATTGCACAAAAAGAGTGTTTCAAATCTGCTCTGTCTAAGGAAACGTTCAACTCTGTGAGTTGAATGTACACAACACAAGGAAGTTACTGGGAATTCTTCTGTCTAGCCTTACAGGAAAAAAACCCGTTTCCAACGAAGACCTCTAAGTGGTCAAAATATCCACGTGCAGACTTTACAAACAGAGTGTTTTCAAACTGCTGAATGAAAAGAAAAGTTAAACTCTGAGAGTTGAACGCACACATCGCAGAGCAGTTTCTGAGAATGATTCTGTCTAGTTTTGAAACGAAGATATTTCCTTTTCTGCCTTTGGCCTCAAAGCGCTTGAAATCTCCACTTGCAAATTCCATAAAAAGAGTGTTTCAAATCTGCTCTGTGTGAATGAAAGTTCAACTCTGTGAGTTGAATACACACAACACAAGGAAGTTACTGAGAATTCTTCTGTCTAGCAGAATATGAAGAAATCCCGTTTCCAACGAAAGCCTCAAAGATGTCTGAATATCCACTTGCAGACTTTACAAAGAGAGTGTTTCCTAACTGCTCTATGAAAAGAAAGGTTAAACTCTGTGAGTTGAACGCACACATCACAAAGGAGTTTCTGAGAATCATTCTGTCTAGTTTCTATAGGAAGATATTTCCTTTTCTACCATTGACCTCAAAGCGGCTGAAATCTCCACTTGTAAATTCCACAAAAACAGTGTTTCAATTCTGCTCTGTGTAAAGGATCGTTCAACTCTGTGAGTTGAATACACACAACACAAGGAAGTTACTGAGAATTCTTCTGTCTAGCCTTACATGAAAAAAACCCGTTTCCAACGAAGGCCTCTAAGTGGTCAAATTATCCACTTGCAGACTTTACAAACAGAGTGTTTCCAAACTGCTGAATGAAAAGAAAAGTTAAACTCTGAGAGTTGAACGCACACATCACAGAGCAGTTTCTGAGAATGATTCTGTCTAGTTTTTATACGAAGATATTTCCTTTTCTGCCTTTGGCCTCAAAGCGCTTGAAATCTCCAAATGCAAATTCCACAAAAAGAGTGTTTCAAATCTGCTCTGCGTAAATTAAAGTTCAACTCTGTGAGTTGAACACACACAACACAAGGAAGTTACTGGGAATTCTCCTTTCTAGCAGAATATGAAGAAATCCCGTTTCCAACGAAAGCCTCAAGGATGTCTGAATATCCACTTGCAGACTTTACAAACAGAGTGTTTCCCAACTGCTCTATGAAAAGAAAGGTTAAACTCTGTGAGTTGAACGCACACATCACAAAGGAGTTTCTGAGAATCATTCTGTCTAGTTTTTATACGAAGATATTTCCTTTTCTACCTTTGACCTCAAAGGGGCTGAAATCTCCACTTGCAAATTCCACAAAAAGAGTGTTTCTAGTCTGCTCTGTGTAAAGGATCGTTCAACTCTGTGAGTTGAATACACACAACACAAGGAAGTTACTGAGAATTCTTCTGTCTAGCCTTACATGAAAAAAACCCGTTTCCAACGAAGGCCTCTAAGTGGTCAAGTTATCCACGTGCAGACTTTACAAACAGAGTGTTTCCAAACTTATGAATGAAAAGAAAAGTTAAACTCTGAGAGTTGAACGCACACATCGCAGAGCAGTTTCTGAGAATGATTCTGTCTAGTTTTGAAACGAAGATATTTCCTTTTCTGCCTTTAGCCTCAAAGCGCTTGAAATCTCCACTTGCAAATTCCACAAAAACAGTGTTTCAAGTCTGCTCTGTGTAAAGGATCGTTCAACTCTGTGAGTTGAATACACACAACACAAGGAAGTTACTGAGAATACTTCTGTCTAGCACAGTAGGAAGAAATCCCGTTTCCAACGAAGGCCTCAAAGAGGTCTGAATATCCACTTGCAGACTTTACAAACAGAGTGTTTCCTAACTGCTCTATGAAAAGAAAGGTTAAACTCTGTGAGTTGAACGCACACGTCACAATGAAGTTTCTGAGAATCATTCTGTCTAGTTTTTATACGAAGATATTTCCTTTTCTACCATTGACCTCAAAGCGGCTGAAATCACCACTTGCCAATTGCACAAAAAGAGTGTTTCAAATCTGCTCTGTCTAAGGGAACGTTCAACTCTGTGAGTTGAATGTACACAACACATGGAAGTTCCTGGGAATTCTTCTGTCTAGCCTTACAAGAAAAAAACCCGTTTCCAACGAAGGCCTCTAAGTGGTCAAAATATCCACGCGCAGACTTTACAAACAGAGTGTTTCCAAACTGCTGAATGAAAAGAAAAGTTAAACTCTGAGAGTTGAACGCACACATCGCAGAGCACTTTCTGAGAATGATTCTGTCTAGTTTTGAAACGAAGATATTTCCTTTTCTGCCTTTGGCCTCAAAGCGCTTGAAATCTCCACTTGCAAATTCCACAAAAAGAGTGTTTCAAATCTGCTCTGTGTAAATGAAAGTTCAACTCTGTGAGTTGAACGCACACAACACAAGGAAGTTACTGGGAATTCTTCTCTCTAGCCTTATATGAAAAAAACCCGTTTCCAACGAAGGCCTCAAAGAGGTCTGAATATCCACTTGCAGACTTTAGAAACAGAGTGTTTCCTAACTGCTCTATGAAAAGAAAGGTGAAACTCTGTGAGTTGAACGCACACATCACAAAGGAGTTTCTGAGAATCATTCTGTCTAGTTTTTATACGAAGATATTTCCTTTTCTACCATTGACCTCAAGTCGGCTGAAATCTCCACTTGCAAATTCCACAAAAAGAGTGTTTGAAGTCTGCTCTGTGTAAATGATCATTGAACTCTGTGAGTTGAATACACACAACACAAGGAAGTTACTGAGAATTCTTCTGTCTAGCATAATATGAAGAAATCCCGTTTCCAACGAAGGCCTCAAAGAGGTCTGAATATCCACTTGCAGACTTTACAAACAGAATGTTTCCTAACTGCTCTATGAGAAGAAAGGTTAAACTCTGTGAGTTGAACGCACACATCACAAAGGAGTTTCTGAGAATCATTCTGTCTAGTTTTTATAAGAAGATATTTCCTTTTCTACCATTGACCTCAAGTCGGCTGAAATCTCCACTTGCAAATTCCACAAAAAGAGTGTTTCAAGTCTGCTCTGTGTAAAGGATCGTTGAACTCTGTGAGTTGAATACACACAACACAAGGAAGTTACTGAGAATTCTTCTGTCTAGCAGAATATGAAGAAATCCCGTTTCCAAAGAAGGCCACAAGATGTCAGAATATCCACTTACAGAATTTACAAACAGACTGTTTCCTAACTGCTCTATGAAAAGAAAGGTTAAACTCTGTGAGTTGAACGAACACCTCACAACGCAGTTTGTGGGAATGATTCTGTCTAGTTTTGAAACGAAGATATTTCCTTTTCTGCCATTGACCTTAAAGCGCTTGAAATCTCCACTTGCCAATTGCACAAAAAGAGTGTTTCAAATCTGCTCTGTCTAAGGGAACGTTCAACTCTGTGAGTTCAATGTACACAACACAAGGAAGTTACTGGGAATTCTTCTGTCTAGCCTCACATGAAAAAAACCCTTTTCCAATGAAGGCCTCTAAGTGGTCAAATTATCCACGTGCAGACTTTACAAACAGAGTGTTTCCAAACTGCTGAATGAAAAGAAAAGTTAAACTCTGAGAGTTGAACGCACACATCACAGAGCAGTTTCTGAGAATGATTCTGTCTAGTTTCTATAGGAAGATATTTCCTATTCTACCATTGACCTCATAGCGGCTGAAATCTCCACTTACAAATTCCACAAACAGAGTGTCTCAAGTCTGCTCTGTGTAAACGATCGTTCAACTCTGTGAGTTGAATACACACAACACAAGGAAGTTTCTGAGAATTCTTCTGTATAGCAGAATATGAAGAAATCCCGTTTCCAACGAAAGCCTCAAAGATATCTGAATATCCACTTGCAATCTTACAAACAGAGTGTTTCCTAACTGCTCTATGAAAAGAAAGGTTAAACTCTGTGAGTTGAACGCCCACATCACAAAGGAGTTTCTGAGAATCATTCTGTCTAGTTTTTATACGAAGATATCTCCTTTTCTAACATTGACCTCAAAGCGGCTGAAATCTCCACTTGCAAATTCCACAAAAAGAGTGTTTTAAGTCTGCTCTGTGTAAAGGATCGTTCAACTCTGTGAGTTGAATACACACAACACAAGGAAGTTACTGAGAATCCTTCTGTCTAGCAGAACATGAAGAAATCCCGCTTCCAACGAAGGCCTCAAAGAAGTCTGAATATCCACTTGCAGACTTTACAAACAGAGGGTTTCCCAACTGCTCTATGAAAAGAAAGGTTGAACTCTGTGAGTTGAACGCACACATCACAAAGGAGTTTCTGAGAATCATTCTGTCTAGTCTTTATACGAAGATATTTACTTTTCTACCATTGACCGCAAAGCGGCTGAAATCTCCACTTGCAAATTCCACAAAAAGAGTGTTTCAAGTCTGCTCTGTGTAAAGGATCATTCAGCTCTGTGAGTTGAATAAACACAACACAAGGAAGTTACTGAGAATTCTTCTGTCTAGCACAGTATGGAGAAATCCCGTTTCCAACGAAGGCCTCAAAGAGGTCTGAATATCCACTTGCAGAGTTTACAAACAGACTGTTTCCTAACTGCTCTATGAAAAGAAAGGTTAAACTCTGTGAGTTGAACGAACACATCACAACGCAGTTTGTGGGAATGATTCTGTCTAGTTTTGAAACGAAGATATTTCCTTTTCTACCATTGACCTTAAAGCGCTTGAAATCTACACTTGCAAATTGCACAAATAGAGTGTTTCAAATCTGCTCTGTCTAAGGGAACGTTCAACTCTGTGAGTTGAATGCACACAACACAAGGAAGTTACTGGGAATTCTTCTGTCTAGCCTTACATGAAAAAAAACCCGTTTCCAACGAAGGCCTCTAAGTGGTCAAAATATCCACGTGCAGTCTTTACAAACAGAGTGTTTCCAAACCGCTGAATGAAAAGAAAAGTTAAACTCGGAGAGTTGAACGCACACATCACGCAGCAGTTTCTGAGAATGATTCTGTCTAGTTTTTATACGAAGATATTTCCTTTTCTGCCTTTGGACTCAAAGCGCTTGAAATCTCTACTTGCAAATTCCACAAAAAGAGTGTTTCAAATCTGCTCTGTCTAAATGAAAGTTCAACTCTGTCAGTTGAATACACACAACACAAGGAAGTTACTGAGAATTCTTGTGTCTAGCATAGTATGAAGAAATCCCGTTTCCAACGAAGGCCTCAAAGAGGTCTGAATATCCACTTGCAGAGTTTACAAGCAGAGTGTTTCCTAACTGCTCTATGAAAAGAAAGGTTAAACTCTGTGAGTTGAACGCACACATCACAAAGAAGTTTCTGAGAATCATTCTGTCTAGTTTTTCTACGAAGATATTTCCTTTTCTACCATTGACCTCAAAGCAGCTGAAATCTCCACTTGCAAATTCCACAAAAAGAGTGTTTCAAGTCTGCTCTCTGTAAAGGATCGTTCAAATCTGTGAGTTGAATACACACAACACAAGGGAAGTTACTGAGAATTCTTCTGTCTAGCAGAATATGAAGAAATCCTGTTTCCAACGAAGGCCTCAAGGAGGTCTGAATATCCACTTGCAGACTTTACAAACAGAGTGTTTCCTAACTGCTCTATGAAAAGAAAGGTTAAACTCTGTGAGTTGAACGCACACATCACAAAGGACTTTCTGAGAATCATTCTGTCTAGTTTCTATAGGAAGATATTTCCTATTCTACCATTGACCTCAAAGCAGCTGAAATCTCCACTTGCAAATTCCACAAAAAGAATGTTTCAAGTCTGCTCTGTGTAAAGGATCGTTCAACTCTGGGAGTTGAATACACACAACACAAGGAAGTTACTGAGAATTATACTTTCTAGCAGAAAATGAAGAAATCCCGTTTCCAACGAAGGCCACAAGATGTCAGAATATCCACTTACAGACTTTACAAACACAGTGTTTCCTAACTGCTCTATGAACAGAAAGGTTAAACTCTGTGAGTTGAACGAACACATCACAACGCAGTTTGTGGGAATGATTCTGTCTAGTTTTTATACGAAGATATTCCCTTTTCTACCATTGACCTCAAAGCAGCTGAAATCACCACTTGCCAATTGCACAAAAAGAGTGTTTCAAATCTGCTCTGTCTAAGGGAACGTTCAGCTCTGTGAGTTGAATGTACACAACACAAGGAAGTTACTGGGAATTCTTCTGTCTATCCTTACATGAAAAAAACCCGTTTCCAACGAAGACCTCTAAGTGGTGAAATTATCCACGTGCAGACTTTACAAACAGAGTGTTTCCAAACTGCTGAATGAAAAGAAAAGTTAAACTCTGAGAGTTGAACGCACACATCGCAGAGCAGTTTCTGAGAATGATTCTGTCTAGTTTTTATACGAAGATATTTCCTTTTCTGCCTTTGGCCTCAAAGCGCTTGAAACCTCCACTTGCAAATTCCACAAAAAGAGTGTTTCAAATCTGCTCTGTGTAAATGAAAGTTCAACTCTGTGAGTTGAACACACACAACACAAGGAAGTTACTGGGAATTCTTCTTTCTAGCAGAATATGAAGAAATCCCGTTTCCAACGAAAGCCTCAAGGATGTCTGAATATCCACTTGCAGACTTTACAAACAGAGTGTATCCTAACTGCTCTATGAAAAGAAAGGTTAAACTCTGTGAGTTGATCGCACACATCACAAAGGAGTTTCTGAGAATCATTCTGTCTAGTCTTTATACGAAGATATTTACTTTTCTACCGTTGACCTCAAAGCGGCTGAAATCTCCACTTGCAATTTCCACAAAAAGAGTGTTTCAAGTCTGCTCTGTGTAAAGGATCATTCAACTCTGTGAGTTGAATAAACACAACACAAGGAAGTTACTGAGAATTCTTCTGTCTAGCAGAATATGAAGAAATCCCGTTTCCAACGAAGGCCACAAGATGTCAGAATATCCACTTACAGAATTTACAAACAGACTGTTTCCTAACTGCTCTATGAAAAGAAAGGTTAAACTCTGTAAGTTGAGCGAACACATCACAACGCAGTTTGTGGGAATGATTCTGTCTAGTTTTGAAATGAAGATATTTCCTTTTCTGCCGTTGACCTTAAAGCGCTTGAAATCTATACTTGCAAATTGCACAAATAGAGTGTTTCAAATCTGCTCTGTCTAAGGGAACGTTCAACTCTGTGAGTTGAATGCACACAACAGAAGGAAGTTACTGGGAATTCTTCTGTCTAGCCTTACATGAAAAAAAACCCGTTTCCAACGAAGGCCTCTAAGTGGTCAAATTATCCACGTGCAGACTTTACAAACAGAGTGTTTCCAAACCGCTGAATGAAAAGAAAAGTTAAACTCTGAGAGTTGAACGCACACATCACGCAGCAGTTTCTGAGAATGATTCTGTCTAGTTTTTATACGAAGATATTTCCTTTTCTGCCTTTGGCCCCAAAGCCCTTGAAATCTCCACTTGCAAATTCCACAAAAACAGAGTTTCAAATCTGCTCTCTCTAAATGAAAGTTCAACTCTGTCAGTTGAATACACACAACACAAGGAAGTTACTGAGAATTCTTCTGTCTAGCCTTATATGAAAAAAACCCGTTTCCAACGAAGGCCTCAAAGAGGTCTGAATATCCACTTGCAGACTTTCCAAACAGAGTGTTTCCTAACTGCTCTATGAAAAGAAATGTTAAACTCTGTGAGTTGAACACACACATCACAAAGGAGTTTCTGAGAATCATTCTGTCTAGTTTTTATAGGAAGATAATTCCTTTTCTACCTTTGACTTCAAAGCGGCTGAAATCTCCACTTGCAAATTCCACAAAAAGAGTGTTACAAGTCTGCTCTGTGTAAAGGATCGTTCAACTCTGTGAGTTGAATACACACAACACAAGGAAGTTACTGAGAATTCTTCTGTCTAGCCTTACATGAAAAAAACCCGTTTCCAACGAAGGCCTCTAAGTGGTCAAAATTTCCACGTGCAGACTTTACAAACAGAGTGTTTCCAAACCGCTGAATGAAAAGAAATGTTAAACTCTGAGAGTTGAACGCACACATCACGCAGCAGTTTCTGAGAATGATTCTGTCTAGTTTTTATACGAAGATATTTCCTTTTCTGCCTTTGGCCTCAAAGCGCTTGAAATCTCCACTTGCAAATTCCACAAAAAGAGTGTTTCAAATCTGCTCTGTGTAAACGAAAGTTCAACTCTGTGAGTGGAACACACACAACACAAGGAAGTTACTGGGAATTCTTCTCTCTAGCCTTATATGAAAAAAACCCGTTTCCAACGAAGGCCTCAAAGAGGTCTGAATATCCACTTGCAGACTTTAGAAACAGAGTGTTTCCTAACTGCTCTATGAAAAGAAAGGTTAAACTCTGTGAGTTGAACGCACACATCACAAAGGAGTTTCTGAGAATCACTCTGTCTAGTTTGTATAGGAAGATATTTCCTATTCTACCATTGACCTCAAAGCGGCTGAAATCTCCACTTGCAAATTCCACCAAAAGAATGTTTCAAGTCTGCTCTGTGTAAAGGATCGTTCAACTCTGTGAGTTGAATACACACAACACAAGGAAGTTACTGAGAATTCTTCTGTCTAGCCTTACATGAAAAAAACCCGTTTCCAACGAAGGCCTCTAAGTGGTCAAATTATCCACGTGCAGACTTTACAAACAGAGTGTTTCCAAACTGCTGAATGAAAAGAAAAGTTAAACTCTGAGAGTTAAACGCACACATCGCAGAGCAGTTTCTGAGAATGATTCTGTCAAGTTTTTATACGAAGATATTTCCTTTTCTGCCTTTGGCCTCAAAGCGCTTGAAATCTCCATTTGCAAATTCCACAAAAAGAGTGTTTCAAATCTGCTCTGTGTAAATGAAAGTTCAACTCTGTGAGTTGAAGACACACAACACAAGGAAGTTACTGGGAATTCTTCTGTCTAGCAGAATATGAAGAAATCCCGTTTCCAACGAAGGCCTCAAAGAGGTCTGAATATCCACTTGCAGACTTTACAAACAGAGTGTTTCCTAACTGCTCTATGAAAAGAAAGGTTAAACTCTGTGACTTGAACGCACACATCACAAAGGAGTTTCTGAGAATCATTTCTGTCTAGTTTTTATACGAAGATATTTCCTATTCTACCATTGACCTCAAAGCGGCTGAAATCTCCACTTGCAAATTCCACAAAAAGAGTGTTTCAAGTCTGCTCTGTGTAAAGGATCGTTGAACTCTGTGAGTTGAATACACACAACGCAAGGAAGTTTCTCAGAATACTTCTCTCTAGCAGAATATGAAGAAATCCCGTTTCCAATGAAGGCCACAAAGAGGTCTGAATATCCACTTGCAGACTTTACAAACAGAGTGTTTCCTAACTGCTCTATGAAAAGAAAGGTTAAACTCTGTGAGTTGAACGCCCACATCACAAAGGAGTTTCTGAGAATCATTCTGTCTAGTTTTTATACGAAGATATTTCCTTTTCTGCCTTTGGCCCCAAAGCGCTTGAAATCTCCACTTGCAAATTCCACAAAAACAGTGTTTCAAATCTGCTCTCTCTAAATGATAGTTCAACTCTGTCAGTTGAATACACACAACACAAGGAAGTTACTGAGAATTCTTTCTGTCTAGCATAATATGAAGAAATCCCCTTTCCAACGAAGGCCTCAAAGAGGTCTGAATATCCACCTGCAGACTTAACAAACAGAGTGTTTCCTAACTGCTCTATGAAAAGAAAGGTTAAACTCTGTGAGTTGAACGCACACAGCACAAAGGAGTTTCTGAGAATCATTCTGTCTAGTTTCCATAGGAAGATATTTCCTATTCTACCATTGACCTCAAAGCGGCTGAAATCTCCACTTGCAAATTCCACAAAAAGAGTGTTTCAAGTCTGCTCTGTGTAAAGGATCATTCAACTCTGTGAGTTGAATACACACAACACAAGGAAGTTTCTGAGAATTCTTCTGTCTAGCCTTACATGAAAAAAACCCGTTTCCAACGAAGGCCTCTAAGTGGTCACGTTATCCACGTGCAGACTTTACAAACAGAGTGTTTCCAAACTGCTGAATGAAAAGAAAAGTTAAACTCTGAGAGTTGAACGCACACATCGCAGAGCAGTTTCTGAGAATGATTCTGTCTAGTTTTTATACCAAGATAATTCCTTTTCTGCCTTTGGCCCCAAAGCGCTTGAAATCTCCACTTGCAAATTCCACAAAAACAGTTTTACAAATCTGCTCTCTCTAAATGAAAGTTCAACTCTGTCAGTTTAATACACACAACACAAGGAAGTTACTGAGAATTCTTCTGTCTAGCAGAATATGAAGAAATCCTGTTTCCAACGAAAGCCTCAAAGATGTCTCAATATCCACTTGCAGACTTTACAAACAGAGTGTTTCCTAACTGCTCTATGAAAAGAAAGGTTAAACTCTGTGAGTTGAACGCACACATCACAAAGGAGTTTCTGAGAATCATTCTGTCTAGTCTTTATATGAAGATAGTTTCCTTTTCTACCATTGACCTCAAAGCGGCTGAAATCTCCAGTTGCAAATTCCACAAAAAGAGTGTTTCAAGTCTGCTCTGTGTAAAGGATCGTTCAACTCTGTGAGTTGAATACACACAACACAAGGAAGTTACTGAGAATTCTTCTGTCTAGCAGAATATGAAGAAATCCCGTTTCCAACTGAAGGCCACAAGATGTCAGAATATCCACTTACAGACTTTACAAACAGAGTGTTTCCTAACTGCTCTATGAACAGAAAGGTTAAACTCTGTGAGTTGAACGAACACATCACAACGCAGTTTGTGGGAATGATTCTGTCTAGTTTTGAAACGAAGATATTTCCTTTTCTGCCGTTGACCTTAAAGAGCTTGAAAACTACACTTGCAAATTGCACAAATAGAGTGTTTCAAATCTGCTCTGTCTAAGGGAACGTTCAACTCTGTGAGTTGAATGCACACAACACAAGGAAGTTACGGGGAATTCTTCTGTCTAGCCTTACATGAAAAAATCCCGTTTCCAACGAAGGCCTCTAAGTGGTCAAAATTTCCACGTGCAGACTTTACAAACAGAGTGTTTCCAAACCGCTGAATGAAAAGAAAAGTTAAACTCTGAGAGTTGAACGCACACATCACGGAGCAGTTTCTGAGAATGATTCTGTCTAGTTTTTATACGAAGATATTTCCTTTTCTGCCTTTGGCCCCAAAGCGCTTGAAATCTCCACTTGCAAATTCCACAAAAACAGTGTTTCAAATCTGCTCTCTCTAAATGAAAGTTCAACTTTGTCAGTTGAATACACACAACACAAGGAAGTTAATGAGAATTCTTCTGTCTAGCACAGTATGAAGAAATCCCGTTTCCAACGAAGGCCTCAAAGAGGTGTGAATATCCACTTGTAGAGTTTACAAACAGAGTGTTTCCTAACTGCTCTATGAAAAGAAAGGTTAAACTCTGTGAGTTGAACGCACACATCACAAAGAAGTTTCTGAGAATCATTCTGTCTAGTTTTTATAGGAAGTTATTTCCTTTTCTACCTTTGACTTCAAAGTGGCTGAAATCTCCACTTGCAAATTCCACAAAAAGAGTGTTACAAGTCTGCTCTGTGTAAACGATCGTTCAACTCTGTGAGTTGAATACACACAACACAAGGAAGTTACTGAGAATTCTTCTGTCTAGCCTTACATGAAAAAAACCCGTTTCCAACGAAGGCCTCTAAGTGGTCAAGTTATCCACGTGCAGACTTTACAAACAGAGTGTTTCCAAACTGCTGAATGAAAAGAAAAGTTAAACTCTGAGAGTTGCACGCACACATCGCAGAGCAGTTTCTGAGAATGATTGTGTCTAGTTTTGAAACGAAGATATTTCCTTTTCTGCCGTTGACCTTAAAGCGCTTGAAATCTACACTTGCAAATTGCACAAATAGAGTGTTTCAAATCTGCTCTGTCTAAGGGAACGTTCAACTCTGTGAGTTGAATGCACACAACACAAGGAAGTTACTGGGAATTCTTCTGTCTAGCCTTACATGAAAAAAACCCGTTTCCAACGAAGGCCTCTAAGTGGTCAAATTATCCACGTGCAGACTTTAGAAACAGAGTGTTTCCAAACTGCTGAATGAAAAGAAAAGTTAAACTCTGAGAGTTGAACGCACACATCACAGAGCAGTTTTCTGAGAATGATTCTGTCTAGTTTTTATACGAAGATATTTCCTTTTCTGCCTTTGGCCCCAAAGCGCTTGAAATCTCCACTTGCAAATTCCACAAAAACAGTGTTTCAAATCTGCTCTCTCTAAATGAAAGTTCAACTCTTTGAGTTGAATACACACAACACAAGGAAGTTACTGAGAATTCTTCTGTCTAGCCTTAAATGAAAAAAACCCGTTTCCAACGAAGGGCTCAAAGAGGTCTGAATATCCACTTGCAGACTTTACAAACAGAGTGTTTCCTAACTGCTCTATGAAAAGAAAGGTTAAACTCTGTGAGTTGAACGCACACATCACAAAGAAGTTTCTGAGAATCATTCTGTCTAGTTTTTATACGAAGATATTTCCTTTTCTACTACTGACCACAAAGCGGCTGAGATCTCCATTTGCAAATTCCACAAAAAGAGTGTTTCAAGTCTGCTCTGTATAAAGGATCGTTGAACTCTTTGAGTTGAATACACACAACACAAGGAAGTTACTGAGAATTCTTCTGTCTAGCAGAATATGAAGAAATCCCGTTTCCAACGAAGGCCTCAAGGAGGTCTGAATATCCACTTGCAGACTTTACAAACAGAGTGTTTCCTAACTGCTCTATGAACAGAAAGGTTAAACTCTTTGAGTTGAACGCACACATCACAAAGGAGTTCATGAGAATCATTCTGTCAAGTTTTTATACGAAGATATTTCCTTTTCTACCATGGACCTCAAAGCGGCTGAAATCTCCACTTGCAAATTCCACAAAACGAGTGTTTCAAGTCTGCTCTGTGTAAAGGATCGTTCAACTCTGTGAGTTGAATACACACAACACAAAGAAGTTACTGAGAATTCTTCTGTCTAGTATTATATGAAGAAATCCCGGTTCCAGCGAAGGCCACAAAGAGGTCAGAATATCCACTTCCAGACTTTACAAACAGAGTGTTTCCTAACTGCTCTATGAAAAGAAAGGTTAAACTCTGTGAGTTGAACGCACCCATCACAACGCAGTTTGTGGGAATGATTCTGTCTAGTTTTGAAACGAAGATATTTCCTTTTCTGCAATTGCCCTTAAAGCGCTTGAAATCTCCACTTGCAAATTGCACAAAAAGAGTGTTTCCAATCTGCTCTGTCTAAAGGAACGTTCAACTCTGTGAGTTGAATGCACACAACACAAGGAAGATACTGGGAATTCTTCTGTCTAGCCTTATATGAAAAAAACCCGTTTCCAACGAAGGCCTCTAAGTGGTCAAATTATCCACGTGCAGACTTTACAAACAGAGTGTTTCCAAACTGCTGAATGAAAAGAAAAGTTAAACTCTGAGAGTTGAACGCACACATCGCAGAGCAGTTTCTGAGAATGATTCTGTCTAGTTTCTATAAGAAGATATTTCCTATTCTACCATTCACCTCAAAGCGGCTGAAATCTCCACTTGCAAATTCGACAAAAAGAGTGTTTCAAGCCTGCTCTCTGTAAAGGATCCTTCAACTCTGTGAGTTGAATACACACAACACAAGGAAGTTACTGAGAATTATTCTGTCTTGCATAATATGAAGAAATCCCGTTTCCAACGAAGGCCTCAAAGAGGTCTGAATATCCACTTGCAGACTTTACAAACAGAGTGTTTCCTAACTGCTCTATGAGAAGAAAAGTTAAACTCTGTGAGTTGAACGCACACATCACAAAAGATTTTCTGAGAATCATTCTGTCTAGTTTCTATAGGAAGATATTTCCTATTCTACCATTGACCTCAAAGCGGCTGAAATCTCCACTTGCAAATTCCACAAAAAGAGTGTTTCAACTCTGCTCTGTGTAAAGGATCGTTCAACTCTGTGAGTTGAATACACACAACACAAGGAAGTTACTGAGAATTCTTCTGTCTAGCATAATATGAAGAAATCCCGTATCCAACGAAGGCCTCAAGGAGGTCTGAATATCCACTTGCAGACTTTACAAACAGAGTGTTTCCTAACTGCTCTATGAAAAGAAAGGTTAAACTCTGTGAGTTGAACGCACACATCACAAAGGAGTTTCTGAGAATCATTCTGTCTAGTTTTTATACGAAGATATTTCCTTTTCTACCATTGACCTCAAAGCGGCTGAAATCTCCACTTGCAAATTACACAAAAAGAGTGTTTCAAGTCTACTCTGTGTAAAGCATCGTTCAACTCTGTGAGTTGAAAACACAAAACACAAGGAAGTTTCTGAGAATTCTTCTGTCTAGCAGAATATGAAGAAATCCCGTTTCCAACGAAGGCCACAAGATGTCAGAATATCCACTTACAGAATTTACAAACAGACTGTTTCCTAACTGCTCTATGAAAAGAAAGGTTAAACTCTGTGAGTTCAACGAACACATCACAACGCAGTTTGTGGGAATGATTCTGTCTAGTTTTTATACGAAGGTATTTCCTTTTATACCATTGACCTCAAAGCGGCTGAAATCACCACTTGCCAATTGCACAAAAAGAGTGTTTCAAATCTGCTCTTTCTAAGGGAACGTTCAACTCTGTGAGTTGAATGTACACAACACAAGGAAGTTACTGGGAATTCTTCTGTCTAGCCTTACATGAAAAAAACCCGTTTCCAACGAAGGCCTCTAAGTGGTCAAAATATCCACGTGCAGACTTTACAAACAGAGTGTTTCCAAACCGCTGAATGAAAAGAAAAGTTAAACTTTGAGAGTTGAACGCACGCGTCACGCAGCAGTTTCTGAGAATGATTCTGTCTAGTTTTTATACGAAGATATTTCCTTTTCTGCCTTTGGCCGCAAAGCGCTTGAAATCTCCACTTGCAAATTCCACAAAAACAGTGTTACAAATCTGCCCTCTCTAAATGAAAGTTCAACTCTGTCAGTTGAATACACACAACACAAGGAAGTTACTGAGAATTCTTCTGTCTAGCAGAATATGAAGAAATCCCGTTTCCAACGAAGGCCTCAAAGAAGTCTGAATATCCACTTGCAGACTTTAGAAACAGAGTGTTTCCCAACTGCTCTATTAAAAGAAAGGTTGAACTCTGTGAGTTGAACGCACACATCACAAAGGAGTTTCTGAGAATCATTCTGTCAAGTTTCTATACGAAGATATTTCCTTTTCTACCATTGACCTCAACGCGGCTGAAATCTCCACTTGCAAATTCCACAAAAAGAGTGTTTCAAGTCCGCTCTGTGTAAAGGGTCGTTCAACTCTGTGAGTTGAATACACACAACACAAGGAAGTTACTGAGAATTCTTCTGTCTAGCAGAGTATGAAGAAATCCCGTTTCCAACGAAAGCCTCAATGAGGTCTGAATATCCACTTGCAGAGTTTACAAACAGAGTGTTTCCTAACTGCTCTATGAAAAGAAAGGTTAAACTCTGTGAGTTGAACACACACATCACAAAGAAGATTCTGAGAATCATTTTGTCTAGTTTTTATACGAAGATATTTCCTTTTCTGCCTTTGGCCTCAAAGCGCTTGAAATCTCCAATTGCAAATTCCACAAAAAGAGTGTTTCAAATCTGCTCTTTGTAAATGAAAGTTCAACTCTGTGAGTTGAACACACACAACACAAGGAAGTTACTGGGAATCCTTCTGTCTAGCAGAATATGAAGAAATCCCGTTTCCAACGAAGGAGTCAAGGAGGTCTGAATATCCACTTGCAGACTTTACAAACAGAGTGTTTCCTAACTGCTCTATGAAAAGAAAAGTTAAACTCTGTGAGTTGAACGCACACATCACAAAGGAGTTTATGAGAATCATTCTGTCTAGTTTTTATACGAAGATATTTCCTTTTCTACCATTGACCTCAAAGCGGATGAAATCTACACTTGCAAATTCCACAAAAAGAGTGTTTCAAGTCTGCTCTGTGTAAAGGTTCGTTCAACTCTGTGAGTTGAATACACACAACACAAGGAAGTTACTGAGAATTCTTCTGTCTAGCATATTATGAAGAAATCCCGTTTCCAACGAAGGCCTCAAAGAGGTCTGAATATCCACTTGCAGACTTTACAAACAGAGTGTTTCCTAACTGCTCTATGAAAAGAAAGGTTAAACTCTGTGAGTTGAACGCACACATCACAAAGGAGTTTCTGAGAATCATTCTGTCTAGTTTTTATACCGAAGATATTTCCTTTTCTGCCTTTGGCCTCAAAGCGCTTGAAATCTCCACTTGCAAATTCCACAAAAAGAGTGTTTCAAATCTGCTCTGTGTAAATGAAAGTTCAACTCTGTGAGTTGAACACACACAACACAAGGAAGTTACTGGGAATTCTTCTGTCTAGCATAATATGAAGAAATCCCGTTTCCAACGAAGGCCTCAAAGGGGTCTGAATATCCACTTGCAGACTTTACAAACAGAGTGTTTCCTAACTGCTCTATGAAAAGAAAAGTTAAACTCTGTGAGTTGAACGCACACATCACAAAGGATTTTATGATAATCATTCTGTCTAGTTTTTATAGGAAGATATTTCCTTTTCTACCTTTGACTTCAAAGCGGCTGAAATCTCCACTTGGAAATTCCAGAAAAAGAGTGTTACAAGTCTGCTCTGTGTAAAGGATCGTTCAACTCTGTGAGTTGAATACACACAACACAAGGAAGTTACTGAGAATTCTTCTGTCTAGCAGAATATGAAGAAATCCCGTTTCCAACGAAGGCCTCAAGGAGGTCTCAAAATCCACTTGCAGACTTTACAAACAGAGTGTTTCCTAACTGCTCTATGAACAGAAAGGTTAAACTCTGTGAGTTGAACGAACACATCACAACGCAGTTTGTGGGAATGATTCTGTCTAGTTTTGAAACGAAGATATTTCCTTTTCTGCCATTGACCTTAAAGCGCTTGAAATCTACACTTGCAAATTGCACAAATAGAGTGTTTCAAATCTGCTCAGTCTAAGGGAACGTTCAACTCTGTGAGTTGAATGCACACAACACAAGGAAGTTACTGGGAATTCTTCTGTCTAGCCTTACAGGAAAGAAAACCGTTTCCAACGAAGGCCTCTAAGTGGTCAAAATATCCACGTGCAGACTTTACAAACAGAGTGTTTCCAAACTGCTGAATGAAAAGAAAAGTTAAACTCTGAGAGTTGAACGCACACATCGCAGAGCAGTTTCTGAGAATGATTCTGTCTAGTTTTTATACGAAGATATTTCCTTTTCTGCCTTTGGCCTCAAAGCGCTTGAAATCTCCATTTGCAAATTCCACAAAAAGAGTGTTTCAAATCTGCTCTGTGTACATGAAAGTTCAACTCTGTGAATTGAACACACACAACACAAGGAAGTTACTGGGAATTCTTCTGTCTAGCAGAATATGAAGAAATCCCGTTTCCAACGAAAGCCTCAAGGATGTCTGAATATCCACTTGCAGACTTTACAAACAGAGTGTTTCCTAACTGCTCTATGAAAAGAAAGGTTAAACTCTGTGAGTTGAACGCACACATCACAAAGGAGTTTCTGAGAATCATTCTGTCTAGTTTCTATAGGAAGATATTTCCTATTCTACCATTGACCTCAAAGCGGCTGAAATCTCCACTTGCAAATTCCACAAAAAGACTGTTTCAAGTCTGCTCTGTGTAAAGGATCGTTCAACTCTGTGAGTTGAATACACACAACACAAGGAAGTTACTGAGAATTCTTCTGTCTAGCCTTATATGAAAAAATCCCGTTTCCAACGAAGGCCTCAAAGAGGTCTGAATATCCACTTGCAGACTTTACAAACAGAGTGTTTCCTAACTGCTCTATGAAAAGAAAGGTTAAACTCTGTGAGTTGAACGCACACATCACAAAGGAGTTTCTCAGAATCATTCTGTCTAGTTTTTATACGAAGATATTTCCTTTTCTACCATTGACCTCAAAGCGGCTGAAATCTCCACTTGCAAATTCCACAAAAAGAGTGTTTCAAGTCTGCTCTGTTTAAAGGATCGTTCAACTCTGTGAGTTGAATACACAAAACACAAGGGAAGTTTCTGAGAATTCTTCTGTCAGCAATAATATGAAGAAATCCCGTTTGCAACGAAGGCCTCAAAGAGGTTTGAATATCCACTTGCAGAGTTTACAAACAGAGTGTTTCCTAACTACTCTATGAAAAGAAAGGTTAAACCCTGTGAGTTGAACGCACACATCCTAAAGGAGTTTCTGAGAATCATTCTGTCTAGTTTTTATACGAAGATATTTCCTTTTCTACCATTGACCTCAAAGCGGCTGAAATCACCACTTGCCAATTGCACAAAAAGAGTGTTTCAAATCTGCTCTGTCTAAGGGAACGTTCAACTCTGTGAGTTGAATGTACACAACACAAGGAAGTTACTGGGAATTCTTCTGTCTAGCCTTACATGAAAAAAACCCGTTTCCAACGAAGGCCTCTAAGTGTTCAAATTATCCACGTGCAGACTTTACAAACAGAGTGTTTCCAAACTGCTGAATGAAAAGCAAAGTTAAACTCTGAGAGTTGAACGCACACATCGCAGAGCAGTTTCTGAGAATGATTCTGTCCAGTTTTTATACGAAGATATTTCTTTTTCTGCCTTTGGCCTCAAAGCGCTTGAAATCTCCATTTGCAATTTCCACAAAAAGAGTGTTTCAAATCTGCTCTGTGTAAATGAAATTTCAACTCTGTGAGTTGAACACACACAACACAAGGAAGTTACTGAGAATTCTTCTGACTAGCCTTATATGGAAAAAACCCGTTTCCAACGAAGGCCTCAAAGAGGTCTGAATATCCACTTGCAGACTTTACAAACAGAGTGTTTCCTAACTGCTCTATGAAAAGAAAGGTTAAACTCTGTGAGTTGAACGCACACATCACAAAGGAGTTTCTGAGAATCATTCTGTCTAGTCTTTATACGAAGATATTTCCTTTTCTTCCATTGACCTCAAAGCGGCTGAAATCTCCACTTGCAAATTCCACAAAAAGAGTGTTTAAAGTCTGCTCTCTGTAAAGGATCGTTCAACTCTGTGAGTTGAATACACACAACACAAGGAAGTTACTGAGAATTCTTCTGTCTAGCCTTACAGGAAAAAAACCCGTTTCCAACGAAGGCCTCTAAGTGGTCAAATTATCCACGTGCAGACTTTACAAACAGAGTGTTTCCAAACTGCTGAATGAAAAGCAAAGTTAAACTCTGAGAGTTGAACGCACACATCGCAGAGCAGTTTCTGAGAATGATTCTGTCTAGTTTTTATACGAAGATATTTCGTTTTCTGCCTTTGGCCACAAAGCGCTTGAAATCTCCACTTGCAAATTCCACAAAAACAGTGTTTCAAATCTGCTCTCTCTAAATGAAAGTTCAACTCTGTCAGTTGAATACACACAACACAAGGGAAGTTACTGAGAATTCTTCTGTCTAACAGAATATGAAGAAATCCCGTTTCCAACGAAGGCCTCAAAGAGGTCTGAATATCCACTTGCAGACTTTACAAACAGAGTGTTTCCTAACTGCTCTATGAAAAGAAAGGTTAAACTCTGTGACTTGAACGCACACATCACAAAGGAGTTTCTGAGAATCATTCTGTCTAGTTTTTCTACGAAGATATTTCCTTTTCTACTATTGACCTCAAAGCTGCTGAAATCTCCACTTGCAAATTCCACAAAAAGAGTGTTTCAAGTCTGCTCTGTGTAAAGGATCGTTCAACTCTGTGAGTTGAATACACACAACACAAGGAAGTGACTGAGAATTCTTCTGTCTAGCATAGTATGGAGAAATCCCGTTTCCAACGAAGGCCTCAAAGAGGTCTGAATATCCACTTGCAGACTTTACAAACAGAGTGTTTCCTAACTGCTCTATGAAAAGAAAGGTTAATCTCTGTGAGTTGAACACACACATCACAAAGGAGTTTCTGAGAATCATTCTGTCTAGTTTTTATACGAAGATATTTCCTTTTCTGCCTTTGGCCTCAAAGCGCTTGAAATCTCCATTTGCAAATTCCACAAAAAGAGTGTTTCAAATCTGCTCTGTGTAAATGAAAGTTCAACTCTGTGAGTCGAACACACACAACACAAGGAAGTTACTGGGAATTCTTCTGTCTAGCAGAATATGAAGAAATCCCGTTTCCAACGAAGGCCTCAAGGAGGTCTGAATATCCACTTCCAGACTTTACAAACAGAGTGTTTCCTAACTGCTCTATGAAAAGAAAAGTTAAACTCTGTGAGTTGCACGCACACATCACAAAGGAGTTTCTGAGAATCATTCTGTCTAGTTTTTATAGGAAGATATTTCCTTTTCTACCTTTGACTTCAAAGAGGCTGAAATCTCCACTTGCAAATTCCACAAAAAGAGTGTTACAAGTCTGCTCTGTGTAAAGAATCGTTCAACTCTGTGAGTTGAATACACACAACACAAGGAAGTTACTGAGAATTCTTCTGTCTAGCATAGTATGAAGAAATCCCTTTTACAACGAAGGCCTCAAAGAGGTCTGAATATCCACTTGCAGAGTTTACAAACAGAGTGTTTCCTAACTGCTCTATGAAAAGAAAGGTTAAACTCTGTGAGTTGAACGCACACATCACAAAGAAGTTTCTGAGAATCATTCTGTCTAGTTTTTATACGAAGATATTTCCTTTTCTACCATTGACTTCAAAGCGGCTGAAATCTCCACTTGCAAATTCCACAAAAAGAGTGTTTCAAGCCTGCTCTGTGTAAAGGATCGTTCAACTCTTTGAGTTGAATACACACAACACAAGGAAGATTCTGAGAATTCTTCTTTCTAGCAGAATATGAAGAAATCCCGTTTCCAACGAAGGCCACAAGATGTCAGAATATCCACTTACAGAATTGACAAACAGACTGTTTCCTAACTGGTCTATGAAAAGAAAGGTTAAACTCTGTGAGTTGAACGAACACATCACAACGCAGTTTGTGGGAATGATTCTGTCTAGTTTTTATACGAAGATATTTCCTTTTCTACCATTGACCTCAAAGCGGCTGAAATCACCACTTGCCAATTCCACAAAAAGAGTGTTTCAAATCTGCTCTGTCTAAGGGAACGTTCAACTCTGTGAGTTGAATGTACACAACACAAGGAAGTTACTGGGAATTCTTCTGTCTAGCCTTACATGAACAAAACCCGTTTCCAACGACGGCCTCTAAGTGGTCAAGTTATCCACGTGCAGACTTTACAAACAGAGTGTTTCCAAACTGCTGAATGAAAAGAAAAGTTAAACTCTGAGAGTTGAACGCACACATCGCAGAGCAGTTTCTGAGAATGATTCTGTCTAGTTTTTATACAAAGATATTTCCTTTTCTGCCTTTGGCCTCAAAGCGCTTGAAATCTCCATTTGCAAATTCCACAAAAAGAGTGTTTCAAATCTGCTCTGTGTAAATGAAAGTTCAACTCTGTGAGTCGAACACACACAACACAAGGAAGTTACTGGGAATTCTTCTGTCTAGCAGAATATGAGGAATTCCCGTTTCCAACGAAGGCCTCAAGGAGGTCTGAATATCCACATGCAGACTTTACAAACACAGTGTTTCCTAACTGCTCTATGAAAAGAAAGGTTAAACTCTGTGCGTTGAACGCACACATCACAAAGGAGTTTATGAGAATCATTCTGTCTAGTTTTTATAGGAAGATATTTCCTTTTCTACCTTTGACGTCAAAGCGGCTGAAATCTCCACTTGCAAATTCCACAAAAAGAGTGTTACAAGTCTGCTCTGTGTAAAGGATCGTTCAACTCTATGAGTTGAATACACACAACACAAGGAAGTTACTGAGAATTCTTCTGTCTAGCATAGTATGAAGAAATCCCGTTTCCAACGAAGGCCTCAAAGAGGTCTGAATATCCACTTGCAGAGTTTACAAACAGAGTGTTCCCTAACTGCTCTATGAAAAGAAAGGTTAAACTCTGTGAGTTGAACGCACACATCACAAAGAAGTTTCTGAGAATCATTCTGTCTAGTTTTTATACGAAGATATTTCCTTTTCTACCATTGACCTCAAAGCGGCTGAAATCTCCACTTGCCAATTCCACAAAAAGAGTGTTTCAAGTCTACTCTGTGTAAAGGTTCGTTCAACTCTGTGAGTTGAAAACACACAACAAAAGGAAATTTCTGAGAATTCTTCTGTCTAGCAGAATATGAAGAAATCCCGTTTCCAACGAAAGCCTCAAAGATGTCTGAATATCCACTTGCAGACTTTACAAACAGAGAGTTTCCTAATTGCTCTATGAAAAGAAAGGTTAAACTCTGTGAGTTGAACGCACACAGCACAAAGGAGTTTCTGAGAATCATTCTGTCTAGTTTTTATAGGAAGATATTTCCTTTTCTACCTTTGACTTCAAAGCGGCTGAAATCTCCACTTGCAAATTCCACAAAAAGAGTGTTACAAGTCTGCTCTGTGTAAAGGATCGTTCAACTCTGTGAGTTGAATACACACAAAACAAGGAAGTTATTGAGAATTCTTCTGTCTAGCAGAATATGAAGAAATCCCGTTTCCAACGAAGGCCTCAAGGAGGTCTGAATATCCACTTGCAGACTTTACAAACAGAGTGTTTCCTAACTGCTCTATGAACAGAAAGGTAAAACTCTGTGAGTTTAACGCACACATCACAAAGGAGTTTCTGAGAATCATTCTGTCTAGTCTTTGTACGAAGATATTTCCTTTTCTACCATTGACCTCAAAGCGGCTGAAATCTCCACTTGCAAATTCCACAAAAAGAGTGTTTAAAGTCTGCTCTCTGTAAAGGATCGTTCAACTCTGTGAGTTGAATACACAGAACACAAGGAAGTTACTGAGAATTATCTGTCTAGCAGAATATGAAGAAATCCCGTTTCCAACGAAGGCCACAAGATGTCAGAATATCCACTTACAGAATTTACAAACATAGTGTTTCCTAACTGCTCTATGAAAAGAAAGGTTAAACTCTGTGAGATGAACGAACACATCACAACGCAGTTTGTGGGAATGATCTCTGTCTAGTTTTGAAACGAAGATATTTCCTTTTCTGCCATTGACCTTAAAGCGCTTGAAATCTACACTTGCAAATTGCACAAATAGAGTGTTTCACATCTGCTCTGTCTAAGGGAACGTTCAACTCTGTGAGTTGAATGCACACAACACAAGGAAGTTACTGGGAATTCTTCTGTATAGCCTTACATGAAAAAAAACCCGTTTCCAACGAAGGCCTCTAAGTGGTCAAAATATCCACGTGCAGACTTTACAAACAGAGTGTTTCCAAACCGCTGAATGAAAAGAAAAGTTAAACTCTGAGAGTTGAACGCACACATCACGCAGCAGTTTCTGAGAATGATTCTGTCCAGTTTTTATACGAAGATATTTCCTTTTCTGCCCTTGGCCCCAAAGCGCTTGAAATCTCCACTTGCAAATTCCACAAAAACAGTGTTTCAAATCTGCTCTCTCTAAATGAAAGTTCAACTCTGTCAGTTGAATACACACAACACAAGGAAGTTACTGAGAATTCTTCTGTCTAGCATAATATGAAGAAATCCCGTTTCCAACGAAGACCTCTAAGAGGTCTGAATATCCACTTGCAGACTTTACAAACAGAGTGTTTCCTAACTGCTCTATGAGAAGAAAAGTTAAACTCTGTGAGTTGAACGCACACATCACAAAAGATTTTCTGAGAATCATTCTGTCTAGTCTTTATTCGAAGATATTTCCTTTTCTACCATTGACCTCAAAGCGGCTGAAATCTCCACTTGCAAATTCCACAAAAAGAGTGTTTCAAGTCTGCTCTGTGTAAAGGATCGTTCAACTCTGTGAGTTGAATACACACAACACAAGGAAGTTACTGAGAATTCTTCTGTCTAGCAGAATATGAAGAAATCCCGTTTCCAACGAAGGCCGCAAGATGTCAGAATATCCACTTACAGACTTTAGAAACAGAGTGTTTCCTTACTGCTCTATGAACAGAAAGGTTAAACTCTGTGAGTTGAACGAACACATCACAACGCAGTTTGTGGGAATGATTCTGTCTAGGTTTGAAACGAAGATATTTCCTTTTCTGCCGTTGACCTTAAAGCGCTTGAAATCTACACTTGTAAATTGCACAAATAGAGTGTTTCAAATCTGCTCTGTCTAAGGGAACGTTCAACTCTGTGAGTTGAATGCACACAACACAAGGAAGTTACTGGGAATTTCTTCTGTCTATCCTTACATGAAAAAAACCCGTTTCCAACGAAGGCCTCTAAGTGGTCAAAATATCCACGTGCAGACTTTACAAACAGAGTGTTTCCAAACCGCTGAATGAAAAGAAAGGTTAAACTCTGAGAGTTGAACGCACACATCACGCAGCAGTTTCTGAGAATGATTCTGTCTAGTTTTTATACGAAGATATTTCCTTTTCTGCCTTTGGCCCCAAAGCGCTTGAAATCTCCACTTGTAAATTCCACAAAAACAGTGTTTCAAATCTGCTCTCTCTAAATGAAAGTTCAACTCTGTCAGTTGAATACACACAACACAAGGAAGTTACTGAGAATTCTTCTGTCTAGCATACTATGAAGAAATCCCGTTTCCAACGAAGGCCTCAAAGAGGTCTATATATCCACTTGCAGAGTTTACAAACAGAGTGTTTCCTAACTGCTCTATGAAAAGAAAGGTTAAACTCTGTGAGTTGAACGCACACATCACAAAGAAGTTTCTGAGAATCATTCTGTCTAGTTTTTATACGAAGATATTTCCTTTTCTACCATTGACCTCAAAGCGGCTGAAATCTCCACTTGCAAATTCCACAAAAAGAGTGTTTCAAGTCTGCTCTGTGCAAAGGATCGTTCAACTCAGTGAGATGCATACACACAACACAAGGAAGTTACTGAGAATTCTTCTGTCTAGCATAATATGAAGAAATCCCGTTTCCAACGAAGGCCTCAAGGAGGTCTGAATATCCACTTGCAGACTTTACAATCAGAGTGTTTCCTAACTGCTCTATGAAAAGAAAGGTTAAACTCTGTGAGTTGAACGCACACATCACAAAGGAGTTTCTTAGAATCATTCTGTCTAGTTTCTATAGGAAGATATTTCCTATTCTACCATTGACCTCAAAGCGGCTGAAATCTCCACTTGCAAATTCCACAAAAAGAGTGTTTCAAGTCTGCTCTCTGTAATGGATCGTTCAAATCTGTGAGTTGAATACACACAACACAAGGAAGTTACTGAGAATTATTCTTTCTAGCAGAATATAAAGAAATCCCGTTTCCAACGAAAGCCTCAAGGATGTCTGAATATCCACTTGCAGACTTTACAAACAGAGTGTTTCCTAACTGCTCTATGAAAAGAAAGGTTAAACTCTGTGAGTTGAACGCACACATCACAAAGGAGTTTCTGAGAATCATTCTGTCTAGTTTTTATATGAAGATATTTCCTATTCTACCATTGACCTCAAAGCGGCTGATATCTCCACTTGCAAATTCCACAAAAAGAGTGTTTCAAGTCTGCTCTGTGTAAAGGATCGTTCAACTCTGTGAGTTGAATACACACAACACAAGGAAGTTACTGAGAATTCTTCTGTCTAGCAGAATATGAAGAAATCCCGTTTCCAACGAAGGCCTCAAGGAGGTCTGAATATCCACTTGCAGACTTTACAAACAGAGTGTTTCCTAACTGCTCTATGAACAGAAAGGTTAAACTCTGTGAGTTGAACGAACACATCACAGCGCAGTTTGTGGGAATGATTCTGTCTAGTTTTGAAAAGAAGATATTTCTTTTTCTGCCGTTGACCTTAAAGCGCTTGAAATCTACACTTGCAAATTGCACAAATAGAGTGTTTCAAATCTGCTCTGTCTAAGGGAACGTTCAACTCTGTGAGTTGAATGCACACAACCCAAGGAAGTTACTGGGAATTCTTCTGTCTAGCCTTACATGAAAAAAACCCGTTTCCAACGAAGGCCTCTAAGTGGTCAAATTTTCCACGTGCAGACTTTACAAACAGAGTGTTTCCAAACCGCTGAATGAAAAGAAAAGTTAAACTCTGAGAGTTGAACGCACACATCACGCAGCAGTTTCTGAGAATGATTCTGTCTAGTTTTTATACGAAGATATTTCCTTTTCTGCCTTTGGCCCCAAAGCGCTTGAAATCTCCACTTGCAAATTCCACAAAAACAGAGTTTCAAATCTGCTCTCTCTAAATGAAAGTTCAACTCTGTCAGTTGAATACACACAACACAAGGAAGTTACTGAGAATTCTTCTGTCTAGCATAATATGGACAAATCCCGTTTCCAAAGAAGGCCTCAGGGAGGTCTGAATATCCACTTGCAGACTTTACAAACAGAGTGTTTCCTAACTGCTCTATGAAAAGAAAGGTTAAACTCTGTGAGTTGAACGCACACATCACAAAGGAGTTTCTGAGAATCATTCTGTCTAGTTTTTATACGAAGATATTTCCTTTTCTACCATGGACCTCAAAGCGGCTGAAATCTCCACTTGCAAATTCCACAAAAAGAGTGTTTCAAGTCCGCTCTGTGTAAAGGATCGTTCAACTCTGTGAGTTGAATACACACAACACAAGGAAGATTCTGAGAATTCTTCTGTCTAGCAGAATATGAAGAAATCCCGTTTCCAACGAAGGCCACAAGAGGTCAGAATATCCACTTACAGACTTTACAAACAGACTGTTTCCTAACTGCTCTATGAAAAGAAAAGTTAAACTCTGTGAGTTGGACGAACACATCACAACGCAGTTTGTGGGAAGGATTCTGTCTAGTTTTGAAACGAAGATATTTCCTTTTCTGCCATTGACCTTAAAGCGCTTGAAATCTACACTTGCAAATTCCACAAATAGAGTGTTTCAAATCTGCTCTGTCTAAGGGAACGTTCAACTCTGTGAGTTGAATGCACACAACACAAGGAAGTTACTGTGAATTCTTCTGTCTAGCCTTACATGAAAAAAACCCGTTTCCAACGAAGGCCTCTAAGTGGTCAAAATAACCACGTGCAGACATTACAAACAGAGTGTTTCCAAACCGCTGAATGAAAAGAAAAGTTAAACTCTGAGAGTTGGACGCACACATCACGCAGGAGTTTCTGAGAATGATTCTGTCTAGTTTTTATACGAAGATATTTCCTTTTCTGCCTTTGGCCCCAAAGCGCTTGAAATCTCCACTTGCAAATTCCACAAAAACAGTGTTTCAAATCTGCTCTCCCTAAATGAAAGTTCAACTCTGTCAGTTGAATACACACAACACAAGGAAGTTACTGAGAATTCTTCTGTCTAGCCTTATATGAAAAAAACCCGTTTCCAACGAAGGCCTCAAAGAGGTCTGAATATCCACTTGCAGACTTTACAAACAGAGTGTTTCCTAACTGCTCTATGAAAAGAAAGGTTAAACTCTGTGAGTTGAACGCACACATCACAAAGGAGTTTCTGGGAATCAGTCTGTCTAGTCTTTATATGAAGATAGTCTCCTTTTCTACCATTGACCTCAAAGCGGATGAAATCTCCACTTGCAAATTCCACAAAAAGAGTGTTTCAAGTCTGCTCTGTGTAAAGGATCATTCAACTCTGTGAGTTGAATACACACAACACAAGGAAGTTACTGAGAATTCTTCTGTCTAGCCTTACAGGAAAAAAACCCGTTTCCAACGAAGGCCTCTAAGTGGTCAAAATATCCACGTGCAGACTTTACAAACAGAGTGTTTCCAAACAGCTGAATGAAAAGAAAAGTTAAACTCTGAGAGTTGAACGCACACATCGCAGAGCAGTTTCTGAGAATGATTCTGTCTAGTCTTTATACGAAGATATTTCCTTTTCTACCATTGACCTCAAAGCGGCTGAAATCTCCACTTGCAAATTCCACAAAAAGAGTGTTTCAAGTCTGCTCTCTGTAAAGGATCGTTCAACTCTGTGAGTTGAATACACAGAACAAAAGGAAGTTACTGAGAATTATTCTGTCTAGCATAATATGAAGAAATCCCGTTTCCAACGAAGGCCTCAAGAGGTCTGAATATCCACTTGCAGACTTTACAAACAGAGTGTTTCCAAACAGCTGAATGAAAAGAAAAGTTAAACTCTGAGAGTTGAACGCACACATCACGCAGCAGTTTCTGAGAATGATTCTGTCTAGTTTTGAAACGAAGATATTTCCTTTTCTGCTGTTGACCATAAAGCGCTTGAAATCTACACTTGCAAATTGCACAAATAGAGTGTTTCAAATCTGCTCTGTCTAAGGGAACGTTCAACTCTGTGTGTTGAATGCACACAACACAAGGAAGTTACTGGGAATTCTTCTGTCTAGCCTTACATGAAAAAAACCCGTTTCCAACGAAGGCCTCTAAGTGGTCAAGTTATCCACGTGCAGACTTTACAAACAGAGTGTTTCCAAACTGCTGAATGAAAAGGAAATTTAAACTCTGAGAGTTGAACGCACACATCGCAGAGCAGTTTCTGAGAATGATTCTGTCTAGTTTTTATACGAAGATATTTCCTTTTCTGCCTTTGGCCCCAAAGCGCTTGAAATCTCCACTTGCAAATTCCTCAAAAACAGTGTTTCAAATCTGCTCTCTCTAAATGAAAGTTCAACTCTGTCAGTTGAATACACGCCACACAAGGAAGTTACTGAGAATTCTTCTTTCTAGCAGAATATGAAGAAATCCCGTTTCCAACGAAGGCCTCAAAGAGGTCTGAATATCCACTTGCAGACTTTACAAACAGAGTGTTTCCTAACTGCTCTATGAAAAGAAAGGTTAAACTCTGTGAGTTGAACGCACACATCACAAAGGAGTTTCTGAGAATCGTTCTGTCTAGTCTTTATACGAAGATATTTCCTTTTCTACCATTGACCTCAAAGCGGCTGAAATCTCCACTTGCAAACTCCACAAAAAGAGTGTTTCAAGTCTGCTCTGTGTAAAGGATCGTTCAACTCTGTGAGTTGAATACACACAACACAAGGAAGTTACTGAGAATTCTTCTGTCTAGCAGAATATGAAGAAATCCCGTTTCCAACGAAGGCCACAAGATGTCTGAATATCCACTTACAGACTTTACAAACAGAGTGTTTCCTAACTGCTCTATGAACAGAAAGGTTAAACTCTGTGAGTTGAACGAACACATCACAACGCAGTTTCTGGGAATGATTCTGTCTAGTTTTGAAACCAAGATATTTCCTTTTCTGCCGTTGACCTTAAAGAGCTTGAAAACTACACTTGCAAATTGCACAAATAGAGTGTTTCAAATCTGCTCTGTCTAAGGGAACGTTCAACTCTGTGAGTTGAATGCACACAACACAAGGAAGTTACTGGGAATTCTTCTGTCTAGCCTTACATGAAAAAAACCCGTTTCCAACGAAGGCCTCTAAGTGGTCACAATTTCCACGTGCAGACTTTACAAACAGAGTGTTTCCAAACCGCTGAATGAAAAGAAAAGTTAAACTCTGAGAGTTGAACGCAAACATCACGCAGCAGTTTCTGAGAATGATTCTGTCTAGTTTTTATACGAAGGTATTTCCTTTTCTGCCTTTGGCCCCAAAGCGCTTGAAATCTCCACTTGCAAATTCCACAAAAACAGTGTTTCAAATCTGCTCTCTCTAAATGAAAGTTCAACTCTGTCAGTTGAATACACACAACACAAGGAAGTTACTGAGAATTCCTCTGTCTAGCAGAATATGAAGAAATCCCGTTTCCAACGAAGGCCTCAAAGAGGTCTGAATATCCACTTGCAGACTTTACAAACAGAGTGTTTCCTAACTGCTCTATGAAAAGAAAGGTTAAACGCTGTGAGTTGAACGCACACATCAAAAAGCAGTTTCTGAGAATCATTCTGTATAGTTTTTCTTCGAAGATATTTCCTATTCTACCATTGACCTCAAAGCGGCTGAAATCTCCACTTGCAAATTCCACAAAAAGAGTGTTTCAAGTCTGCTCTCTGTAAAGGATCATTCAACTCTGTGAGTTGAATACACACAACACAAGGAAGTTACTGAGAATTCTTCTGTCTAGCAGAATATGAAGAAATCCCGTTTCCAACGAAGGTCTCAAAGAGGTCTGAATATCCACTTGCAGACTTTACAAACAGAGTGTTTCCTAACTGCTGTATGAAAAGAAAGGTTAAACTCTGTGAGTTGAACGCACACATCACAAAGGAGTTTCTGAGAATCGTTCTGTCTAGTTTCTATAGGAAGATATTTCCTATTCTACCATTGACCTCAAAGCGGCTGAAATCTCCACTTGCAAATTCCACAAAAAGAGTGTTTCAAGACTGTTCTGTGTAAAGGATCATTCAAGTCTCTGAGTTGAATACACACAACACAAGGAAGTTACTGAGAATTCTTCTGTCTAGCAGAATATGAAGAAATCCCGTTTCCAACGAAGGCCTCAAAGAGGTCTGAATATCCACTTGCAGACTTTACAAACAGAGTGTTTCCTAACGGCTCTATGAAAAGAAAAGTTAAACTCTGTGAGTTGAACGCACACATCACAAAGGAGTTTCTGAGAATCATTCTGTCTAGTTTTGAAACGAAGATATTTCCTTTTCTGCCATTGACCTTAAATTGCTTGAAATCTCCACTTGCCAATTGCACAAAAAGAGTGTTTCAAATCTGCTCTTTCTAAGGGAACGTTCAACTCTGTGAGTTGAATGTACACAACACAAGGAAGTTACTGGGAATTCTTCTGTCTAGCCTTACATGAAAAAAACCCGTTTCCAACGAAGACCTCTAAGTGGTCAAATTATCCACGTGCAGACTTTACAAACAGAGTGTTTCCAAACTACTGAATGAAAAGATAAGTTAAACTCTGAGAGTTGAACGCACACATCGCAGAGCAGTTTCTGAGAATGATTCTGTCTAGTCTTTAGAGGAAGATATTTCCTTTTCTACCATTGACCTCAAAGCGGCTGAAATCTCCACTTGCAAATTCCACAAAAAGAGTGTTTCAAGTCTGCTCTCTGTAAAGGATCGTTCAACTCTGTGAGTTGAATACACACAACACAAGGAAGTTACTGAGAATTCTTCTGTCTAGCAGAATATGAAGAAATCCCGTTTCCAACGAAGGCGTCAAAGAGGTCTGAATATCCACTTGCAGACTTTACAAACAGAGTGTTTCCTAACTGCTCTATGAAAAGAAAAGTTAAACTCTGTGAGTTGAACGCACACATAACAAAGGAGTTTCTGAGAATCATTCTGTCTAGTTTTTATACGAAGATATTTCCTTTTCTACCATTGACCTCAACGCGGCTGAAATCTCCACTTGCAAATTCCACAAAAAGAGTGTTTCAAGTCTGCTCTGTGTAAAGGATCGTTCAACTCTGTGAGTTGAATACACACAACACAAGGGAAGTTACTGAGAATTCTTCTGTCTAGCAGAATATGAAGAAATCCCGTTTCCAACGAAGGCCACAAGATGTCAGAATATCCACTTACAGACTTTCCAAACAGAGTGTTTCCTAACTGCTCTATGAACAGAAAGGTTAAACTCTGTGAGTTGAACGAACACATCACATCGCAGTTTGTGGGAATGATTCTGTCTAGTTTTTATACGAAGATATTTCCTTTTCTACCATTGACCTCAAAGAGGCTGAAATCACCACTTGCCAATTGCACAAAAAGAGTGTTTCAAATCTGCTCTGTCTAAGGGAACGTTCAACTCTGTGAGTTGAATGTACACAACACAAGGAAGTTACTGGGAATTCTTCTGTCTACCCTTACATGAAAAAAACCCGTTTCCAACGAAGGCCTCTAAGTGGTCAAAATATCCACGTGCAGACTTTACAAACAGAGTGTTTCCAAACTGCTGAATGAAAAGAAAAGTTAAACTCTGAGAGTTGAACGCACACTTCACAGAGCATTTTCTGAGAATGATTCTGTCTAGTTTTGAAACGGAGATATTTCCTTTTCTGCCTTTGGCCTCAAAGCGCTTGAAATCTCCACTTGCAAATTCCACAAAAAGAGTGTTTCAAATCTGCTCTGTGTAAATGAAAGTTCAACTCTGTGATTTGAACACACACAACTCAAGGAAGTTACTGGGAATTCTTCTGTCTAGCAGAATATGAAAAAATCCCGTTTCCAACGAAGGCCTCAAAGAGGTCTGAATATCCACTTGCAGACTTTACAAACAGAGTGTTTCCTAACTGCTCTATGAAAAGAAAAGTTGAACTCTGTGAGTTGAACGCACACATCACAAAGGAGTTTCTGAGAATCATTCTGTCTAGTCTTTATACAAAGATATTTCCTTTTCTACCATTGACCTCAAAGCGGCTGAAATCTCCACTTGCAAATTCCACAAAAAGAGTGTTTCAAGTCTGCTCTGTGTAAAGGATCGTTCAACTCTGTGAGTTGAATACACACAACACAAGGAAGTTACTGAGAATTCTTCTGTCTAGCAGAATATGAAGAAATCCCGTTTCCAACGAAGGCCACAAGATGTCAGAATATCCACTTACAGAATTTTCAAACAGACTGTTTCCTAACTGCTCTATGAAAAGAATGGTTAAACTCTGTGAGTTGAACGAACACATCACAACGCAGTTTGTGGGAATGATTCTGTCTAGTTTTGAAACGAAGATATTTCCTTTTCTGCCGTTGACCTTAAAGCGCTTGAAATCTACACTTGCAAATTGCACAAATAGAGTGTTTCAAATCTGCTCTGTTTAAGGGAACGTTCAACTCTGTTAGTTGAATGCACACAACACAAGGAAGTTACTGGGAATTCTTCTGTCTAGCCTTACAGGAAAAAAACCCGTTTCCAAAGAAGGCCTCTAAGTGGTCAAAATATCCACGTGCAGACTTTACAAACAGAGTGTTTCCAAACTGCTGAATGAAAAGAAAAGTTAAACTCTGAGAGTTGAATGCACACATCGCAGAGCAGTTTCTGAGAATGATTCTGTCTAGTTTTGAAACGAAGATATTTCCATTTCTGCCTTTGGCCTCAAAGCGCTTGAAATCTCCACTTGCAAATTCCACAAAAAGAGTGTTTCAAATCTGCTCTGTGTAAATGAAAGTTCAACTCTGTGAGTTGAACACACACAACACAAGGAAGTTACTGGGAATTCTTCTGTCTAGCCTTATATGAAAAAAACCCGTTTCCAACGAAGGCCTCAAAGAGGTCTGAATATCCACTTGCAGACTTTACAAACAGAGTGTTTCCTAACTGCTCTATGAAAAGTAAGGTTAAACTCTGTGAGTTGAACACACACATCACAAAGGAGTTTCTGAGAATCATTCTGTCTAGTTTTTATAGGAAGATATTTCCTTTTCTACCTTTGACTTCAAAGCGGCTGAAATCCCCACTTGCAAATTCCACAAAAAGAGTGTTACAAGTCTGCTCTGTGTAAAGGATCGTTCAACTCTGTGAGTTGAATACACACAACACAAGGAAGTTACTGAGAATTCTTCTGTCTAGCAGAATATGAAGAAATCCCGTTTCCAACGAAGGCCACAAGATGTCAGAATATCCACTTACAGAATTTACAAACAGACTGTTTCCTAACTGGTCTATGAAAAGAAAGGTTAAACTCTGTGAGTTGAACGAACACATCACAACGCAGTTTGTGGGAATGATTCTGTCTAGTTTTTATACGAAGATATTTCCTTTTCTACCATTGACCTCAAAGCGGCTGAAATCACCACTTGCCAATTGCACAAAAAGAGTGTTTCAAATCTGCTCTGTCTAAGGGAACGTTCAACTCTGTGAGTTGAATGTACACAACACAAGGAAGTTACTGGGAATTCTTCTGTCTAGCCTTACATGAAAAAAACCCGTTTCCAACGAAGGCGTCTAAGTGGTCAAAATATCCACGTGCAGACTTTAGAAACAGAGTGTTTCCAAACCGCTGAATGAAAAGAAAAGTTAAACTCTGAGAGTTGAACGCACACATCACGCAGCAGTTTCTGAGAATGATTCTGTCTAGTTTTTATACGAAGATATTTCCTTTTCTGCCTTTGGCCTCAAAGCGCTTGAAATCTCCACTTGCAAATTCCACAAAAAGAGTGTTTCAAATCTGCTCTGTGTAAATCAAAGTTCAACTCTGTGAGTTGAACACACACAACAGAAAGAAGTTACTGGGAATTCTTCTGTCTAGCAGAATATGAAGAAATCCCGTTTCCAACGAAGGCCTCTAGGAGGTCTGAATATCCACATGCAGACTTTACAAACAGAGTGTTTCCTAATGGCTCTATGAAAAGAAAAGTTAAACTCTGTGAGTTGAACGCACACATCACAAAGGAGTTTCTGAGAATCGTTCTGTCTAGTTTTTATAGGAAGATATTTCCTTTTCTACCTTTGACTTGAAAGCGGCTGAAATCTCCACTTGCAAATTCCACAAAAAGAGTGTTACAAGTCTGCTCTGTGTAAAGGGTCGTTCAACTCTGTGAGTTGAATACACACAACACAAGGAAGTTACTGAGAATTCTTCTGTCTAGCATAATATGAAGAAATCCCGTTTCCAACGAAGACCTCAAAGAGGTCTGAATATCCACTTGCAGACTTTACAAACAGAGTGTTTCCTAACTGCTCTACGAGAAGAAAAGTTAAACTCTGTGAGTTGAACGCACACATCACAAAAGATTTTCTGAGAATCATTCTGTCTAGTTTTTATACGAAGATATTTCCTTTTCTACCATGGACCTCAAAGCGGCTGAAATCTCCACTTGCAAATTCCACAAAAAGAGTGTTTCAAGTCTGCTCTGTGTAAAGGATCGTTCAACTCTGTGAGTTGAATACACACAACAGAAGGAAGATTCTGAGAATTCTTCTGTCTAGCAGAATATGAAGAAATCCCGTTTCCAACGAAGGCCACAAGATGTCAGAATATCCACTTACAGACTTTACAAACAGTGTGTTTCCTAACTGCTCTATGAACGGAGAGGTTAAACTCTGTGAGTTGAACGAACACATCACAACGCAGTTTGTGGGAATGATTCTGTCTAGTTTTTATACGAAGATATTTCCTTTTCTACCATTGACCTCAAAGCGGCTGAAATCACCACTTGCCAATTGCACAAAAAGAGTGTTTCAAATCTGCTCTCTCTAAGGAAACGTTCAACTCTGTGAGTTGAATGTACACAACACAAGGAAAGTTACTGGGAATTCTACCGTCTAGCCTTACAGGAAAAAAACCCGTTTCCAACGAAGGCCTCTAAGTGGTCAAAATATCCACGTGCAGACTTTACAAACAGAGTGTTTCCAAACTGCTGAATGAAAAGAAAAGTTAAACTCTGAGAGTTGAACGCACACATCGCAGAGCAGTTTCTGAGAATGATTCTGTCTAGTTTTTATACGAAGATATTTCCTTGTCTACCATTGACCTCAAAGCGGCAGAAATCTCCACTTGCAAATTCCACAAAAAGAGTGTTTCAAGTCTGCTCTGTGTAACGGATCGTTGAACTCTGTGAGTTGAATACACACAACACAAGGAAGTTACTGAGAATTCTTCTGTCTAGCATAATATGAAGAAATCCCGTTTCCAACGAAGGCTTCAAAGAGGTCTGAATATCCACTTGCAGACTTTACAAACAGAGTGTTCCCTAACTGCTCTATGAAAAGAAAGGTTAAACTCTGTGAGTTGAGCGCACACATCACAAAGAAGTTTCTGAGAATCATTCTGTCTAGTTTTTATACGAATATATTTCCTTTTCTACCATTGACCTCAAAGCGGCTGAAATCTCCACTTGCAAATTCCACAAAAAGAGTGTTTCAAGTCTGTTCTGCGTAAAGGATCATTCAACTCTGTGAGTTGAATACACAAAACACAAGGAAGTTACTGAGAATTCTTCCGTCTAGGAGAATATGAAGAAATCCCGTTTCCAACGAAGGCCACAAGATGTCAGAATATCCACTTACAGAATTGACAAACAGACTGTTTCCTAACTGCTCTATGAAAAGAAAGGTTAAACTCTGTGAGTTGAACGAACACATCACAACGCAGTTTGTGGGAATGATTCTGTCTAGTTTTGAAACGACGATATTTCCTTTTCTGCCATTGACCTTAAAGCGCTTGAAATCTCCATTTGCCAATTGCACAAAAAGAGTGTTTCAAATCTGCTCTGTCTAAGGTAACGTTCAACTCTGTGAGTTGAATGTACACAACACAAGGGAAGTTACTGGGAATTCTTCTTTCTAGCCTTACAGGAAAAAAACCCGTTTCCAACGAAGGCCTCTAAGTGGTCAAAATATCCACGTGCAGACTTTACAAACAGAGTGTTTCCAAACTGCTGAATGAAAAGAAAAGTTAAACTCTGAGAGTTGAACGCACACATCGCAGAGCAGTTTCTGAGAATGATTCTGTCTAGTTTTATACGAAGATATTTCCTTTTCTGCGTTTGGCCCCAAAGCGCTTGAAATCTCCACTTGCAAATTCCACAAAAACAGTGTTTCAAATCTGCTCTCTCTACATGAAAGTTCAACTCTGTCAGTTGAATACACACAACACAAGGAAGTTACTGAGAATTCTTCTGTCTAGCATAATATGAAGAAATCCCGTTTCCAACGAAGGCCTCAAGGAGGTCTGAATATCCACTTGCAGACTTTACAAACAGAGTGTTTCCTAACTGCTCTATTAAAAGAAAGGTTAAACTCTGTGAGTTGAATGCACACATCACAAAGGAGTTTCTGAGAATCATTCTGTATAGTTTCTATAGGAAGATATTTCTTATTCTACCATTGAACTCAAAGCGGCTGAAATCTCCACTTGCAAATTCCACAAAAAGAGTGTTTCAAGTCTGCTCTGTGTAAAGGATCGTTCAACTCTGTGAGTTGAATACACACAACACAAGGAAGTTAATGAGAATTCTTCTGTCTAGCATAATATGAAGAAAACCCGTTTCCAACGAAGGCCTCAAGGAGGTCTGAATATCCACTTGCAGACGTTACAAACAGAGTGTTTCCTAACTGCTCTATGAAAAGAAAGGTTAAACTCTGTGAGTTGAACGCCACATCACAAAGGAGTTTCTCAGAATCATTCTGTCTACTCTTTATACGAACATAGTTTCCTTTTCTACCTTTGACCTCAAAGCGGCTGAAATCTCCACTTGCAAATTCCACAAAAAGTGTGTTTCAAGTCTGCTCTGTGTAAAGGATCGTTCAACTCTTTGAGTTGAATACACACAACACAAGGAAGTTACTGAGAATTCTTCTGTCTATCAGAATATGAAGAAATCCCGTTTCCAAAGAAGGCCTCAAGGAGGTCTGAATATCCACTTGCAGACTTTACAAACAGAGTGTTTCCTAACTGCTCTATGAACAGAAAGGTTAAACTCTGTGAGTTGAACGCACACATCACAAAGGAGTTTTTGAGAATCATTCTGTCTAGTTTTTATACGAAGATATTTCCTTTTCTACCATTGACCTCAACGCGGCTGAAATCTCCACTTGCAAATTCCACAAAAAGAGCGTTTCAAGTCTGCTCTGTGTAAAGGATCGTTCAACTCTGTGAGTTGAATACACACAACACAAGGAAGTTACTGAGAATTTTTCTGTCTAGCAGAATATGAAGAAATCCCGTTTCCAACGAAGGCCTCAAGGAGGTCTGAATATCCACTTGCAGAATTTACAAACAGAGTGTTTCCTAACTGCTCTATGAAAAGAAAGGTTAAACTCTGTGAGTTGAACGCACACATCACAAAGGAGTTTATGAGAATCATTCTCTCTAGTTTCTATAGGAAGATATTTCCTATTCTAACATTGACCTCAAAGCGGCTGAAATCTCCACTTGCAAATTCCACAAAAAGAGTGTTTCCAGTCTGCTCTGTGTAAAGGATCGTTCAACTCTGTGAGTTGAATACACACAACACAAAGAAGTTACTGAGAATTCTTCTGTCTAGCAGAATATGAAGAAATCCCGTTTAAAACGAAGGCCACAAGATGTCAGAATATCCACTTACAGACTTTACAAACAGAGTGTTTCCTAACTGCTCTATGAACAGAAAGGTTAAACTCTGTGAGTTGAACGAACACATCACAACGCAGTTTGTGGGAATGATTCTGTCTAGTTTTGAAACGAAGATATTTCCTTTTCTGCCATTGACCTTAAAGCGCTTGAAATCTACACTTGCAAATTACACAAATAGAATGTTTCAAATCTGCTCTGTCTAAGGGAACGTTCAACTCTGTGAGTTGAATGCACACAACACAAGGAAGTTACTGGGATTTATTCTGTCTAGCCTTACAGGAAAAAAACCCGTTTCCAACGAAGGCCTCTAAGTGGTCAAATATCCACGTGCAGACTTTACAAACAGAGTGTTTCCAAACTGCTGAATGAAAAGAAAAGTTAAACTCTGAGAGTTGAACGCACACATCGCAGAGCAGTTTCTGAGAATGATTCTGTCTAGTTTTTATACGAAGATATTTCCTTTTCTGCCTTTGGCCCCAAAGCGCTTGAAATCTCCACTTGCAAATTCCACAAAAACAGTGTTTCAAATCTGCTCTCTCTAAAGGAAAGTTCAACTCTGTCAGTTGAATACACACAACACAAGGAAGTTACTGAGAATTCTTCTGTCTAGCCTTATATGAAAAAAACCCGTTTCCAACGAAGGCCTCAAAGAGGTCTGAATATCCACTTGCAGACTTTACAAACAGAGTGTTTCCTAACTGCTCTATGAAAAGAAAGGTTAAACTCTGTGAGTTGAACACACACAGCACAAAGGAGTTTCTGAGAATCATTCTGTCTAGTTTTTATACGAAGATATTTCCTATTCTACCATTGACCTCAAAGCGGCAGAAATCTCCACTTGCAAATTCCACAAAAAGAGTGTTTCAAGTCTGCTCTGTGTAAAGGATCGTTCAACTCTGTGAGTTGAATACACACAACACAAGGAAGTTACTGAGAATTCTTCTGTCTAGCAGAATATGAAGAAATCCCGTTTCCAACGAAGGCCACAAGATGTCAGAATATCCACTTACAGACTTTACAAACAGAATGTTTCCTAACTGCTCTATGAACAGAAAGTTTAAACTCTGTGAGTTGAACGAACACATCACAACGTAGTTTGTGAGAATGATTGTCTGTCTAGTTTTGAAACGAAGATATTTCCTTTTCTGCCATTGACCTCAAAGCGCTTGAAATCTACACTTGCAAATTGCACAAATAGAGTGTTTCAAATCTGGTCTGTCTAAGGGAACGTTCAACTCTGTGAGTTGAATGCACACAACACAAGGAAGTTACTGGGAATTCTTCTGTCTAGCCTTACATGAAAAAAAACCCGTTTCCAACGAAGGCCTCTAAGTGGTCAAAATATCCACGTGCAGACTTTACAAACAGAGTGTTTCCAAACCGCTGAATGAAAAGAAAAGTTAAACTCTGAGAGTTGAACGCACACATCACGCAACAGTTTCTGAGAATGATTCTGTCTAGTTTTTATACGAAGATATTTCCTTTTCTGCCTTTGGCCTCAAAGCGCTTGAAATCTCCACTTGCAAATTCCACAAAAAGAGTGTTTCAAATCTGCTCTGTGTAAATGAGAGTTCAACTCTGTGAGTTGAACACACACAACACAAGGAAAGTTACTGGGAATTCTTCTGTCTAGCAGAACATGAAGAAATCCCGTTTCCAACGAAGGCCTCAAAGTTGTCTGAATATCCACTTGCAGACTTTACAAACAGAGTGTTTCCTAACTGCTCTATGAAAAGAAAGGTTAAACTCTGTGAGTTGAACGCACACATCACAAAGGAGTTTCTGAGAATCATTCTGTCTAGTCTTTATAGGAAGATATTTACTTTTCTACCATTGACCACAAAGCGGCTGAAATCTCCACTTGCAAATTCGACAAAAAGAGTGTTTCAAGCCTGCTCTCTGTAAAGGATCCTTCAACTCTGTGAGTTGAATACACACAACACAAGGAAGTTACTGAGAATTATTCTGTCTAGCAGTAATATGAAGAAATCCCGTTTCCAACGAAGGCCTCAAGGAGGTCTGAATATCCACTTGCAGACTTTACAAACAGAGTGTTTCCTAACTGCTCTATGAACAGAAAGGTTAAACTCTGTGAGTTGAACGAACACATCACAACGCAGTTTGTGGGAATGATTCTGTCTAGTTTTTATAGGAAGATATTTCCTTTTCTACCATTGACCTCAAAGCGGCTGAAATCACCACTTGCCAATTGCACAAAAAGAGTGTTTCAAATCTGCTCTGTCTAAGGGAACGTTCAACTCTGTGAGTTGAATGTACACAACACAAGGAAGTTACTGGGAATTCTTCTGTCTAGCCTTACATGAAAAAAACCCGTTTCCAACGAAGGCCTCTAAATGGTCAAAATATCCACGTGCAGACTTTACAAACAGAGTGTTTCCAAACTGCTGAATGAAAAGAAAAGTTAAACTCTGAGAGTTGAACGCACACATCGCAGAGCAGTTTCTGAGAATGATTCTGTCTAGTCTTTATACGGAGATATTTCCTTTTCTACCGTTGACCTCAAAGCGGCTGAAATCTCCACTTGCAAATTCCACAAAAAGAGTGTTTCAAGTCTGCTCTGTGTAAAGGATCGTTCAACTCTGTGAGTTGAATACACACAACACAAGGAAGTTAGTGAGAATTCTTCTGTCTAGCAGAATATGAAGAAATCCCATTTCCAACGAAGGCCTCAAGGAGGTCTGAATATCCACTTGCAGACTTTACAAACAGAGTGTTTCCTAACTGCTCTACGAAAAGAAAGGTTAAACTCTGTGAGTTGAACGCACACATCACAAAGGAGTTTCTGAGAATCATTCTGTCTAGTTTCTATAGGAAGATATTTCCTATTCTACCATTGACCTCAAAGCGGCTGAAATCTCCACTTGCAAATTCCACAAAAAGAGTGTTTCAAGTCTGCTCTCTGTAAAGGATCGTACAACTCTGAGTTGAATACCCACAACAAAAGGAAGTTACTGAGAATTATTCTGTCTAGCCTTACATGAAAAAAACCCGTTTCCAACGAAGGCCTCTAAGTGGTCAAATTATCCACGTGCAGACTTTACAAACAGAGTGTTTCCAAACTGCTGAATGAAAAGAAAAGTTAAACTCTGAGAGTTGAACGCACACATCACAGAGCAGTTTCTGAGAATGATTCTGTCTAGTTTTTATACGAAGATATTTCCTTTTCTGCCTTTGGCCTCAAAGCGCTTGAAATCTCCATCTGCAAATTCCACAAAAAGAGTGTTTCAAATCTGCTCTGTGTAAATGAAAGTTCAACTCTGTGAGTTGAACACACACAACACAAGGAAGTTACTGGGAATTCTTCTGTCTAGCCTTAGATTAAAAAAACGTGTTTCCAACGAAGGCCTCAAAGAGGTCTGAATATCCACTTGCAGACTTTACAAACAGAGTGTTCCCTAACTGTTCTATGAAAAGAAAGGTTAAACTCTGTGAGTTGAACACACACATCACAAAGGAGTTTCTGAGAATCATTCTGTCTAGTTTCTATAGGAAGATATTTCCTATTCTACCATTGACCTCAAAGCGGCTGAAATCTCCACTTGCAAATTCAACAAAAAGAGTGTTTCAAGTCTGCTCTGTGTAAAGGACCGTTCAACTCTGTGAGTTGAATACACACAACACAAGGGAAGTTACTGAGAATTCTTCTGTCTAGCATAATATGAAGAAATAACGTTTCCAACGAAGGCCTCAAAGAGGTCTGAATATCCACTTGCAGACTTTACAAACAGAGTGTTTCCTAACTGCTCTATGAACAGAAAAGTTAAACTCTGTGAGTTGAACGCACACATCACAAAGGATTTTCTGAGAATCATTCTGTCTAGTTTTTATACGAAGATATTTCCTTTTCTACCATGGACCTCAAAGCGGCTGAAATCTCCACTTGCAAATTCCACAAAAAGAGTGTTTCAAGTCTGCTCTGTGTAAAGGATCGTTCAACTCTGTGAGTTGAATACACACAACACAAGGAAGATTCTCAGAATTCTTCTGTCTAGCAGAATATGAAGAAATCCCGTTTCCAACGAAGGCCACAAGATGTCAGAATATCCACTTACAGACTTTACAAACAGTGTGTTTCCTAACTGCTCTATGAACGGAAAGGTTAAACTCTGTGAGTTGAATGAACACATCACAACGCAGTTTGTGGGAATGATTCTGTCTAGTTTTGAAACGAAGATATTTCCTTTTCTGCCATTGACCTTAAAGCGCTTGAAATCTCCATTTGCCAATTGCACAAAAAGAGTGTTTCAAATCTGCTTTGTCTAAGGGAACGTTCAACTCTGTGAGTTGAATGTACACAACACAAGGAAGTTACTGGGAATTCTTCTGTCTAGACTTACATGAAAAAAACCCGTTTCCAACGAAGGCCTCTAAGTGGTCAAGTTATCCACGTGCAGACTTTACAAACAGAGTGTTTCCAAACTTCTGAATGAAAAGAAAAGTTAAACTCTGAGAGTTGAACGCACACATCGCAGAGCAGTTTCTGAGAATGATTCTGTCTCGTTTTTATACGAAGATATTTCCTTTTCTGCCTTTGGCCTCAAAGCGCTTGAAATCTCCATTTCAAATTCCACAAAAAGAGTGTTTCAAATCTGCTCTGTGTAAATGAAAGTTCAACTCTGTGAGTTGAACACACACAACACAAGGAAGTTACTGGGAATTCTTCTGTCTAGCATAATATGAAGAAATCCCGTTTCCAACGAAGGCCTTAAGGAGGTCTGAATATCCACTTGCAGAATTTACAAATAGAGTGTTTCCTAACTGCTCTATGAAAAGAAAGGTTAAACTCTGTGAGTTGAACGCACACATCACAAAGGAGTTTCTGAGAATCATTCTGTCAAGTTTTTATAGGAAGATATTTCCTTTTCTACCTTTGACTTCAAAGCTGCTGAAATCTCCACTTGCAAATTCCACAAAAAGAGTGTTACAAGTCTGCTCTGTCTAAGGGAACGTTCAACTCTGTGAGTTGAATGTACACAACACAAGGAAGTTACTGGGAATTCTTCTCTCTAGCAGAATATGAAGAAAACCCGTTTCCAACGAAGGCCTCAAAGAGGTCTGAATATCCACTTGCAGACTTTACAAACAGAGTGTCTCCTAACTGCTCTATGAAAAGAAAGGTTGAACTCTGTGAGTTGAACGCACACATCACAAAGGAGTTTCTGAGAATCATTCTGTCTAGTTTTTATACGAAGATATTTCCTTTTCTACCATGGACCTCAAAGCGGCTGAAATCTCCACTTGCAAATTCCACAAAAAGAGTGTTTCAAGTCTGCTCTGTGTAAAGGATCGTTCATCTCTGTGAGTTGAATACACACAACACAAGGAAGTTTCTGAGAATTCTTCTGTCTAGCAGAATATGAAGAAATCCCGTTTCCATCGAAGGCCACAAGATGTCAGAATATCCACTTTCAGACTTTACAAACAGAGTGTTTCCTAACTGCTCTATGAACAGAAAGGTTAAACTCTGTGAGTTGAACGAACACATCACAACGCAGTTTGTGGGAATGATTCTGTCTAGTTTTTATACGAAGATATTTCCTTTTCTACCATTGACCTCAAAGCGGCTGAAATCACCACTTGCCAATTGCAGAAAAAGAGTATTTCAAATCTACTCTGTCTAAGGGAACGTTCAAATGTGTGAGTTGAATGTACGCAACACAAGGAAGTTCCTGGGAATTCTTCTGTCTAGCCTTACAAAAAAAAACCCGTTTCCAACGAAAGCCTCTAAATGGTCAAAATATCCACGTGCAGACTTTACAGAGTGTTTCCAAACTGCTGAATGAAAAGAAAAGTTAAACTCTGAGAGTTGAACGCACACATCGCAGAGCAGTTTCTGAGAATGATTCTGTCTAGTTTTTATACGAAGATATTTCCTTTTCTGCCTTTGGCCCCAAAGCGCTTGAAATCTCCAATTGCAAATTCCACAAAAACAGTGTTTCAAATCTGCTCTCTCTAAATGAAAGTTCAACTCTGTCAGTTGAATACACAAAACACAAGGAAGTTACTGAGAATTCTTCTGTCTAGCCTTATATGAAAAAAAACCGTTTCCAACGAAGGCCTCAAAGAGGTCTGAATATCCACTTGCAGACTTTACAAACAGAGTGTTTCCTAACTGCTCTATGAAAAGAAAGGTTAAACTCTGTGAGTTCAACGCACACATCACAAAGGAGTTTCTGAGAATCATTCTGTCTAGTTTTTATACGAAGATATTTCCTTTTCTACCATTGACCTCAAAGCGGATGAAATCTCCACTTGCAAATTCCACAAAAAGAGTGTTTCAAGTCTACGCTGTGTAAAGGATCGTTCAACTCTGTGAGTTGAAAACACACAACACAACGAAGTTTCTGAGAATTCTTCTGTCTAGCCTTACATGAAAAAAACCCGTTTCCAACAAAGGCCTCTAAGTGGTCAAATTATCCAAGTGCAGACTTTACAAACAGAGTGTTTCCAAACTGCTGAATGAAAAGAAAAGTTAAACTCTGAGAGTTGAACGCACACATCGCAGAGCAGTTTCTGAGAATGATTCTGCCTAGTTTTTATACGAAGATATTTCCTTTTCTGCCTTTGGCCTCAAAGCGCTTGAAATCTCCATTTGCAAATTCCACAAAAAGAGAGTTTCAAATCTGCTCTGTGTAAATGAGAGTTCATCTCTGTGAGTTGAACACACACAACACAAAGAAGTTACTGGGAATTCTTCTGTATAGCAGAATATGAAGAAATCCCGTTTCCAACGAAAGCCTCAAAGATGTCTGAATATCCACCTGCAGACTTTACAAACAGAGTGTTTCCTAACTGCTCTATGAAAACAAAGGTTAAACTCTGTGAGTTGAACGCACACATCACAAAGGAGTTTCTGAGAATCATTCTGTCTAGTTTCTATAGGAAGATATTTCTTATTCCACCATTGACCTCAAAGCGGCTGAAATCTCCACTTGCAAATTCCACAAAAAGAATGTTTCAAGTCTGCTCTGTGTAAAGGATCGTTCAACTCTGTGAGTTGAATACACACAACACAAGGAAGTTACTGAGAATTCTTCTGTCTAGCAGAATATGAAGAAATCCCGTTCCCAACGAAGGCCACAAGATGTCAGAATATCCACTTACAGACTTTACAAACAGAGTGTTTCCTAACTGCTCTATGAACAGAAAGGTTAAACTCTGTGAGTTGAACGAACACATCACAACGCAGTTTGTGGGAATGATTCTGTCTAGTTTTGAAACCAAGATATTTCCTTTTCTGCCGTTGACCTAAAAGAGCTTGAAAACTACACTTGCAAATTGCACAAATAGAGTGTTTCAAATCTGCTCTGTCTAAGGGAACGTTCAACTCTGTGAGTTGAATGCACACAACACAAGGAAGTTACTGGGAATTCTTCTGTCTAGCCTTACATGAAAAAAACCCGTTTCCAACGAAGGCCTCTAAGTGGTCAAAAGTTCCACGTGCAGACTTTACAAACAGAGTGTTTCCAAACCGCTGAATGAAAAGAAAAGTTAAACTCTGAGAGTTGAACGCACACATCACGCAGCAGTTTCTGAGAATGATTCTGTCTAGTTTCTATAGGAATATATTTCCTATTCTACCATTGACCACAAAGAGGCTGAAATCTCCACTTGCAAATTCCACAAAAAGAGTGTTTCAAGTCTGCTCTGTGTAAAGGATCGTTCAAATCTGTGAGTTGAATACACACAACACAAGGAAGTTACTGAGAATTCTTCTGTATAGCAGAATATGAAGAAATGCAGTTTCCAACGAAGGCCTCAAGGAGGTCTGAATATCCACTTGCAGACTTTACAAACAGAGTGTTTCCTAACTGCTCTATGAAAAGAAAGGTTAAACTCTGTGAGTTGAACGCACACATCACAAAGGAGTTTCTCAGAATCATTCTGTCTAGTTTTTATACGAAGATATTTCCTTTTCTAACATTGACCTCAAAGCGGCTGAAATCTCCACTTGCAAATATCCACAAAAAGAGTGTTTCAAGTCTGCTCTGTGTAAAGGATCGTTCAACTCTGTGAGTTGAATACACACAACACAAGGAAGTTACTGAGAATTCTTCTTTCTAGCAGAATATGAAGAAATCCCGTTTCCAACGAAAGCCTCAAGGATGTCTGAATATCCAGTTGCAGACTTTACAAACAGAGTGTTTCCTAACTGCTCTATGAAAAGAAAGGTTAAACCTTGTGTGTTGAACACACACATCACAAAGCAGTTTCTGAGAATCATTCTGTCTAGTTTCTATAAGAAGATATTTCCTATTCTACCATTGAACTCAAAGCGGCTGAAATCTCCACATGCAAATTCCACAAAAAGAGTGTTTCAAGTCTGCTCTGTGTAAAGGATCGTTCAACTCTGTGAGTTGAATACACACAACACAAGGAAGTTACTGAGAATTCTTCTGTCTAGCATAATAGGAAGAAATCCCGTTTCCAACGAAGGCCACAAGGAGGTCTGAATATCCACTTGCAGACTTTACAAACAGAGTGTTTCCTAACTGCTCTATGAAAAGAAAGGTTAAACTGTGTGAGTTGAACGCACACATCACAAAGGAGTTTCTGAGAATCATTGTGTCTATTTTCTATAGGAAGATATTTCCTATTCTACCATTGACCTCAAAGCGGCTGAAATCTCCACTTGCAAATTCCACAAAAAGAGTGTTTCAAGTCTGCTCTGTGTAAAGGATCGTTCAACTCTGTGAGTTTAATACACACAACACAAGGAAGTTACTGAGAATTCTTCTGTCTAGCCTTACATGAAAAAAACCTGTCTCCAACGAAGGCTTCTAAGTGGTCAAAATATCCACGTGCAGACTTTACAAACAGAGTGTTTCCAAACTGCTGAATGAAAAGAAAAGTTAAACTCTGAGAGTTGAACGCACACATCACAGAGCGGTTTCTGAGAATGATTCTGTCTAGTTTTTATACGAAGATATTTCCTTTTCTGCCTTTGGCCTCAAAGCGCTTGAAATCTCCATTTGCAAATTCCACAAAAAGAGTGATTCAAATCTGCTCTGTGTAAATGAAAGTTCAACTCTGTGAGTTGAACACACACAACACAAGGAAGTTACTGGGAAATCTTCTGTCTAGCAGAATATGAAGAAATCCCGTTTCCAACGAAGGCCTCAAACAGGTCTGAATATCCACTTGCAGACTTTACAAACAGAGTGTTTCCTAACTGCTCTATGAAAAGAAAAGTTAAACTCTGTGAGTTGAACGCACACATCACAAAGGAGTTTATGAGAATCATTCTGTCTAGTTTTTATACGAAGATAGTTTCCTTTTCTAACATTGACCTCAAAGCGGCTGAAATCTCCACTTGCAAATTCCACAAAAAGAGTGTTTTAAGTCTGCTCTGTGTAAAGGATCGTTCAAATCTGTGAGTTGAATACACACAACACAAGGAAGTTACTGAGAATTCTTCTGTCTAGCCTTACATGAAAAAAACCCGTTTCCAACGAAGGCCTCTAAGTGGTCAAAATATCCACGTGCAGACTTTACAAACAGAGTGTTTCCAAACTGCTGAATGAAACGAAAAGTTAAACTCTGAGAGTTGAACGCACACATCGCAGAGCAGTTTCTGAGAATGATTCTGTCTAGTTTTTATACGAAGATATTTCCTTTTCTGCCTTTGGCCTCAAAGCGCTTGAAATCTCCACCTGCAAATTCCACAAAAAGAGTGTTTCAAATCTGCTCTTTGTAAATGAAAGTTCAACTCTGTGAGTTGAACACACACAACACAAGGAAGTTACTGGGAATTCTTCTGTCTAGCAGAATATGAAGAAATCCCGTTTCCAACGAAGGCCTCAAACAGGTCTGAATATCCACTTGCAGACTTTACAAACAGAGTGTTTCCTAACTGCTCTATGAAAAGAAAGGTTAAACTCTGTGAGTTGAACGCACACATCACAAAGGAGTTTCTGAGAATCGTTCTGTCTAGTTCCTATAGGAAGATATTTCCTATTCTACCATTGACCTCAAAGCGGCTGAAATCTCCACTTGCAAATTCCACAAAAAGAGTGTTTCAAGTCTGCACTGTGTAAAGGATCGTTCAACTCTTTGAGTTGAATACACACAACACAAGGAAGTTTCTGATAATTCTTCTGTCTAGCATAATATGAAGAAATCCCGTTTCCAACGAAGGCCTCAAACAGGTCTGAATATCCACTTGCAGAGTTTACAAACAGAGTGTTTCCTAACTGCTCTATGAAAAGAAAGGTTAAACTCTGTGAGTTGAACGCACACATCACAAAGAAGTTTCTGAGAATCATTCTGTCTAGTTTTTATATGAAGATATTTCCTTTTCTACCGTTGACCTCAAAGCGGCTGAAATCTCCACTTACAAATTCCACAAAAAGAGTGTCTCAAGTCTGCTCTGTGTAAACGATCGTTCAACTCTGTGAGTTGAATACACACAACACAAGGAAGTTACTGAGAATTCTTCTGTCTAGCAGAATATGAAGAAATCCCGTTTCCAACGAAGGCCACAAGATGTCAGAATATCCACTTACAGAATTTACAAACAGACTGTTTCCTAACTGTTCTATGAAAAGAAAGGTTAAACTCTGTGAGTTGAACGAACACATCACAACGCAGTTTGTGGGAATGATTCTGTCTAGTTTTGAAACGAAGATATTTCCGTTTCTGCCATTGACCTTAAAGCGCTTGAAATCTCCACTTGCCAATTGCACAAAAAGAGTGTTTCAAATCTGCTCTGTCTAAGGGAACGTTCAACTCTGTGAGTTGAATGTACACAACACAAGGAAGTTACTGGGAATTCTTCTGTCTAGCCTTACATGAAAAAAACCCGTTTCCAACGAAGGCCTCTAAGTGGTCAAGTTATCCACGTGCAGACTTTACAAACAGAGTGTTTTCAAACTGCTGAATGAAAAGAAAAGTTAAACTCTGAGAGTTGAAAGCACACATCGCAGAGCAGTTTCTGAGAATGATTCTGTCTAGTTTTGAAACGAAGATATTTCCTTTTCTGCCTTTGGCCTCAAAGTGCTTGAAATCTCCACTTGCAAATTCCACAAAAAGAGTGTTTCAAATCTGCTCTGTGTAAATGAAAGTTCAACTCTGTGAGTTGAACACACACAACACAAGGAAGTTACTGGGAATTCTTCTCTATAGCAGAATATGAAGAAATCCCGTTTCCAACGAAGGCCTCAAGGAGGTCTGAATATCCACTTGCAGACTTTACAAACAGAGTGTTTCCTAACTGCTCTATGAAAAGAAAGGTTAAACTCTGTGAGCTGAACGCACACAGCAAAAAGGAGTTTCTGAGAATCATTCTGTCTAGTTTTTATACGAAGATATTTCCTTTTCTAAAATTGACCTCAAAGCGGCTGAAATCTCCACCCTGCCAATTCCACAAAAAGAGTGTTTCAAGTCTACTCTGTGTAAAGGATCGTTGAACTCTGTGAGTTGACCACACACAACACAACGAAGTTTCTGAGAATTCTTCTGTCTAGCAGAATATGAAGAAATCCCGTTTCCAACGAAAGCCTCAAAGATGTCTGAATATCCACTTGCAGACTTTACAAACAGAGTGTTTCCTAACTGCTCTATGAAAAGAAAGGATAAACTCTGTGAGTTGAACGCACACATCACAAAGGAGTTTCTGAGAATCATTCTGTCTAGTTTTTATACGAAGATATTTCCTTTTCTGCATTTGGCCCCAAAGCGGTTGAAATATACACTTGCAAATTCCACAAAAACAGTGTTTAAAATCTGCTCTATCTAAATGAGAGTTCAACTCTGTCAGTTGAATACACGCAACACAAGGAAGTTACTGAGAATTCTTCTGTCTAGCCTTATATGAAAAAAACCCGTTTCCAACGAAGGCCTCAAAGAGGTCTGAATATCCACTTGGAGACTTTACAAACAGAGTGTTTCCTAACTGCTCTATGAAAAGAAACGTTAAACTCTGTGAGTTGAAAGCACACATCACAAAGGAGTTTCTGAGAATCATTCTGTCTAGTTTTTATAGGAAGATATTTCCTTTTCTACCTTTGACTTCAAAGCGGCTGAAATCTCCACTTGCAAATTCCACAAAAAGAGTGTTACAAGTCTGCTCTGTGTAAAGGATCGTTCAACTCTGTGAGTTGAATACACACAACAGAAGGAAGTTACTGAGAATTCTTCTGTCTAGCCTTACATGAAAAAAACCCGTTTCCAACGAAGGCCTCTAAGTGGTCAAATTATCCACGTGCAGACTTTACAAACAGAGTGTTTCCAAACTGCTGAATGAAAAGAAAAGTTAAACTCTGAGAGTTGAACGCACACATCGCAGAGCAGTTTCTGGGAATGATTCTGTCTAGTTTTGAAACGAAGACATTTCCTTTTCTGCCTTTGGCCTCAAAGTGCTTGAAATCTCCATTTGCAAATTCCACAAAAAGAGTGTTTCAAATCTGCTCTGTGTAAATGAAAGTTCAACTCTGTGAGTTGAACACACACAACACAAGGAAGTTACTGGCAATTCTTCGGTCTAGCATAATATGAAGAAATCCCGTTTCCAACGAAGGCCTCAAAGAGGTCTGAATATCCACTTGCAGACTTTACAAACAGAGTGTTTCCTAACTGCTCTATGAAAAGAAAAGTTAAACTCTGTGAGTTGAACGCACACATCACAAAGGAGTTTCTGAGAATCATTCTGTCTACTTTCTATAGGAAGATATTTCCTATTCTACCATTGACCTCAAAGCGGCTGAAATCTCCACTTGCAAATTCCACAAAAGGAGTGTTTCAAGTCTGCTCTGTGTAAAGGATCGTGCAACTCTGTGAGTTGAAAACACACAACACAAGGAAGTTACTGAGAATTCTTCTGTCTAGCAGAATATGAAGAAATCCCGTTTCCAACAAAGGCCACAAGATGTCAGAATATCCACTTACAGACTTTACAAACAGAGTGTTTCCTAACTGCTCTATGAACAGAAAGTTTAAACTCTGTGAGTTGAACGAGCACATCCCAACGCAGTTTGTGGGAATGATTCTGTCTAGTTTTGAAACGAAGATATTTCCTTTTCTGCCATTGACCTTAAAGCGCTTGAAATCTACACTTGCAAATTGCACAAATAGAGTGTTTCAAATCTGCTCTGTCTAAGGGAACGTTCACCTCTGTGAGTTGAATGCACACAACACAAGGAAGTTACTGGGAATTCTTCTGTCTAGCCTTACAGGAAAAAAACCCGTTTCCAACGAAGGCCTCTAAGTGGTCAAAATAAACACGTGCAGACTTTACAAACAGAGTGTTTCCAAACTGCTGAATGAAAAGAAAAGTTAAACTCTGAGAGTTGAACGCACACATCGCAGAGCAGTTTCTGAGAATGATTCTGTCTAGTTTTTATACGAAGATATTTCCTTTTCTGCTTTTGGCCTCAAAGCGCTTGAAATCTCCATTTGCAAATTCCACAAGAAGAGTGTTTCAAATCTGCTCTGTCTAAATGAAAGTTCAACTCTGTCAGTTGAATACACACAACACAAGGAAGTTACTGAGAATTCTTCTGTCTAGCATAATATGAAGAAATCCCGTTTCCAACGAAGGCCTCAAAGAGGTCTGAATATCCACTTGCAGACTTTACAAACAGAGTGTTTCCTAACTGCTCTATGAGAAGAAAAGTTAAACTCTGTGAGTTAAACGCACACATCACAAAAGATTTTCTGAGAATCATTCTGTCTAGTTTTTATAGGAAGATATTTCCTTTTCTACCTTTGACTTCAAAGCGGCTGAAATCTCCACTTGCAAATTCCACAAAAAGAGTGTTACAAGTCTGCTCTGTATAAAGGATCGTTCAACTCTGTGAGTTGAATACACACAACACAAGGAAGTTACTGAGAATTCTTCTGTCTAGCAGAATATGAAGAAATCCCGTTTCCAACGAAGGCCTCAAAGAGGTCTGAATATCCACTTGCAGACTTTAGAAACAGAGTGTTTCCTAACTGCTCTATGAAAAGAAAGGTTAAACTCTGTGACTTGAACGCACACATCACAAAGGAGTTTCTGAGAATCATTCTGTCTTGTTTTTATACAAAGATATTTCCTTTTCTACCATTGACCTCAAAGGGGCTGAAATCTCCACTTGCAATTCCACAACAAGAGTGTGTCCAATCTGCTCTGTGTAAAAGATCGTTCAACTCTCTGAGTTGAATGCACACAACACAAGGAAGTTACTGAGAATTCTTCTGTATAGCAGAATATGAAGAAATCCCGTTTCCAACGAAAGCCTCAAAGAAGACTGAATATCCACTTGCAGACTTTACAAACAGAGTGTTTCCTAACTGCTCTATGAAAAGAAAGGTTAAACTCTGTGAGTTGAACGCACACATCACAAAGGAGTTTCTGAGAATCATTCTGTCTAGTTTCTATAGGAAGATATTTCCTATTCTACAATTGAACTCAAAGCGGCTGAAATCTCCACTTGCAAATTCCACAAAAAGAGTGTTTCAAGTCTGCTCTGTGTAAAGGATCGTTCAACTCTGTGAGTTGAATACACACAACACAAGGAAGTTACTGAGAATTCTTCTGTCTAGCATAATATGAAGAAATCCCGTTTCCAACGAAGGCCTCAAAGAGGTCTGAATATCCACTTGCAGACTTTACAAACAGAGTTTTTCCTAACTGCTCTATGAAAAGAAAAGTTAAACTGCTGTGAGTTGAACGCACACATCACAAAGGAGTTTATGAGAATCATTCTGTCTAGTTTTTATATGAAGATATTTCCTTTTCTACCAATGACCTCAAAGCGGCTGAAATCTCCACTTACAAATTCCACAAAAAGAGTGTCTCAAGTCTGCTCTGTGTAAACGATCGTTCAACTCTGTGAGTTGAATACACACAACACAAGGAAGTTTCTGAGAATTCTTCTGTCTAGCAGAATATGAAGAAATCCTGTTTCCAACGAAGGCCACAAGATGTCAGAATATCCACTTACAGAATTTACAAACAGACTGTTTCCCAACTGCTCTATGAAAAGAAAGGTTTAACTCTGTGAGTTGAACGCACACATCACAATGAAGTTTCTGAGAATCATTCTGTCTAGTTTTGAAACGAAGATATTTCCTTTTCTGCCATTGACCTTAAAGCGCTTGAAATCTACACTTGCAAATTGCACAAATAGAGTGTTTCAAATCTGCTCTGTCTAAGGCAACGTTCAACTCTGTGAGTTGAATGCACACAACACAAGGAAGTTACTGGGAATTCTTCTGTCTAGCCTTACAGGAAAGAAACCCGTTTCCAACGAAGGCCTCTAAGTGGTCAAAATATCCACGTGCAGACTTTACAAACAGAGTGTTTCCAAACTGCTGAATGAAAAGCAAAGTTAAACTCTGAGAGTTGAACGCACACATTGCAGAGCAGTTTCTGAGAATGATTCTGTCTAGTTTTTCTACGAAGATATATCCTTTTCTGCCTTTGGCCCCAAAGCGCTTGAAATCTCCACTTGCAAATTCCACAAAAACAGTGTTTCAAATCTGCTCTCTCCAAATGAAAGTTCAACTCTGTCAGTTGAATACACACAACACAAGGAAGTTACTGAGAATTCTTCTGTCTAGCAGAATATGAAGAAATCCCGCTTCCAACGAAGGCCTCAAAGAAGTCTGAATATCCACTTGCAGACTTTACAAACAGAGTGTTTCCCAACTGCTCTAGGAAAAGAAAGGTTGAACTCTGTGAGTTGAACGCACACATCACAAAGGAGTTTTTGAGAATCATTCTGTCTAGTTTCTATAGGAAGATATTTCCTATTCTAACATTGAACTCAAAGCGGCTGAAATCTCCACTTGCAAATTCCACAAAAAGAGAGTTTCAAGTCTGCTCTGTGTAAAGGATCGTTCAACTCTGTGAGTTGAATACACACAACACAAGGAAGTTACTGAGAATTCTTCTGTCTAGCCTTATATGAAAAAAACCCGTTTCCAACGAAGGCCTCAAGGAGGTCTGAATATCCACTTGCAGACTTTACAAACAGAGTGTTTCCTAACTGCTCTAAGAAAAGAAAGGTTATACTCTGTGAGTTGAACGCACACATCACAAAGGAGTTTCTGAGAATCATTCTGTCTAGTTTTTATACGAAGATATCTCCTTTTCAACCATTGACCTCAAAGCGGCTGAAATCTCCACTTGCAAATTCCCCAAAAAGAGTGTTTCAAGTCTGCTCTGTGTAAAGGATCGTTGAACTCTGTGAGTTGAATACACACAACACAAGGAAGTTACTGAGAATTCTTCTTTCTAGCAGAATATGAAGAAAACCCGTTTCCAACGAAAGCCTCAAGGATGTCTGAATATCCACTTGCAGACTTTACAAACAGAGTGTTTCCCAACTGCTCTATGAAAAGAAAGGTTGAACTCTGCGAGTTGAACGCACACATCACAAAGGAGTTTCTGAGAATCATTCTGTCTAGTTTCTATAGGAAGATATTTCCTATTCTACCATTGACCTCAAAGCGGCTGAAATCTCCACTTGCAAGTTCCACAAAAAGAGTGTTTCAAGTCTGCCCTGTGTAAAGGATCGTTCAACTCTGTGAGTTGAATACACACAACACAAGGCAGTTACTGAGAATTCTTATGTCTAGCATAATATGAAGAAATCCCGTTTCCAACGAAGGCCTCAAGGAGGTCTGAATATCCACTTGCAGACTTTACAAACAGAGTGTTTCCTAACTGCTCTATGATAAGAAAGGTTAAACTGTGTGAGTTGAACGCACACATCACAAAGGAGTTTCTCAGAATCATTCTGTCTAGTTTCTATAGGAAGATATTTCCTATTCTACCATTGACCTCAAAGCGCCTGAAATCTCCACTTGCAAATTCCACAAAAAGAGTGTTTCAAGTCTGCTCTCTGTAAAGGATCGTTCAACTCTGTGAGTTGAATACACACAAAACAAGGAAGTTACTGAGAATTATTCTGTCTAGCATAATATGAAGAAATCCCGTTTCCAACGAAGGCCTCAAAGGGGTCTGAATATCCACTTGCAGACATTACAAACAGAGTGTTTCCTAACTGCTCTATGAAAAGGAAAGTTAAACTCTGTGAGTTGAACGCACACATCACAAAGGAGTTTCTGAGAATCATTCTGTCTAGTTTCTATAGGAAGATATTTCCTATTCTACCATTGACCTCAAAGCGGCTGAAATCTCCACTTGCAAATTCCACACAAAGAGTGTTTCAAGTCTGCTCTGTGTAAAGGATCGTTCAACTCTGTGAGTTGAATACACACAACACAAGGAAGTTACTGAGAATTATTCTGTCTAGCCTTATATGAAAAAATCCCGTTTCCAACGAAGGCCTCAAAGAGGTCTCAATATCCACTTGCAGACTTTACAAACAGAGTGATTCCTAACTGCTCTATGAAAAGAAAGGTTAAACTCTGTGAGTTGAACACACACATCTCAAAGGAGTTTCTGAGAATCATTCTGTCTAGTTTCTATAGGAAGATATTTCCTATTCTACCATTGAACTCACAGCGGCTGAAATCTCCACTTGCAAATTCCACAAAAAGAGTGTTTCAAGTCTGCACTGTGTAAAGGATCGTTCAACTCTGTGAGTTGAATACACACAACACAAGGAAGTTACTGAGAATTCTTCTGTAGAGCAGAATATGAAGAAATCCCGTTTCCAACGAAGGCCTCAAGGAGGTCTGAATATCCACTTGCAGACTTTACAAACAGAGTGTTTCCTAACTGCTCTACGAAAAGAAAGGTTAAACTCTGTGAGTTGAACGCACACATCACAAAGGAGTTTCTGAGAATCATTCTCTCCAGTTTTTATACGAAGATATTTCCTTTTCTACCATTGACCTCAAAGCGGCTGAAATCTCCACTTGCAATTTCCACAAAAAGAGTGTTTCAAGTCTGCTCTGTGTAAAGGATCGTTCAACTCTGTGAGTTGAATACACACAACACAAGGAAGTTACTGAGAATTCTTCTGTCTAGCAGAATATGAAGAAATCCCGTTTCCAACGAAGGCCTCAAAGAGGTCTGAATATCCACTTGCAGACTTTACAGAGTGTTTCCTAACTGCTCTATGAAAAGAAAGGTTAAACTCTGTGAGTTGAAGGCACACATCACAAAGGAGTTTCTGAGAATCATTCTGTCTAGTTTCTATAGGAAGATATTTCCTATTCTACCATTGACCACATAGCGGCTGAAATCTCCACTTGCAAATTCCACAAAAAGAGTGTTTCAAGTCTGCTCTGTGTAAAGGATCGTTCAACTCTGTGAGTTGAATACACACAACACAAGGAAGTCACTGAGAATTCTTCTGTCTAGCATCATATGAAGAAATCCTGTTTCCAACGAAGGCCTCAAAGAGGTCTGAATATCCACTTGCAGACTTTATAAACAGAGTGTTTCCTAACTGCTCTATGAAAAGAAAGGTTAAACTCTGTGAGTTGAACGGCACACATCACGAAGGAGTTTCTGAGAATGATTCTGTCTAGTTTTTCTACGAAGATATTTCCTTTTCTACTATTGACCTGAAAGCGGCTGAAATCTCCACTTGCAAATTCCACAAAAAGAGTGTTTCAAGTCTGCTCTGTGTAAAGGATCGTTCAACTCTGTGAGTTGAATACACACAACACAAGGAAGTTGCTGAGAATTCTTCTGTCTAGCATAATATGAAGAAATCCCGTTTCCAACGAAGGCCTCAAAGAGGTCTGAATATCCACTTGCAGACTTTACAAACGGAATGTTTCCTAACTGCTCTATGAACAGAAAGGTTAAACTCTGTGAGTTGAACGCACACATCACAAAGGAGTTTCTGAGAATCATTCTGTCTAGTTTCTATAGGAAGATATTTCCTATTCTACCATTGACCACAAAGCGGCTGAAATCTCCACTTGCAAATTCCACAAAAAGAGTGTTTCAAGTCTGCTCTGTGTAAAGGATCATTCAACTCTGAGAGTTGAATACACAGAATACAAGGAAGTTACTGAGAATTTTTCTGTCTAGCGTAATATGAAGAAATCCCGTTTCCAACGAAGGCCTCAAAGAGGTCTGAATATCCACTTGCAGACATTACAAACAGAGTGTTTCCTAACTGCTCTATGAAAAGAAAGGTTAAACTCTGTGAGTTGAACGCACACATCACAAATGAGTTTCTGAGAATCATTCTGTCTAGTTTTTAAACGAAGATATTTCCTTTTCTACCATTGACCTCAAAGCGGCTGAAATCTCCACTTGCAAATTCCACAAAAAGAGTGTTTCAAGTCTACTCTGTGTAAAGCATCGTTCAAATCTGTGAGTTGAAAACACACAACACAAGGAAGTTTCTGAGAATTCTTCTGTCTAGCAGAATATGAAGAAATCCCGTTTCCAACGAAGGCCACAAGATGTCAGAATATCCACTTACAGAATTGACAAACAGACTGTTTCCTAACTGCTCTATGAAAAGAAAGGTTAAACTCTGTGAGTTGAACGAACACATCACAACGCAGATTGTGGGAATGATTCTGTCTAGTTTTGAAACGAAGATATTTCGTTTTCTGCCATTGACCTCAAAGCGCTTGAAATCTCCACTTGCCAATTGCACAAAAAGAGTGTTTCAAATCTGCTCTGTCTAAGGGAACGTTCAACTCTGTGAGTTGAATGTACACAACACAAGGAAGTTACTGGGAATTCTTCTGTCTAGCCTTACAGGAAAGAAACCCGTTTCCAACGAAGGCCCCTAAGTGGTCAAAATATCCACGTGCAGACTTTACAAACAGAGTGTTTCCAAACTGCTGAATGAAAAGAAAAGTTAAACTCTGAGAGTTGAACGCACACATCGCAGAGCAGTTTCTGAGAATGATTCTGTCTAGTTTTTATACGAAGATATTTCCTTTTTTGCCTTTGGCCTCAAAGCGCTTGAAATCTCCACTTGCAAATTCCACAAAAAGAGTGTTTCAAATCTGCTCTGTGTGAATGAAAGTTCAACTCTGTGAGTTGAACACACACAACACAAGGAAGTTACTGGGAATTCTTCTGTCTAGCAGAATATGAAGAAATCCCGTTTCCAACGAAAGCCTCAAAGAAGTCTGAATATCCACTTGCAGACTTTACAAACAGAGTGTTTCCTAACTGCTCTATGAAAAGAAAGGTTGAACTCTGTGAGTTGAACGCAGACATCACAAAGGAGTTTCTCAGAATCATTCTATCTAGTTTTTATAGGAAGATATTTCCTTTTCTACCTTTGACTTCAAAGCGGCTGAAATCTCCACTTGCAAATTCCACAAAAAGAGTGTTACAAGTCTGCTCTGTGTAAAGGATCGTTCAACTCTGTGAGTTGAATACACACAACACAAGGAAGTTACTGAGAATTCTTCTGTCTAGCATAGTATGAAGAAATACCGTTTCCAACGAAGGCCTCAAACAGGTCTGAATATCCACTTGCAGAGTTTACAAACAGAGTGTTTCCTAACTGCTCTATGAAAAGAAAGGTTAAACTCTGTGAGTTGAACGCACACATCACAAAGAAGTTTCTGAGAATCATTCTGTCTAGTTTCTATAAGAAGATATTTCCTATTCTACCATTGACCACAAAGCGGCTGAAATCTCCACTTGCAAATTCGACAAAAAGAGTGTTTCAAGCCTGCTCTCTGTAAAGGATCCTTCAACTCTGTGAGTTGAATACACACAACACAAGGAAGTTACTGAGAAGTATTCTCTCTAGCAGAATATGAAGAAATCCCGTTTCCAACGAAGGCCACAAGATGTCAGAATATCCACTTACAGAATTTACAAACAGACTGTTTCCTAACTGCTCTATGAAAAGAAAGGTTAAACTCTGTGAGTTGAACGAACACATCACAACGCAGTTTGTGGGAATGATTCTGTCTAGTTTTTATAGGAAGATATTTCCTTTTCTACCATTGACCTCAAAGCGGCTGAAATCACCACTTGCCAATTGCACAAAAAGAGTGTTTCAAATCTGCTCTGTCTAAGGGAACGTTCAACTCTGTGAGTTGAATGTACACAACACAAGGAAAGTTACTGGGAATTCTTCTGTCTACCCTTACATGAAAAAAACCCGTTTCCAAATAAGGCCTCTAAGTGGTCAAAATATCCACGTGCAGACTTTACAAACAGAGTATTTCCAAACTGCTGAATGAAAACAAAAGTTAAACTCTGAGAGTTCAACGCACACATCACAGAGCATTTTCTGAGAATGATTCTGTCTAGTTTTTATACGAAGATATTTCCTTTTCTGCCTTTGGCCCCAAAGCGCTTGAAATCTCCACTTGCAAATTCCACAAAAACAGTGTTTCAAATCTGCTCTCTCCAAATGAAAGTTCAACTCTGTTAGTTGAATACACACAACACAAGGAAGTTACTGAGAATTATTCTGTCTAGCAGAATATGAAGAAATCCTGTTTCCAACGAAGGCCTCAAAGGGGTCTGAATATCCACTTGCAGACTTTAAAACCAGAGTGTTTACTAACTGTTCTATGAAAAGAAAGGTTAAACTCTGTGAGTTGAACACACACATCACAAAGGAGTTTCTGAGAATCATTCTGTCTAGTTTCCATAGGAAGATATTTCCTATTCTACCATTGACCTCAAAGCGGCTGAAATCTCCACTTGCAAATTCCACAAAAAGAGTGTTTCAAGTCTGCTCTGTGTAAAGGATCGTTCAACTCTGTGAGTTGAATACACACAACACAAGGAAGTTACTGAGAATTATTCTGTCTCGCAGAATATGAAGAAATCCCGTTTCCAACGAAGGCCACAAGATGTCAGAATATCCACTTACAGACTTTACAAACAGAGTGTTTCCTAACTGCTCTATGAACAGAAAGGTTAAACTCTGTGAGTTGAACGAACACATCACAACGCAGTTTGTGGGAATGATTCTGTCTAGTTTTGAAACAAAGATATTTCCTTTTCTGCCATTGACCTTAAAGCGCTTGAAATCTACACTTGCAAATTGCACAAATAGAGTGTTTCAAATCTGCTCTGTCTAAGGGAACGTTCATCTCAGTGAGTTGAATGCACACAACACAAGGAAGTTACTGGGAATTCTTCTGTCTAGCCTTACAGGAAAAAAACCCGTTTCCAACGAAGTCCTCTAAGTGGTCAAGTTATCCACGTGCAGACTTTACAAACAGAGTGTTTCCAAACTGCTGAATGAAAAGAAAAGTTAAACTCTGAGAGTTGAACGCACACATCGCAGAGCAGTTTCTGAGAATGATTCTGTCTAGTTTTTATACGAAGATATTTCCTTTTCTACCTTTGGCCCCAAAGCGCTTGAAATCTCCACTTGCAAATTCCACAAAAACAGTGTTACAAATCTGCTCTCTCTAAATGAAAGTTCGACTCTGTCAGTTGAATACACACAACACAGGGAAGTTACTGAGAATTCTTCTGTCTAGCAGAATATGAAGAATTCCCGTTTCCAACGAAGGCCTCAAGGAGGTCTGAATATCCACTTGCAGACTTTACAAACAGAGTGTATCCTAACTGCTCTATGAAAAGAAAGGTGAAACTCTGTGAGTTGAATGCGCACATCACAAAGGAGTTTATGAGAATCATTCTGTCTAGTTTTTATACGAAGATATTTCCTTTTCTACCATTGACCTCAAAGCGGCTGAAATCTCCACTTGCAAATTCCTCAAAAAGAGTGTTTCTAATCTGCTCTGTGTAAAGGATCATTCAACTCTGTGAGTTGAATGCACACAACACAAGGAAGTTACTGAGAATTCTTCTGTCTAGCAGAATATGAAGTAATCCCGTTTCCAACGAAGGCCTCAAGGAGGTCTGAATATCCACTTGCAGACTTTACAAACAGAGTGTTTCCTAACTGCTCTATGAAAAGAAAGGTTAAACTCTGTGAGTTGAACGCACACATCACAAAGGAGTTCATGAGAATCATTCTGTCTAGTTTCTATAAGAAGATATTACCTATTCTACCATTGACCTCAAAGCGGCTGAAATCTCCACTTGCAAATTCGACAAAAAGAGTGTTTCAAGCCTGCTCTCTGTAAAGGATCCTTCAACTCTGTGAGTTGAATACACACAACACAAGGAAGTTACTGAGAATTATTCTTTCTAGCAGAATATGAAGAAATCCCGTTTCCAACGAAAGCCTCAAGGATGTCTGAATATCCACTTGCAGACTTTACAAACAGAGTGTTTCCCAACTGCTCTATGAAAAGAAAGGTTAAACTCTGTGAGATGAACGCACACATCACAAAGGAGTTTCTGAGAATCATTCTGTCTAGTTTCTATAGGAAGATATTTCCTATTCTACCATTGACCTCAAAGCGGCTGAAATCTCCACTTGCAAATTCCACAAAAAGAGTGTTTCAAGTCTGCTCTGTGTAAAGGATCGTTCAACTCTGTGTGTTGAATACACACAACACAAGGAAGTTACTGAGAATTGTTCTATCTAGCAGAATATGAAGAAATCCCGTTTCCAACGAAGGCCACAAGATGTCAGAATATCCACTTACAGACTTTACAAACAGAGTGTTTCCTAACTGCTCTATGAACAGAAAGGTTAAACTCTGTGAGTTGAACGAACACATCACAACGCAGTTTGTGGGAATGATTCTGTCTAGTTTTGAAACGAAGATATTTCCTTTTCTGCCGTTGACCTTAAAGAGCTTGGAAACTACACTTGCAAATTGCAGAAATAGAGTGTTTCAAATCTGCTCTGTCTAAGGGAACGTTCAACTCTGTGAGTTGAATGCACACAACACAAGGAAGTTACTGGGAATTCTTCTGTCTAGCCTTACATGAAAAAATCCCGTTTCCAACGAAGGCCTCTAAGTGGTCAAAATATCCACGTGCAGACTTTACAAACAGAGTGTTTCCAAACCGCTGAATGAAAAGAAAAGTTAAACTCTGAGAGTTGAACGCACACATCACGCAGCAGATTCTGAGAATGATTCTGTCTAGTTTTTATACGAAGATATTTCCTTTTCTGCCTTTGGCCCCAAAGCGCTTGAAATCTCCACTTGCAAATTCCAGAAAAACAGTGTTTCAAATCTGCTCTCTCTAAATGAAAGTTCAACTCTGTCAGTTGAATACACACAACACAAGGAAGTTACTGAGAATTCTTCTGTCTAGCATAATATGAAGAAATCCCGTTTCCAACGAAGGCCTAAAGGAGGTCTGAATATCCACTTGCAGAGTTTACAAACGGAGTGTTTCCCAACTGCTCTATGAAAAGAAAGGTTAAACTCTGTGAGTTGAACGCACACATCACAAAGGAGTTTCTCAGAATCATTCTGTCTAGTTTCTATAGGAAGATATTTCCTATTCTACCATTGACCCCAAAGCGGCTGAAATCTCCACTTGCAAATTCCACAAAAAGAATGTTTCAAGTCTGCTCTGTGTAAAGGATCGTTCAACTCTGTGAGTTGAATACACACAACACAAGGAAGTTACTGAGAATTCTTCTTTCTAGCAGAATATGAAGAAATCCCGTTTCCAACGAATGCCTCAAGGATGTCTGAATATCCACTTGCAGACTTTACAAACAGAGTGTTTCCCAACTGCTCTATGAAAAGAAAGGTTAAACTCTGTGAGTTGAACGCACACATCACAAAGGAGTTTCTGAGAATCATTCTGTCTAGTTTTTCTACGAAGCATATTTCCTTTTCTACTATTGACCTCAAAGCGGCTGAAATCTCCACTTGCAAATTCCACAGAAAGAGTGTTTCAAGTCTGCTCTGTGTAAAGGATCGTTCAACTCTGTGAGTTGAATACACACAACACAAGGAAGTTACTGAGAATTCTTCTGTCTAGCAGAATATGAAGAAATCCCGTTTCCAACGAAGGCCTGAAAGAGGTCTGAATATCCACTTGCAGACTTTACAAACAGAGTGCTTCCTAACTGCTCTATGAAAAGAAAGGATAAACTCTGTGAGTTGAACTCACACATCACAAAGGAGTTTCTGAGAATCATTCTGTCTAGTCTTTATACGAAGATATTTACTTTTCTACCATTGACTTCAAAGCGGCTGAAATCTCCACTTGCAAATTCCACAAAAAGAGTGTTTCAAGTCTGCTCTGTGTAGAGGATCATTCAACTCTGTGAGTTGAATAAACACAACACAAGGAAGTTACTGAGAATTCTTCTGTCTAGCAGAATATGAAGAAATCCCGTTTCCAACGAAGGCCTCAAGGAGGTCTGAATATCCACTTGCAGACTTTACGAACAGAGTGTTTCCTAACAGCTCTATGAACAGAAAGGTTAAACTCTGTGAGTTGAACGCACACATCACAAAGGAGTTTCTGAGAATCATTCTGTCTAGTCTTTATACGAAGATATTTACTTTTCTACCATTGACCTCAAAGCGGCTGAAATCTCCACTTGCAAATTCCACAAAAAGAATGTTTCAAGTCTGCTCTGTGTAAAGGATCATTCAACTCTGTGAGTTGAATACACACAACACAAGGGAAGTTACTGAGAATTCTTCTGTCTAGCAGAATATGAAGAAATCCCGTTTCCAACGAAGGCCACAAGATTTCAGAATATCCACTTACAGAATTTACAAACAGAGTGTTTCCTAAGTGCTCTATGAAAAGAAAGGTTAAGCTCTGTGAGTTGAACGAACACATCACAACGCAGTTTGTGGGAATGATTCTGTCTAGTTTTGAAACGAAGATATTCCCTTTTCTGCCATTGACCTTAAAGCGCTTGAAATCTACACTTGCCAATTGCACAAATAGAGTGTTTCAAATCTGCTCTGTCTAAGGGAACGTTCAACTCTGTGAGTTGAATGCACACAACACGAGGAAGTTACTGGGAATTCTTCTGTCTAGCCTTACATGAAAAAAAACCCGTTTCCAACGAAGGCCTCTAAGTGGTCAAAATATCCACGTGCAGACTTTACAAACAGAGTGTTTCCAAACCGCTGAATGAAAAGAAAAGTTAAACTCTGAGAGTTGAATGCACACATCACGCAGCAGTTTCTGAGAATGATTCTGTCTAGTTTTTATACGAAGATAATTCCTTTTCTGCCTTTGGCCTCAAAGCGCTTGAAATCTCCATTTGCAAATTCCACAAAAAGAGTGTTTCAAATCTGCTCTGTGTAAATGAAAGTTCAACTCTGTGAGTTGAACACACACAACACAAGGAAGTTACTGGGAATTCTTCTGTCTAGCATAATATGAAGAAATCCCGTTTCCAACGAAGGCCTCAAAGGGGTCTGAATATCCACTTGCAGACTTTATAAACAAAGTGTTTACTAACTGCTCTATGAAAAGAAAGGTTAAACTCTGTGAGTTGAACACACACATCACAAAGGAGTTTCTGAGAATCATTCTGTCTAGTCTTTATACGAAGATAGTTTCCTTTTCTACCATTGACCTCAAAGCAGCTGAAATCTCCACTTGCAAATTCCACAAAAAGAGTGTTTCAGGTCTGCTCTGTGTAAAGGATCATTCAACTCTGTGAGTTGAATACACACAACACAAGGAAGTTACTGAGAATTCTTCTGTCTAGCATAATATGAAGAAATCCCGTTTCCAACGAAGGCCTCAAAGTAGGTCTGAATATACACTTGCAGACTTTACAAACAGAGTGTTTCCTAACTGCTCTATGAGAAGAAAAGTTAAACTTTGTGAGTTGAACGCACACATCACAAAAGATTTTCTGAGAATCATTCTGTCTAGTTGTTATACGAAGATATTTCCTTTTCTACCATTGACCTCAAAGCGGCTGAAATCTCCACTTGCAAATTCCACCAAATGAGTGTTTCAAATCTGCTCTGTGTAAACCATCGTTCAACTCTGTGAGTTGAATACACACAACACAGGGAAGATTCTGAGAATTCTTCTGTCTAGCAGAATATGAAGAAATCCCGTTTCCAACGAAGGCCACAAGATGTCAGAATATCCACTTACAGAATTTTCAAACAGACTGTTTCCTAACTGCTCTATGAAAAGAAAGGTTTAACTCTGTGAGTTGAACGAACACATCACAACGCAGTTTGTGGGAATAATTCTGTCTAGTTTTGAAACGAAGATATTTCCTTTTCTGCCATTGACCTTAAAGCGCTTGAAATCTACACTTGCAAATTGCACAAATAGAGTGTTTCAAATCTGCTCTGTCTAAGGGAACGTTCATCTCTGTGAGTTGAATGCACACAACAAAAGGAAGTTACTGGGAATTCTTCTGTCTAGCCTTACATGAAAAAAAACACGTTTCCAACGAAGGCTTCTAAGTGGTCAAAATATCCACGAGGAGACTTTACAAACAGAGTGTTTCCAAACTGCTGAATGAAAAGAAAAGTTAAACTCTGAGAGTTGAACGCACACATCACAGAGCGGTTTCTGAGAATGATTCTGTCTAATTTTTATACTGAAGATATTTCCTTTTCTGCCTTTGGCCTCAAAGCGCTTGAAATCTCCACTTGCAAATTCCACAAAAAGAGTGTTTCCAATCTGCTCTGTGTAAATGAAAGTTCAACTCTGTGAGTTGAACACACACAACACAAGGAAGTTACTGGGAATTCTTCTGTCTAGCAGAATATGAAGAAATCCCGCTTCCAACGAAGGCCTCAAAGAAGTCTGAATATCCACTTGCAGACTTTACAAACAGAGTGTTTCCCAACTGCTCTATGAAAAGAAAGGTTGAACTCTGTGAGTTGAACGCACACATCACAAAGGAGTTTGCTGAGAATCATTCTGTCTAGTTTTTGTACGAAGATATTTCCTTTTCTACCCTTGACCTCAAAGCGGCTGAAATCTCCACTTGCCAATTCCACAAAAAGAGTGTTTCAAGTCTACTCTGTGTAAAGGATCGTTGAACTCTGTGAGTTGAAAACACACAACACCAGGAAGTTTCTGAGAATTCTTCTGTCTAGCAGAATATGAAGAAAACCCGTTTCCAACGAAAGCCTCAAAGATGTCTGAATATCCACTTGCAGACTTTACAAACAGAGTGTTTCCTAACTGCTCTATGAAAAGAAAGGTTAAACTCTGTGAGTTGAACGCACACAGCTCAAAGGAGTTTCTGAGAATCATTCTGTCTAGTTTCTTTAGGAAGATATTTCCTATTCTACCGTTGACCTCAAAGCGGCTGAAATCTCCACTTGCAAATTCCACAAAAAGAGTGTTTCAAGTCTGCTCTGTGTAAAGGATCGTTCAACTCTGTGAGTTGAATACACACAACACAAGGAAGTTACTGAGAATTCTTCTGTCTAGCCTTACAGGAAAAAACCCGTTTCCAACGAAGGCCTCTAAGTGGTCAAAATATCCACGTGCAGACTTTACAAACAGAGTGTTTCCAAACTGCTGAATGAAAAGAAAAGTTAAACTCTGAGAGTTGAACGCACACATCGCAGAGCAGTTTCTGAGAATGATTCTGTCTAGTTTTTATACGAAGATATTTCCTTTTCGGCCTTTGGCCTCAAAGCGCTTGAAATCTCCACTTGCAAATTCCACAAAAAGAGTGTTTCAAATCTGCTCTGTCTAAATGAAAGTTCAACTCTGTCAGTTGAATACACACAACACAAGGAAGTTACTGAGAATTCTTCTGTCTAGCAGAATATGAAGAAATCCCGTTTCCAACGAAGGCCTCAAAGAGGTCTGAATATCCACTTGCAGACTTTACAAACAGAGTGTTTCCCAACTGCTCTATGAAAAGGAAGGTTAAATTCTGTGAGTTGAACGCACACATCACAAAGGAGTTTCTGAGAATCATTCTGTCTAGTTTTTATACGAAGATATTTCCTTTTCTACCATTGACCTCAAAGCGGCTGAAATCCCCAATTGCAAATTCCACAAAAAGAGTGTTTCAAGTCTGCTCTGTGTAAAGGATCATTGAACTCTGTGAGTTGAATACACACAACACAAGGAAGTTACTGAGAATTCTTCTGTCTAGCATAATATGAAGAAAACCCGTTTTCAACGAAGGCCTCAAGGAGGTCTGAATATCCACTTGCAGACTTTACAAACAGAGTGTTTCCTAACTGCTCTATGAAAAGAAAGGTTAAACTCTGTGAGTTGAACGCATACATCACAAAGGAGTTTCTGAGAATCATTCTGTCTAGTTTTTATACGAAGATATTTCCTTTTCTGCCTTTGGCCTCAAAGCGCTTGAAATCTCCATTTGCAAATTCCACAAAAAGAGTGTTTCAAATCTGCTCTGTGTAAATGAAAGTTCAACTCACAGAGTTGAACACACACATCACAAGGAAGTTACTGGGAATTCTTCTGTCTAGCATAATATTAAGAAATCCCGTTTCCAACGAAGGCCTCAAAGGGGTCTGAATATCCACTTGCAGACTATATAAACAGAGTGTTTCCTAACTGCTCTATGAAAAGAAAAGTTCAACTCTGTGATTTGAACGCACACATCACGAAGGAGTTTAGGAGAATCATTCTGTCTAGTCTTTATACGAAGATATTTCCTTTTCTACCATTGACCTCATAGCGGCTGAAATCTCCACTTGCAAATTCCACAAAAAGAGTGTTTCAAGTCTGCTCTCTGTAAAGGATCGTTCAACTCTGTGAGTTGAATACACACAACACAAGGAAGTTACTGAGAATTATTCTGTCTAGCCTTACAGGAAAAAAACCCGTTTCCAACGAAGGCCTCTAAATGTTCAAAATATCCACGTGCAGACTTTACAAACAGAGTGTTTCCAAACTGCTGAATGAAAAGAAAAGTTAAACTCTGAGAGTTGAACGCACACATCGCAGAGCAGTTTCTGAGAATGATTCTGTCTAGTTTTTATACGAAGATATTTCCTTTTCTGCCTTTGGCCCCAAAGCACTTGAAATCTCCACTTGCAAATTCCACAAAAACAGTGTTTCAAATCTGCTCTCTCTAAATGAAAGTTCAACTCTGTCAGTTGAATACACACAACACAAGGAAGTTACTGAGAATTCTTCTGTCTAGCCTTATATGAAAAAACCCGTTTCCAACGAAGGCCTCAAAGAGGTCTGAATATCCACTTGCAGACATTACAAACAGAGTGTTTCCTAACTGCTCTATGAAAAGAAAGGTTAAACTCTGTGAGTTGAACACACACATCACAAAGGAGTTTCTGAGAATCATTGTGTCTAGTTTCTATAGGAAGATATTTCCTATTCTACCATTGACCTCAAAGCGGCTGAAATCTCCACTTGCAAATTCCACAAAAAGAGTGTTTCAAGTCTGCTCTGTGTAAAGGATCGTTCAACTCTGTGAGTTGAATACACACAACACAAGGAATTTACTGAGAATTCTTCTGTCTAGCAGAATATGAAGAAATCCCGTTTCCAGCGAAGGCCTCAAGGAGGTCTGAATATCCACTTGCAGACTTTACAAACAGGGTGTTTCCTAACTGCTCTATGAACAGAAAAGTTAAACTCTGTGAGATGAACGAACACATCACAACGCAGTTTGTGGGAATGATTCTGTCTAGTTTTGAAACGAAGATATTTCCTTTTCTGCCGTTGACCTTAAAGAGCTTGAAAACTACACTTGCAAATTGCACAAATAGAGTGTTTCAAATCTGCTCTGTCTAAGGGAACGTTCAACTCTGTGAGTTGAATGCACACAACACAAGGAAGTTACTGGGAATTCTTTCTGTCTAGCCTTACATGAAAAAAACCCGTTTCCAACGAAGGCCTCTAAGTGGTCAAAATATCCACGTGCAGACTTTACAAACAGAGTGTTTCCAAACCGCTGAATGAAAAGAAAAGTTAAACTCTGAGAGTTGAACGCACACATCATGCAGCAGTGTCTGAGAATGATTCTGTCTAGTTTTTATACGAAAGTATTTCCTTTTCTGCCTTTGGCCTCAAAGCGCTTGAAATCTCGACTTGCAAATTCCACAAAAAGAGTGTTTCAAATCTGCTCTGTCTGAAGGAAGGTTGAACTCTGTGAGTTGCATACACACGACACAAAGAAGTTACTGAGAAATATTCTGTCTAGCATAGTATGAAGAAATCCCGATTCCAACGAAGGCCTCAAAGAGGTCTGTATATCCACTTGCAGAGTTTACAAACAGAGTGTTTCCTAACTGCTCTATGAAAAGAAAGGTTAAACTCTGTGAGTTGAACGCACACATCACAAAGAAGTTTCTGAGAATCATTCTGTCTAGTTTTTATAGGAAGATATTTCCTTTTCTACATTTGACTTCAAAGCGGCTGAAATCTCCACTTGCAAATTCCACAAAAAGAGTGTTACAAGTCTGCTCTGTGTAAAGGATCGTTCAACTGTGTGAGTTGAATACACACAACACAAGGAAGTTACTGAGAATTCTTCTGTCTAGGCTTACAGGAAAAAAACCCGTTTCCAACGAAGGCCTCTAAGTGGTCAAAATATCCACGTGCAGACTTTACAAACAGAGTGTTTCCAAACTGCTGAATGAAAAGAAAAGTTAAACTCTGAGAGTTGAACGCACACATCGCAGAGCAGTTTCTGAGAATGATTCTGTCTAGTTTTTATACGAAGATATTTCCTTTTCTGCCTTTGGCCTCAAAGCGCTTGAAATCTCCACTTGCAAATTCCAGAAAAAGAGTGTTTCAAATCTGCTCTGTGTAAATGAAAGTTCAACTCTGTGAGTTGAACAGACACAACACAAGGAAGTTACTGGGAATTCTTCGGTCTAGCATAATATGAAGAAATCCCGTTTCCAACGAAGGCCTCAAAGAGGTCTGAATATCCACTTGCAGACTTTACAAACAGAGTGTTTCCTAACTGCTCTATGAACAGAAAGGTTAAACTCTGTGAGTTGAACGCACACATCACAAAGGAGTTTCTGAGAATCATTCTGTCTAGTTTTTATAGGAGGATATTTCCTTTTCTACCTTTGACTTCAAAGCGGCTGAAATCTCCACTTGAAAATTCCACAAAAAGAGTGTTACAAGCCTGCTCTGTGTAAAGGATCGTTCAACTCTGTGAGTGGAATACACACAACACAAGGAAGTTACTGAGAATTCTTCTGTCTAGCATAATATGTAGAAATCCCGTTTCCAACGAATGCCTCAAGGAGGTCTGAATATCCACTTGCAGACTTTACAAACAGAGTGTTTCCTAACTGCTCTATGAAAACAAAGGTTAAACTGTGTGAGTTGAACGCACACATCACAAAGGAGTTTCTGAGAATCATTCTGTCTAGTTTCTATAGGAAGATATTTCCTATTCTACCATTGACCTCAAAGCGGCTGAAATCTCCACTTGCAAATTCCACAACAAGAGTGTTTCAAGTCTACTCTGTGTAAAGCATCGTTGAACTCTGTGAGTTGAATACACACAACACAATGAAGTTACTGAGAATTCTTCTGTCTAGCAGAATATGAAGAAATCCCGTTTCCAACGAAGGTCACAAGATGTCAGAATATCCACTTACAGAATTTACAAACAGACTGGTTCCTAACTGCTCTATGAAAAGAAAGTTTAAACTCTGTGAGTTGAACGAACACATCACAACGCAGTTTGTGGGAATGATTCTGTCTAGTTTTGAAACGAAGATATTTCCTTTCCTGCCATTGACCTTAAAGCGCTTGAAATCTCCATTTGCCAATTGCACAAAAAGAGTGTTTCAAATCTGCTCTGTCTAAGGGAACGTTCAACTCTGTGAGTTGAATGTACACAACACAAGGAAGTTACTGGGAATTCTTCTGTCTAGCCTTACATGAAAAAAACCCGTTTCCAACGAAGGCCTCTAAGTGGTCAAATTATCCACGTGCAGACCTTACAAACAGAGTGTTTCCAAATTGCTGAATGAAAAGAAAAGTTAAACTCTGAGAGTTGAACGCACACATCACAGAGCAGTTTCTGAGAATGATTCTGTCTAGTTTTTATACGAAGATATTTCCTTTTCTGCCTTTGGCCTCAAAGCGCTTGAAATCTCCACTTGCAAATTCCACAAAAAGAGTGTTTCAAATCTGCTCTGTGTAAATGAAAGTTCAACTCTGTAAGTTGAACACACACAACACAAGGAAAGTTACTGGGAATTCTTCTGTATAGCAGAATATGAAGAAATCCCGTTTCCAACGAAAGCCTCAAAGATGTCTGAATATCCACTTGCAGACTTTACAAACAGAGTGTTTCCTAACTGCTCTATGAAAAGAAAAGTTAAACTCTGTGAGTTGAACGCACACATCACAAAGGAGTTTCTGAGAATCATTCTGTCTAGTTTCTAAAGGAAGATATTTCCTATTCTACCATTGACCTCAAAGCGGCTGAAATCTCCACTTGCAAATTCTACAAAAAGAGTGTTTCAAGTCTGCTCTGTGTAAAGGATCGTTCAACTCTGTGAGTTGAATACACACAACACAAGGAAGTTACTGAGAATTCTTCTGTCTAGCGTTACATGGAAAAAACCCGTTTCCAACGATGGCCTCTCAGTGGTCAAATTATCCAGCAGCAGACTTTTCAAACAGAGTGTTTCCAAACTGCTGAATGAAAAGGAAAGTTAAACTCTGAGAGTTGAACGCACACATCACAGAGCAGTTTCTGAGAATGATTCTGTCTAGTTTTTATACGAAGATATTTCCTTTTCTGCCTTTGGCCTCAAACCGCTTGAAATCTCCATTTGCAAATTCCACAAAAAGAGTGTTTCAAATCTGCTCTGTGTAAATGAAATTTCAACTCTGTGAGTTGAACACACACAACACATGGAAGTTACTGGGAATTCTTCTGTCTAGCATAATATGAAGAAATCCCGTTTCCAACGAAGGCCTCAAGGAGGTCTGAATATCCACTTGCAGACTTTACAAACAGAGTGTTTCCTAACAGCTCTATGAAAAGAAAGGTTAAACTGTGTGAGTTGAACGCACACATCACAAAGGAGTTTCTGAGAATCATTCTGTCTAGTTTCTATAGGGAGATACTTCCTATTCTACCATTGACCTCAAAGCGGCTGAAATCTCCACTTGCAAATTCCACAAAAAGAGTGTTTCAAGTATGCTCTGTGTAAAGGATCGTTCAACTCTGTGAGTTGAATACACACAACACAAGGAAGTTACTGAGAATTCTTCTGTCTAGCAGAATATGAAGAAACCCCGTTTCCAACGAAAGCCTCAAAGATGTCTGAATATCCACTTGCAGACTTTACAAACAGAGTGTTTCCTAACTGCTCTGAGAAAAGAAAGGTTAAACTCTGTGAGTTGAACGCACACATCACAAAGGAGTTTCTGAGAATCATTCTGTCTAGTTTCTATAGGAAGATATTTCCTATTCTACCATTGACTTCAAAGCGGCTGAAATCTCCACTTGCAAATTCCACAAAAAGAGTGTTTGAAGTCTGCTCTGTGTAAAGGATCGTTCAACTCTGTGAGTTGAATACACACAACACAAGGAAGTTACTGAGAATTCTTCTGTCTACCTGAACATGAAGAAATCCCGCTTCCAACGAAGGCCTCAAGGAGGTCTGAATATCCACTTGCAGACTTTACAAACAGAGTGTTTCCTAACTGCTCTATGAAAAGAAAGGTTAAACTCTGTGAGTTGAACGCACACATCACAAAGGAGTTTCTGAGAATCATTCTGTCTAGTTTCTATAGGAAGATATTTCCTATTCTACCATTGACTTCAAAGCGGCTGAAATCTCCACTTGCAAATTCCACAAAAACAGTGTTTCAAGTCTGCTCTGTGTAAAGGATCGTTCAACTCTGTGAGTTGAATACACACAACACAAGGAAGTTACTGAGAATTCTTCTTTCTAGCAGAATATGAAGAAATCCCGTTTCCAACGAAAGCCTCAAGGATGTCTGAATATCCACTTGCAGACTTTACAAACAGAGTGTTTCCTAACTGCTCTATGAAAAGAAAGGTTAAACTCTGTGAGTTGAACGCACACATCACAATGAAGTTTCTGAGAATCATTCTGTCTAGTTTTTATACGAAGATATTTCCTTTTCTACCATGGACCTCAAAGCGGCTGAAATCTCCACTTGCAAATTCCACAAAAAGAGTGTTTCAAGTCTGCTCTGTGTAAAGGATCGTTCAACTCTGTGCGTTGAATACACACAACACAAGGAAGATTCTGAGAGTTCTTCTGTCTAGCAGAATATGAAGAAATCCCGTTTCCAACGAAGGCCTCAAGGAGGTCTGAATATCCACTTGCAGACTTTACAAACAGAGTGTTTCCTAACTGCTCTATGAACAGTAAGGTTAAACTCTGTGAGTTGAACGCACACATCACAAAGGAGTTTCTGAGAATCATTCTGTCTAGTTTCTATAGGAAGATATGTCCTATTCTACCATTGACCTCAAAGCGGCTGAAATCTCCACTTGCAAATTCCACAAAAAGAGTGTTTCAAGTCTGCTCTGTGTAAAGGATCGTTCAACTCTGTGAGTTGAATACACACAACACAAGGAAGTTACTGAGAATTCTTCTGTCTAGCAGAATATGAAGAAATCCCGTTTCCAACGAAGGCCTCAAGGAGGTCTGAATATCCACTTGCAGACTTTACAAACAGAGTGTTTCCTAACTGCTCTATGAAAAGAAAGGTTAAAGTCTTTGAGTTGAATGCACACATCACAAAGGAGTTTATGAGAAACATTCTGTCTAGTATCTATAGGAAGATATTTCCTATTCTACCATTGACCTCAAAGCGGCTGAAATCTCCACTTGCAAATTCCAGAAAAAGAGTGTTTCAAGTCTGCTCTGTGTAAAGGATCGTTCAACTCTGTGAGTTGAATACACACAACACAAGGAAGTTTCTGAGAATTCTTCTGTCTAGCATAATATGAAGAAATCCCGTTTCCTACGTAGGCCTCAAAGAGGTCTGAATATCCACTTGCAGACTTTACAAACAGAGTGTTCCCTAACTGCTCTATGAAAAGAAAGGTTAAACTCTGTGAGTTGAACGCACACATCACAAAGGAGTTTCTGAGAATCATTCTGTCTAGTTTTTATAGGAAGATATTTCCTTTTCTACCTTTGACGTCAAAGCGGCTGAAATCTCCACTTGCAAATTCCACAAAAAGAGTGTTACAAGTCTGCTCTGTGTAAAGGATCGTTCAACTCTGTGAGTTGAATACACACAACACAAGGAAGTTGCTGAGAATTCTTCTGTCTAGCATAATATGAAGAAATCCCTTTTCCAAAGAAGGCCTCAAAGAGGTCTGAATATCCACTTGCAGACTTTACAAACAGAGTGTTTCCTAACGGCTCTATGAAAAGAAAAGTTAAACTCTGTGAGTTGAACGCACACATCACAAAGGAGTTTCTGAGAATCATTCTGTCTAGTTTCTATAGGAAGATATTTCCTATTCTACCATTGACCTCAAAGCGGCTGAAAACTCCACTTGCAAATTCCACAAAAAGAGTGTTTCAAGTCTGCTCTGTGTAAAGGATCGTTCAACTCTGTGAGTTGAATACACACAACACAAGGAAGTTACTGAGAATTCTTCTGTCTAGCAGACTATGAAGAAATCCCGTTTCCAACGAAGGCCACAAGATGTCAGAATATCCACTTACAGACTTTACAAACAGAGTGTTTCCTAACTGCTCTATGAACAGAAAGGTTAAACTCTGTGAGTTGAACGAACACATCACAACGCAGTTTGTGGGAATGATTCTGTCTAGTTTTGAGACGAAGATATTTCCTTTTCTGCCGTTGACCTTAAAGCGCTTGAAATCTACACTTGCAAATTGCACAAATAGAGTGTTTCAAATCTGCTCTGCCTAAGGGAACGTTCAACTCTGTGAGTTGAATGCACACAACACAAGGAAGTTACTGGGAATTCTTCTGTCTAGCCTTACATGAAAAAAACCCGTTTCCAACGAAGACCCCTAAGTGGTCAAAATATCCACGTGCAGACTTTACAAACTGAGTGTTTCCAAACTGGTGAATGAAAAGAAAAGTTAAACTCTGAGAGTTGAACGCACACATCACAGAGCAGTTACTGAGAATGATTCTGTCTAGTTTTTATACGAAGATATTTCCTTTTCTGCCTTTGGCCCCAAAGCGCTTGAAATCTCCACTTGCAAATTCCACAAAAACAGTGTTTCAAATCTCCTCTCTCTAAATGAAAGTTCAACTCTGTCAGTTGAATACACACAACACAAGGAAGTTACTGAGAATTCTTCTGTCTAGCATAATATGTAGAAATCCCGTTTCCAACGAAGGCCTCAAGGAGGTCTGAATATCCACTTGCAGACTTTACAAACAGAGTGTTTCCTAACTGCTCTATGAAAAGAAAGGTTAAACTCTGTGAGTTGAACGCAGACATCACGAAGGAGTTTCTGAGAATCACTCTGTCTAGTTTTTATAGGAAGATATTTCCTTTTCTACTTTTGACTTCAAAGCGGCTGAAATCTCCACTTGCAAATTCCACAAAAAGAGTGTTACAAGTCTGCTCTGTGTAAAGGATCGTTCAACTCTGTGAGTTGAATACACACAACACAAGGAAGTTACTGAGAATTCTTCTGTCTAGCAGAATATGAAGAAATCCCGTTTCCAACGAAGGCCTCAAAGAGGTCTGAATATCCACTTGCAGACTTTACAAACAGAGTGTTTCCTAACTGCTCTATGAAAAGAAAGGTTAAACTCTGTGAGTTGAACGCACACATCACAAAGGAGTTTCTGAGAATCAATCTGTCTAGTTTTTATACGAAGATATTTCCTTTTCTACCATGGACCTCAAAGCGGCTGAAATCTCCACTTGCAAATTCCACAAAAAGAGTGTTTCAAGTCTGCTCTGTGTAAAGGATCGTTCAACTCTGTGAGTTGAATAGACACAACACAAGGAAGATTCTGAGAATTCTTCTGTCTAGCAGAATATGAAGAAATCCCGTTTCCAACGAAGGCCACAAGATGTCAGAATATCCACTTACAGACTTTACAAACAGAGTGTTTCCTAGCTGCTCTATGAACAGAAAGGTTAAACTCTGTGAGTTGAACGAACACATCACAACGCAGTTTGTGGGAATGATTCTGTCTAGTTTTGAAACGAAGATATTTCCTTTTCTGCCATTGACCTTAAAGCGCTTGAAATCTACATTTGCAAATTGCACAAATAGAGTGTTTCAAATCTGCTCTGTCTAAGGGAACGTTCAACTCTGTGAGTTGAATGCACACAACACAAGGGAAGTTACTGGGAATTCTTCTGTCTAGCAGAATATGAAGAAATCCCGTTTCCAACGAAGGCCTGAAAGGGGTCTGAATATCCACTTGCAGACTTTATAAACAGAGTGTTTACTAACTGCTCTATGAAAAGAAAGGTTAAACTCTGTGAGTTGAACACACACATCACAAAGGAGTTTCTGAGAATCATTCTGTCTAGTTTCTATAGGAAGATATTTCCTATTCTACCATTGACCCAAAGCGGCTGAAATCTCCACTTGCAAATTCCACAAAAAGAGTGTTTCAAGTCTGCTCTCTGTAAAGGATCGTTCAACTCTGTGGGTTGAATACACACAACACAAGGAAGTTACTGAGAATTATTCTGTCTAGCAGAATATGAAGAAATCCCGTTTCCAACGAAGGCCTCAAAGAGGTCTGTATATCCACTTGAAGACTTTACAAACAGAGTGTTTCCTAACTGCTCTATGAAAACAAAAGTTAAACTCTGTGAGTTGAACGCACACATCACAAAGGAGTTTCTGAGAATCATTCTGTCTAGTTTCTATAGGAAGATATTTCCTATTCTACCATTGTCTTCAAAGCGGCTGAAATCTCCACTTGCAAATTCCACAAAAGGAGTGTTTCAAGTCTACTCTGTGTAAAGGATCGTTCAACTCTGTGAGTTGAATACACACAACACAAGGAAGTTACTGAGAATTCTTCTGTCTTGCAGAATATGAAGAAATCCCGTTTCCAACGAAGGCCTCAAAGAGGTCTGAATATCCACTTGTAGACTGTACAAACAGAGTGTTTCCCAACTGCTCTATGAAAAGAAAAGTTGAACTCTGTGAGTTGAACGAACACATCACAAAGGAGTTTCTGAGAATCATTCTGTCTAGTTTCTATAGGAAGATATTTCCTATTCTACCATTGACCTCAAAGCGGCTGAAATCTCCACTTTCAAATTCCACAAAAAGAGTGTTTCAAGTCTGCTCTGTGCAAAGGATCGTTCAACTCTGTGAGTTGAATACACACAACACAAGGAAGTTACTGAGAATTCTTCTGTCTAGCATAATATGAAGAAATCCCGTTTCCAACGAAGGCCTCAAGGAGGTCTGAATATCCACTTGCAGACTTTACAAACGGAGTGTTTCCTAACTGCTCTATGAAAAGAAAGGTTAAACTCTGTGAGTTGAACGCACACATCACAAAGGAGTTTCTGAGAATCATTCTGTCTAGTTTTTTTATGAAGATATTTCCTTTTCTACCATTGACCTCAAAGCGGCTGAAATCTCCACTTGCAAATTCCACAAAAAGAGTGTTTCTAATCTGCTCTGTGTAAAGGAACGTTCAACTCTGTGAGTTGAAAGTACACAACACAAGGAAGTTACTGAGAATTCTTCTGTCTAGCAGAATATGAAGAAATCCCGTTTCCAACGAAGGCCTCAAAGAGGTCAGAATATCCACTTGCAGACTTTACAAACAGAGTGTTTCCTAACTGCTCTATGAAAAGAAAGGTTAAACTCTGTGAGTTGAACGCACACATCACAAAGGAGTTTCTGAGAATCATTCTGTCTAGTTTTGAAACGAAGATATTTCCTTTTCTGCCATTGACCTTAAAGCGCTTGAAATCTCCACTTGCCAATTGCACAAAAAGAGTGTTTCAAATCTGCTCTGTCTAAGGGAACGTTCAACTCTGTGTGTTGAATGTACACAACACAAGGAAGTTACTGGGAATTCTTCTGTCTAGCCTTACATGAAAAAAACCCGTTTCCAACGAAGGCCTCTAAGTGGTCAAAATATCCACGTGCAGACTTTACAAACAGAGTGTTTCCAAACCGCTGAATGAAAAGAAAAGTTAAACTCTGAGAGTTGAACGCACACATCACGCAGCAGTTTCTTAGAATGATTCTGTCTAGTTTTTATACGAAGATATTTCCTTTTCTGCCTTTGGCCCCAAAGCGCTTGAAATCTCCAATTGCAAATTCCACAAAAACAGTGTTTCAAATCTGCTCTCTCTAAATGAAAGTTCAACTCTGTCCTTTGAATACACACAACACAAGGAAGTTACTGAGAATTCTTCTTTCTAGCAGAATATGAAGAAATCCCATTTCCAACGAAAGCCTCAAGGATGTCGGAATATCCACTTGCAGACTTTACAAACAGAGTGTTTCCCAACTGCTCTATGAAAAGAAAGGTTAAACTCTGTGAGTTGAACGCACACATCACAAAGGAGTTTCTGAGAATCATTCTGTCTTGTTTCCATACGAAGATATTTCCTTTTCTACCATTGACCTCAAAGCGGCTGAAATCTCCACTTGCAAATTCCACAAAAAGAGTGTTTCAAGTCTGCTCTGTGTAAAGGATCGTTCAATTCTGTGAGTTGAATACACACAACACAAGGAAGTTACTGAGAATTCTTCAGTCTAGCAGAATATGAAGAAATCCCTTTTCCAACGAAGGCCACAAGATGTCAGAATATCCACTTACAGAGTTTACAAACAGAGTGTTTCCTCACTGCTCTATGAACAGAAAGGTTAAACTCTGTGAGTTGAACGAACACATCACAACGCAGTTTGTGGGAATGATTCTGTCTAGTTTTGAAACGAAGATATTTCCTTTTTTGCCATTGACCTTAAAGCGCTTGAAATCTACACTTGCAAATTGCACAAATAGAGCGTTTCAAATCTGCTCTGTCTAAGGGAACGTTCATCTCTGTGAGTTGAATGCACACAACACAAGGAAGTTACTGGGAATGCTACCGTCTAGCCTTACGTGAAAAAAAACCCGTTTCCAACGAAGGCCTCTAAGTGGTCAAAATATCCACGTGCAGACTTTACAAACAGAGTGTTTCCAAACTGCTGAATGAAAAGAAAAGTTAAACTCTGAGAGTTGAACGCACACATCACAGAGCTGTTTCTGAGAATGATTCTGTCTAGTTTTTATAGGAAGATATTTCCTTTTCTGCCTTTGGCCTCAAAGCGCTTGAAATCTCCATTTGCAAATTCCACAAAAAGAGAGTTTCAAATCTGCTCTGTGTAAATGAGAGTTCATCTCTGTGACTTGAACACACACAACAAAAGGAAGTTACTGGGAATTCTTCTGTATAGCAGAATATGAAGAAATCCCGTTTCCAACGAAAGCCTCAAAGATGTCTGAATATCCACTTGCAGACGTTACAAACAGAGTGTTTCCTAACTGCTCTATGAAAAGAAAGGTTAAACTCTGTGAATTGAACGCACACATCACAAAGGAGTTTCTGACAATCATTCTGTCTAGTCTTTATACGAAGATAGTTTCCTTTTCTACCATTGACCTCAAAGCGGCTGAAATCTCCACTTGCAAATTCAACAAAAAGAGTGTTTCAAGTCTGCTCTCTGTAAAGGATCGTTCAACTCTGTGAGTTGAATACACACAACACAAGGAAGTTACTTGAGAATTATTGTGTCTAGCATAATATGAAGAAATCCCGTTTCCAACGAAGGCCTCAAGGAGGTCTGAATATCCACTTGCAGACTTTACAAACAGAGTGTTTCCTAACTGCTCTATGAAAAGAAAGGTTAAACTCTGTGAGTTGAACGCACACATCACAAAGGAGTTTCTCAGAATCATTGTGTCTAGTTTCTATAGGAAGATATTTCCTATTCTACCGTTGACCTCAAAGCGGCTGAAATCTCCAGTTGCAAATTCCACAAAAAGAATGTTTCAAGTCTGCTCTGTGTAAAGGATCGTTCAACTCTGTGAGTTGAATACACACAACACAAGGAAGTTACTGAGAATTCTTCTGTCTAGCAGAATATGAAGAAACCCCGTTTCCAACGAAGGCCTCAAAGAGTTCTGAATATCCACTTGCAGACTTTACAAACAGAGTGTTTCCTAACTGCTCTAAGAAAAGAAAACTTCAACTCTGTGAGTTGAACGCACACATCACAAAGGAGTTTCTGAGAATCATTCTGTCTAGTTTTTATACGAAGATATTTCCTTTTCTGCCTTTGGCCTCAAAGCGCTTGAAATCTCCACTTGCAAATTCCACAAAAAGAGTGTTTCAAGTCTGCTCTGTGTAAAGGATCGTTCTACTCTGTGAGTTGAATACACACAACACAAGGAAAGTTACTGAGAATTCTTCTGTCTAGCATAATATGAAGAAATCCCGTTTCCAACGAAGGCCTCAAAGAGGTCTGAATATCCACTTGCAGACTTTACAAACAGAGTGTTTCCTAACTGCTCTATGAGAAGAAAAGTTAAACTCTGTGAGTTGAACGCACACATCACAAAAGATTTTCTGAGAATCAATCTGTCTAGTTTTTATACGAAGATATTTCCTTTTCTACCATTGACCTCAAAGTGGCTGAAATCTCCACTTGCAAATTCCACAAAAAGAGTGTTTCTAATCTGCTCTGTGTAAAGGATCGTTGAACTCTGTGAGTTGAAAGCACACAACACAAGGAAGTTACTGAGAATTCTTCTGTCTAGCCTTATATGAAAAAAACCCGTTTCCAACGAAGGCCTCAAAGAGGTCTGAATATCCACTTGCAGACTATACAAACAGAGTGTTTCCTAACTGCTCTATGAAAAGAAAGGTTAAACTCTGTGAGTTGAACGCACACATCACAAAGGAGTTTCTGAGAATCATTCTGTCTAGTTTCTATAGGAAGATATTTCCTATTCTACCATTGAACTCAAAGCGGCTGAAATCTCCACTTGCAAATTCCACAAAAAGAGTATTTAAAGTCTGCTCTGTGTAAAGGATCGTTCAACTCTGTGAGTTGAATACACACAACACAAGGAAGTTACTGAGAATTCTTCTGTCTAGCAGAATATGAAGAAATCCCGTTTCCAACGAAGGCCTCAACGAGGTCTGAATATCCACTTGCAGACTTTACAAACAGAGTGTTTCCTAACTGCTCTATGAAAAGAAAGGTTAAACTCTGTGAGTTGAACGCACACATCACAAAGGAGTTTATGAGAATCATTCTGTCTAGTTTTTCTACGAATATATTTCCTTTTCTACTATTGACCTCAAAGCGGCTGAAATCTCCACTTACAAATTCCACAAAAAGAGTGTTTCAAGTCTGCTCTGTGTAAAGGATCGTTCAACTCTGTGAGTTGAATACACACAACACAAGGAAGTTACTGAGAATTGTTCTGTCTAGCAGAACATGAAGAAATCCCGCTTCCAACGAAGGCCTCAAAGAAATCTGAATATCCACTTGCAGACTTTACAAACAGAGTGTTTCCCAACTGCTCTATGAAAAGAAAGGTTGAACTCTGTGAGTTGAACGCACACATCACAAAGGAGTTTCTGAGAATCATTCTGTCTAGTTTCTATAAGAAGATATTTCCTATTCTACCATTGAACTCAAAGCGGCTGAAATCTCCACTTGCAAATTCCACAAAAAGAGTGTTTCAAGTCTGCTCTGTGTAAAGGATCGTTCAACACTGTGAGTTGAATACACACAACACAAGGAAGTTACTGAGAATTCTTCTTTCTAGCAGAATATGAAGAAATCCCGTTTCCAACGAAAGCCTCAAGGATGTCTGAATATCCACTTGCAGACTTTAGAAACAGAGTGTTTCCTAACTGCTCTATGAAAAGAAAGGTTAAACTCTGTGAGTTGAACGCACACATCACAAAGGAGTTTCTGAGAATCATTCTGTCTAGTCTTTATACGAAGATATTTCCTTTTGTACCATTGACCTCAATGCGGCTGAAATCTCCACTTGCAAATTCCACAAATAGAGTGTTTCAAGTCTGCTCTCTGTAAAGGATCGTTCAACTCTGTGAGTTGAATACACAGAACACAAGGAAGTTACTGAGAATTATTCTGTCTAGCATAATATGAAAAAATCCCGTTTCCAACGAAGGCCTCAAAGAGGTCTGAATATCCACTTGCAGACTTTACAAACAGAGTGTTTCCTAACTGCTCTATGAGAAGAAAAGTTAAACTCTGTGAGTTGAACGCACACATCACAAAAGATTTTCTGAGAATCATTCTGTCTAGTCTTTATACGAAGATATTTCCTTTTCTACCATTGACCTCAAAGCGGCTGAAATATCCAATTGCAAATTCCACAAAAAGAGTGTTTGAAGTCTGCTCTCTGTAAAGGATAGTTCAACTCTGTGAGTTGAATACACACAACACAAGGAAGTTACTGAGAATTCTTCTGTCTAGCACAATATGAAGAAATCCCGTTTAAAACGAAGGCCACAAGATGTCAGAATATCCACTTACAGACTTTACAAACAGAGTGTTTCCTAACTGCTCTATGAACAGAAAGGTTAAACTCTGTGAGTTGAACGAACACATCACAACGCAGTTTGTGGGAATGATTCTGTCTAGTTTTGAAACGAAGATATTTCCTTTTCTGCCATTGACCTTAAAGCGCTTGAAATCTACACTTGCAAATTGCACAAATAGAGTGTTTCAAATCTGCTCCGTCTAAGGGAACGTTCAACTCTGTGAGTTGAATACACACAACACAAGGAAGTTACTGGGAATTCTTCTGTCTAGCCTTACATGCAAGAAACCCGTTTCCAACGAAGGCCTCTAAGTGGTCAAAATATCCACGTGCAGACTTTACAAACAGAGTGTTTCCAAACCGCTGAATGAAAAGAAAAGTTAAACTCTGAGAGTTGAACGCACACATCACGCAGCAGTTTCTGAGAATGATTCTGTCTAGTTTTTATACGAAGATATTTCCTTTTCTACCTTTGGCCTCAAAGCGCTTGAAATCTCCACTTGCAAATTCCACAAAAAGAGTGTTTCAAATCTGCTCTGTGTAAATGAAAGTTCAACTCTGTGAGTTGAACACACACAACACAAGGAAGTTACTGGGAATTCTTCTGTCTAGCATAATATGAAGAAATCCCGTTTCCAACGAAGGCCTCAAAGAGGTCTGAATATCCACTTGCAGATTTTACAAACAGAGTGTTTCCTAACTGCTCTATGAAAAGAAAAGTTAAACTCTGTGAGTTGAACGCACACATCACAAAGGAGTTTCTGAGAATCATTCTGTCTACTTTTTATACGAAGATATTTCCTTTTCTACCATTGACCTCAAAGCGGCTGAAATCTCCACTTGCAAATTACACAAAAAGAGTGTTTCAAGTCTACTCTGTGTAAACCATCGTTCAACTCTGTGAGTTGAAAACACACAACACAAGGAAGTTTCTGAGAATTCTTCTGTCTAGCATAATATGAAGAAATCCCGTTTCCAACGAAGGCCTCAAGGAGGTCTGAATATCCACTTGCAGACTTTACAAACAGAGTGTTTCCTAACTGCTCTGTGAAAAGAAAGGTTAAACTCTGTGAGTTGAATGCACACATCGCAAAGGAGTTTCTGAGAATCATTCTGTCTAGTCTTTATACGAAGATATTTCCTTTTCTACCATTGACCTCAAAGCGGCTGAAATCTCCACTTGCAAATTCCACAAAAAGAGTGTTTCAAGTCTGCTCTGTGTAAAGGATCGTTCAACTCTGTGAGTTGAATACACACAACACAATGAAGTTACTGAGAATTCTTCTGTCTAGCAGAATATGAAGAAATCCCGTTTCCAACGGAAGCCTCAAAGAGGTCTGAATATCCCCTTGCAGACTTTACAAACAGAGTGTTTCCTAACTGCTCCATGAAAAGAAAGGTTAAACTCTGTGAGTTGAACACACACATCACAAAGGAGTTTCTGAGAATCATTCTGTCTAGTTTCTATAGGAAGATATTTCCTATTCTACCATTGACCTCAAAGCGGCTGAAATCTCCACTTGCAAATTCCACAAAAGGAGTGTTTCAAGTCTGCTCTGTGTAAAGGATCATTCAACTCTGTGAGTTGAATACACACAACACAAGGCAGTTACTGAGAATTCTTCTCTCAGGCATAATATGAAGAAATCCCGTTTCCAACCAAGGCTTCAAAGAGGTCTGAATATCCACTTGCAGAGTTTACAAACAGAGTGTTTCCTAACTGCTCTATGAAAAGAAAGGTTAAACTCTGTGAGTTGAACGCACACATCATAAAGGAGTTTCTGAGAATCATTCTGTCTAGTTTTTATACGAAGATATTTCCTTTTCTACCATTGACCTCAAAGCGGCTGAAATCTCCACTTGCAAATTCCACAAAAAGAGTGTTTCAAATCTGCTCTGTGTAAACCATTGTTCAACTCTGTGACTTGAAGACACACAACACAAGGAAGATTCTGAGAATTCTTCTGTCCAGCAGAACATGAAGAAATCCCGTTTCCAACGAAGGCCTCAAAGATGTCTGAATATCCACTTGCAGACTTTACAAACAGAGTGTTTCCTAACTGCTCTATGAAAACAAAGGTTAAACTCTGTGAGTTGAACGCACACATCACAAAGGAGTTTCTGAGAATCATTCTGTCTAGTCTTTATACGAAGATATTTCCTTTTCTACCATTGACCTCAAAGCGGCTGAAATCTCCACTTGCAAATTCCACAAAAAGAGTGTTTCAAGTCTGCTCTCTGTAAAGGATCGTTCAACTCTGTGAGTTGAATACAGAGAACACAAGGAAGTTACTGAGAATTCTTCTGTCTAGCATAATATGAAGAAATCCCGTTTCCAACGAAGGCCTCAAGAAGGTCTGAATATCCACTTGCAGACTTTACAAACAGAGTGTTTCCTAACTGCTCTATGAAAAGAAAGGTTAAACTCTGTGAGTTGAACGCAGACATCACAAAGGAGTTTCTGAGAATCACTCTGTCTAGTCTTTATAGGAAGATATTTCCTTTTCTACCATTGACCTCAAAGCGGCTGAAATCTCCACTTGCAAATTCCACAAAAAGAGTGTTTCAAGTCTGCTCTGCTGTAAAGGATCGTTCAACTCTGTGAGTTGAATACACACAACACAAGGAAGTTACTGAGAATTCTTCTGTCTAGCAGAATATGAAGAAATCCTGTTTCCAATGAAGGCCTCAAGGAGGTCTGAATATCCACTTGCAGACTTTACAAACAGAGTGTTTCCTAACTGCTCTATGAAAAGAAAGGTTAAACTCTGTGAGTTGAACGCACACATCACAAAGGAGTTTCTGAGAATCATTCAGTCTAGTCTTTATACGAAGATATTTCCTTTTCTACCATTGACCTCAAAGCGGGTGAAATCTCCACTTGCAAATTCCACAAAAAGAGTGTTTCAAGTCTGCTCTGTGTAAAGGATCGTTCAACTCTGTGAGTTGAATACACACAACACAAGGAAGTTACTGAGAATTCTTCTGTCTAGCAGAATATGAAGAAATCCCGTTTCCAACGATGGCCTCAAAGAGGTCTGAATATCCACTTGCAGACTTTACAAACAGAGTGTTTCCTAAGTGCTCTATGAAAAGAAAGGTTAAACTCTGTGAGTTGAACGCACACATCACAAAGGAGTTTCTGAGAATCATTCTGTCTTGTCTTTATACGAAGATATTTCCTTTTCTACCATTGACCTCAAAGCGGCTGAAATCTCCACTTGCAAATTCCACAAAAAGAGTGTTTCAAGTCTGCTCTGTGTAAAGGATCGTTCAACTCTGTGAGTTGAATACACACTACACAAGGAAGTTACTGAAAATTCTTCTGTCTAGCATAATATGAAGAAATCCCGTTTCCAACGAAGGCCTCTAAGAGGTCTGAATATCCACTTGCAGACTTTTCAAACAGAGTGTTTCCTAACTGCTCTATGAAAAGAAAGGTTAAACTCTGTGAGTTGAACGCACACATCACAAAGGAGTTTCTGAGAATCATTCTGTCTAGTTTTTATAGGAAGATATTTCCTTTTCTACCTTTGACTTCAAAGCGGCTGAAATCTCCACTTGCAAATTCCACAAAAAGTGTGTTACAAGTCTGCTCTGTGTAAAGGATCGTTCAACTGTGTGAGTTGAATACACACAACACAAGGAAGTTACTGAGAATTCTTCTGTCTAGCCTTACATGAAAAAAACCCGTTTCCAACGAAGGCCTCTAAGTGGTCAAATTATCCACGTGCAGACTTTACAAACAGAGTGTTTCCAAACTGCTGAATGAAAAGAAAAGTTAAACTCTGAGAGTTGAATGCACACATCACAGAGCAGTTTCTGAGAATGATTCAGTCTAGTCTTTATATGAAGATAGTTTCCTTTTCTACCATTGACCTCAAAGCGGCTGAAATCTCCACTTGCAAATTCCACAAAAAGAGTGTTTCAAGTCTGCTCTGTGTAAAGGATCGTTCAACTCTGTGAGTTGAATACACACAACACAAGGAAGTTACTGAGAATTCTTCTGTGTAGCAGAATATGAAGAAATCCCGTTTCCAACGAAGGCCTCAAAGAGGTCTGAATATCCACTTGAAGACTTTACAAACAGAGTGTTTCGTAACTGCTCTATGAAAAGAAAAGTGAAACTCTGTGAGTTGAACGCACACATCACAAAGGAGTTTCTGAGAATCATTCTGTCTAGTTTTTATAGGAAGATATTTCCTTTTCTACCATTGACCTCAAAGCGGCTGAAATCTCCACTTGCAAATTCCACAAAAAGAGTGTTTCAAATCTGCTCTGTGTAAACCATCGTTCAACTCTGTGAGTTGAATACACACAACACAAGGAAGATTGCTGAGAATTCTTCTGTCTAGCATAATATGAAGAAATCCTGTTTCCAACGAAGGCCTCTAAGAGGTCTGAATATCCACCTGAAGACTTTACAAACAGAGTGTTTCCTAACTGTTCTATGAAAAGAAAGGTTAAACTCTGTGAGTTGAATGCACACATCACAAAGGAGTTTCTGAGAATCATTCTGTCTAGTTTCTATAGGAAGATATTTGCTATTCTACCATTGACCTCAAAGCGGCTGAAATCTCCACTTGCAAATTCCACAAAAAGAATGTTTCAACTCTGCTCTGTGTAAAGGATCGTTCAACTCTGTGAGTTGAATACACACAACACAAGGGAAGTTACTGAGAATTCTTCTGTCTAGCATAATATGAAGAAATCCCGTTTCCAACGAAGGCCTCAAAGGGGTCTGAATATCTACTTGCAGACTTTATAAACAGAGTGTTTACTAACTGCTCTATGAAAAGAAAGGTTAAACTCTGTGAGTTGAACACACACATCACAAAGGAGTTTCTGAGAATCATTCTGTCTAGTGTTTATATGAAGATAGTTTCCTTTTCTACCATTGACCTCAAAGCGGCTGAAATCTCCACTTGCAAATTCCACAAAAAGAGTGTTTCAAGTCTGCTCTGTGTAAAGGATCGTTTAACTCTGTGAGTTGAATACACACAACACAAGGAAGTTACTGAGAATTCTTCTGTCTACCATAATATGAAGAAATCCCGTTTCCAACGAAGGCCACAAGATGTCAGAATATCCACTTACAGACTTTACAAACAGAGTGTTTCCTAACTGCTCTATGAACAGAAAGGTTAAACTCTGTGAGTTGAACGAACACATCACAACGCAGTTTGTGGGAATGATTCTGTCTAGTTTTGAAACGAAGATATTTCCTTTTCTGCCATTGACCTTAAAGCGCTTGAAATCTCCATTTGCCAATTGCACAAAAAGAGTGTTTCAAATCTGCTCTGTCTAAGGGAACGTTCAACTCTGTGAGTTGAATGTACACAACACAAGGAAGTTACTGGGAAAACTTCTGTCTAGCCTTACAGGAAAAAAACCCGTTTCCAACAAAGGCCTCTAAGTGGTCAAAATATCCACGTGCAGACTTTACAAACAGAGTGTTTCCACACTGCTGAATGAAAAGAAAAGTTGAACTCTGAGAGTTGAACGCACACATCGCAGAGCAGTTTCTGAGAATGATTCTGTCTAGTCTTTATACGAAGATATTTACTTTTCTACCATTGACCTCAAAGCGGCTGAAATCTCCACTTGCAAATGCCACAAAAAGAGTGTTTCAAGTCTGCTCTGTGTAAAGGATCATTAACTCTGTGAGTTGAATAAACACAACACAAGGAAGTTACTGAGAATTCTTCTGTCTAGCAGAATATGAAGAAATCCCGTTTCCAACGAAGGCCTCAAGGAGGTCTGAATATCCACTTGCAGACTTCACAAAGAGAGTGTTTCCTAACTGCTCTATGAAAAGAAAGGTTAAACTCTGTGAGTTGAACGCACACATCACAAAGGAGTTTATGAGAATCATTCTGTCTAGTTTTTATACGAAGATATTTCCTTTTCTACCATTGACCTCAAAGCGGCTGAAATCTCCACTTGCAAATTCCATAAAAAGAGTGTTTCAAGTCTGCTCTGTGTAAAGGATCGTTCAACTCTGTGAGTTGAATACACACAACACAAGGAAGTTACTGAGAATTCTTCTGTCTAGCATAATATGAAGAAATCCCGTTTCCAACGAAGGCCTCAAAGAGGTCTGAATATCAACTTGCAGACTTTACAAACAGAGTGTTTCCTAACTGCTCTATGAAAAGAAAGGTTAAACTCTGTGAGTTGAACGCACACATCACAAAGGAGTTTCTGAGAATCATTCTGTCTAGTTTTTATACGAAGATATTTCCTTTTCTACCATGGACCTCAAAGCGGCTGAAATCTCCACTTGCAAATTCCACAAAAAGAGTGTTTCAAGTCTGCTCTGTGTAAAGGATCGTTCAAATCTGTGAGTTGAATACACACAACACAAGGAAGATTCTGAGAATTCTTCTGTCTAGCAGAATATGAAGAAATCCCGTTTCCAACGAAGGCCACAAGATGTCAGAATATCCACTTACAGAATTGACAAACAGACTGTTTCCTAACTGCTCTATGAAAAGAAAAGTTAAACTCTGAGAGTTGAACGCACACATCGCAGAGCAGTTTCTGAGAATGATTCTGTCTAGTTTTGAAACGAAGATATTTCCTTTTCTGCCATTGAACTTAAAGCGCTTGAAATCTCCATTTGCCAATTGCACAAAAAGAGTGTTTCAAATCTGCTCTGTCTAAGGGAACGTTCAACTCTGTGAGTTGAATGTACACAACACAAGGAAGTTACTGGGAATTCTTCTGTCTAGCCTTACAGGAAAAAAACCCGTTTCCAACGAAGTCCTCTAAGTGGTCAAGTTATCCACGTGCAGACTTTACAAACAGAGTGTTTCCAAACTGCTGAATGAAAAGAAAAGTTAAACTCTGAGAGTTGAACGCAAACATCGCAGAGCAGTTTTTGAGAATGATTCTGTCTAGTTTTGAAACGGAGATATTTCCTTTTCTGCCTTTGGCCTCAAAGCGCTTGAAATCTCCACTTGCAAATTCCACAAAAAGAGTGTTTCAAATCTTTTCTGTGTAAATGAAAGTTCAACTCTGTGAGTTGAACACACACAACACAAGGAAGTTACTGGGAATTCTTCTGTCTAGCCTTATATGAAAAAAACCCGTTTCCAACGAAGGCCTCAAAGAGGTCTGAATATCCACTTGCAGACTTTACAAACAGAGTGTTTCCTAACTGCTCTATGAAAAGAAAGTTTAAACTCTGTGAGTTGAACGCACACATCACAAAGGAGTTTCTGAGAATCATTCTGTCTAGTTTTTCTACGAAGATATTTCCTTTTCTACTATTGACCTCAAAGCGGCTGAAATCTCCACTTGCAAATTCCACAAACAGAGTGTTTCAAGTCTGCTCTGTGTAAAGGATCGTTCAACTCTGTGAGTTGAATACACACAACACAAGGAAGTTACTGAGAATTCTTCTGTCTAGCCTTATAAGAAAAAAACCCGTTTCCAACGAAGGCCTCAAAGAGGTCTGAATATCCACTTGCAGACTTTACAAACAGAGTGTTTCCTAACTGCTCTATGGAAAGAAAGGTTAAACTCTGTGAGTTGAACGCACACATCACAAAGGAGTTTCTGAGAATCATTCTGTCTAGTTTTTATATGAAGATATATCCTTTTATACAATTGACCTCAAAGCGGCTGAAATCAACACTAGCCAATTGCACAAAAAGAGTGTTTCAAATCTGCTCTGTCTAAGGGAACGTTCAACTCTGTGAGTTGAATGTACACAACACAAGGAAGTTACTGGGAATTCTTCTGTCTAGCCTTACATGAAGAAAACCCGTTTCCAACGAAGGCCTCTAAGTGGTCAAAATTTCCACGTGCAGACTTTACAAACAGAGTGTTTCCAAACCGCTGAATGAAAAGAAAAGTTAAACTCTGAGAGTTGAACTCACACATCACGCAGCAGTTTCTGAGAATGATTCTGTCTAGTTTCTATAGGAAGATATTTCCTATTCTACCATTGACCTCAAAGCGCTTGAAATCTCCACTTGCAAATTCCACAAAAACAGTGTTTCAAATCTGCTCTCTCTAAATGAAAGTTCAACTCTGTCAGTTGAATACACACAACACAAGGAAGTTACTGAGAATTCTTCTGTCTAGCATAATATGAAGAAATCCCGTTTCCAACGAAGGCCTCAAAGAGGTCTCAATATCCACTTGCAGACTTTACAAACAGAGTGTTTCCTAACTGCTCTATGAGAAGAAAAGTTAAACTCTGTGAGTTGAACGCACACATCACAAAACATTTTCTGAGAATCATTCTGTCTAGTTTTTCTACGAAGATATTTCCTTTTCTACTATTGACCTCAAAGCGGCTGAAATCTCCACTTGCAAATTCCACAAAAAGAGTGTTTCAAGTCTGCTCTGTGTAAAGGATCGTTCAATTCTGTGAGTTGAATACACACAACACAAGGAAGTTACTGAGAATTCTTCTGTCTAGCCTTACATGAAAAAAACCCGTTTCCAACGAAGGCCTCTAAGTGGTCAAATTATCCACGTGCAGACTTTACGAACAGAGTGTTTCCAAACTGCTGAATGAAAAGAAAAGTTAAACTGCTGAGAGTTGAACGTACACATCACAGAGCAGTTTCTGAGAATGATTCTGTCTAGTTTTTATACGAAGATATTTCCTTTTCTGCCTTTGGCCCCAAAGCGCTTGAAATCTCCACTTGCAAATTCCAAAAAAACAGTGTTTCAAATCTGCTCTCTCCAAATGAAAGTTCAACTCTGTCAGTTGAATACACACAACACAAGGAAGTTACTGAGAATTCTTCTGTCTAGCATAATATGAAGAAATCCCGTTTCCAACGAAGGCCTCAAAGAGGTCTGAATATCCACTTGTAGACTTTACAAACAGAGTGTTTCCTAACTGCTCTATGAAAAGAAAGGTGAAACTCTGTGAGTTGAACGCACACATCACAAAGCAGTTTCTGAAAATCATTCTGTCTAGTTTCTATAGGAAGATATTTCCTATTCTACCATTGACCTCAAAGCGGCTGAAATCTCCCCTTGCAAATTCCACAAAAAGAATGTTTCAAGTCTGCTCTGTGTAAAGGATCGTTCAACTCTGTGAGTTGAATACACACAACACAAGGGAAGTTACTGAGAATTCTTCTGTCTAGCATAGTATGAAGAAATCCCGTATCCAACGAAGGCCTCAAAGAGGTCTGAATATCCACTTGCATAGTTTACAAACAGAGTGTTTCCTAACTGCTCTATGAAAAGAAAGGTTAAACTCTGTGAGTTGAACGCACACATCACAAAGAAGTTTCTGAGAATCATTCTGTCTACTTTTTATACGAAGATATTTCCTTTTCTGCCTTTGGCCCCAAGGCGCTTGATATCTCCACTTGCAAATTCCACAAAAACAGTGTTTCAAATCTGCTCTCTCTAAATGAAAGTTCAACTCTGTCAGTTGAATACACACAACACAAGGAAGTTACTGAGAATTCTTCTGTCTAGCATAATATGAAGAAATCCCGTTTCAAACGAAGGCGTCAAAGGGGTCTGAATATCCACTTGCAGACATTATAAACAGAGTGTTTACTAACTGCTCTATGAAAAGAAAGCTTAAACTCTGTGAGTTGAACACACACATCACAAAGGAGTTTCTGAGAATCATTCTGTCTAGTTTCTGTAGGAAGATAATTCCTATTCTACCATTGAACTCAAAGCGGCTGAAATCTCCACTTGCAAATTCCACAAAAAGAGTGTTTCAAGTCTGCTCTGTGTAAAGGATCGTTCAACTCTGTGAGTTGAATACACACAACACAAGGAAGTTACTGAGAATTCTTCTGTCTAGCATAATATGAAGAAATCCCGTTTCCAACGAAGGCCTCAAAGAGGTCTGAATATCCACTTGCAGACTTTACAAACAGAGTGTTTCCTAACTGCTCTATGAACAGTAAGGTTAAACTCTGTGAGTTGAACGCACACATCACAAAGGAGTTTCTGAGAATCATTCTGTCTAGTTTTGAAACCAAGATATTTCCTTTTCTGCCGTTGACCTTAAAGAGCTTGAAAACTACACTTGCAAATTGCACAAATAGAGTGTTTCAAATCTGCTCTGTCTAAGGGAACGTTCAACTCTGTGAGTTGAATGCACACAACACAAGGAAGTTACTGGGAATTCTTCTGTCTAGGCTTACAAGGACAAAACCCGTTTCCAACGAAGGCCTCTAAATGGTCAAAATATCCACGTGCAGACTTTACAAACAGAGTGTTTCCAAACTGCTGAATGAAAAGAAAAGTTAAACTCTGAGAGTTGAACGCACACATCGCAGAGCAGTTTCTGAGAATGATTCTGTGTAGTTTTTATACGAAGATATTTCCTTTTCTGCCTTTGGCCTCAAAGCGCTTGAAATCTCCACTTGCAAATTCCAGAAAAAGAGTGTTTCAAATCTGCTCTGTCTAAATGAAAGTTCAACTCTGTCAGTTGAATACACACAACACAAGGAAGTTACTGAGAATTCTTCTGTCTAGCCTTACATGAAAAAAAACCCGTTTCCAATGAAGGCCTCAAAGAGGTGAAAATATCCACTTGCAGACTTTACAAACAGAGTGTTTCCTAACTGCTCTATGAAAAGAAAGGTTAAACTCTGTGAGTTGAACACCCACATCACAAAGGAGTTTCTGAGAATCATTCTGTGTAGTTTTTCTACGAAGATATTTCCTTTTCTACTATTGACCTCAAAGCGGCTGAAATCTCCACTTGCAAATTCCACAAAAAGAGTGTTTCAAGTCTGCTCTGTGTAAACGATCGTGCAACTCTGTGAGTTGAATACACACAACACAAGGAAGTTACTGAGAATTCTTCTGTCTAGCAGAATATGAAGAAATCCCGCTTTCAACGAAGGCCTCAAAGAAGTCTGAATATCCACTTGCAGACTTTACAAACAGAGTGTTTCCCAACTGCTCTATGAAAAGAAAGGTTGAAATCTGTGAGTTGAACGCACACATCACAAAGGAGTTTCTGAGAATCATTCTGTCTAGTTTCTATAGGAAGATATTTCCTATTCTACCATTGAACTCAAAGCGGCTGAAATATCCACTTGCAAATTCCACAAAAAGAGTGTTTCAAGTCTGCTCTGTGTAAAGGATCGTTCAACTCTGTGAGTTGAATACACAAAACACAAGGAAGTTACTGAGAATTCTTCTGTCTAGCCTTACATGAAAAAAACCCGTTTCCAACGAAGGCCTCAAAGAAGTCCAAATATCCACATGCAGACTTTACAAACAGAGTGTTTCCTAACTGCTCTATGAAAAGAATGGTTAAACTCTGTGAGTTGAACGCCCACATCACAAAAGAGTTTCTGAGAATCATTCTGTCTAGTTTTTCTACGAAGATATTTACTTTTCTACTATTGACCTCAAAGCGGCTGAAATCTCCACTTGCAAATTCCACAAAAAGAGAGTTTCAAGTCTGCTCTGTGTAAAGGATCGTTCAACTCTGTGAGTTGAATACACACAACACAAGGAAGTTACTGAGAATTCTTCTCTCTAGCAGAATATGAAGAAATCCCGTTTCCAACGATGGCCTCAAAGAGGTCTGAATATCCACTTGCAGACTTTACAAACAGAGTGTTTCCTAACTGCTCTATGAAAAGAAAGGTTAAACTCTATGAGTTGAACGCACACATCACAAAGGAGTTTCTGAGAATCATTCTGTCTAGTTTCTATAGGAAGATATTTCCTATTCTACCATTGAACTCAAATCGGCTGAAATCTCCACTTGCAAATTCCACAAAAAGAGTGTTTCAAGTCTGCTCTGTGTAAAGGATCGTTCAACTCTGTGAGTTGAATACACACAACACAAGGAAGTTACTGAGAATTCTTCTGTCTAGCAGAATATGAAGAAATCCCGTTTCCACCGAAGGCCTCAAGGAGGTCTGAATATCCACTTGCAGACTTTACAAACAGAGTGTTTCCTAACTGCTCTATGAACAGAAAGGTTAAACTCTGTGAGTTGAACGCACACATCATAAAGGAGTTTCTGAGAATCATTCTGTCTAGTGTCTATAGGAAGATATTTCCTATTCTACCATTGACCTCAAAGCGGCTGAAATCTCCACTTGCAAATTCCAGAAAAAGAGTGTTTCAAGTCTGCTCTGTGTAAAGGATCGTTGAAATCTGTGAGTTGAATACACACAACACAATGAAGTTACTGAGAATTCTTCTGTCTAGCAGAATATGAAGAAATCCCGTTTCCAACGAAGGCCTCAAAGAGGTCTGAATATCCACTTGCAGACTTTACAAACAGAGTGTTTCCTAACTGCTCTATGAACAGAAAGGTTAAACTCTGTGAGTTGAACGAACACATCACAACGCAGTTTGTGGGAATGATTCTGTCTAGTTTTTATACGAAGATATTTCCTTTTCTACCATTGACCTCAAAGCGGCTGAAATCACCACTTGCCAATTGCACAAAAAGAGTGTTTCAAATCTGCTCTGTCTAAGGGAACGTTCAACTCTGTGAGTTGAATGTACACAACACAAGGAAGTTCCTGGGAATTCTTCTGTCTAGCCTTACAAGAAAAAAAACCCGTTTCCAACGAAGGCCTCTAAATGGTCAAAATATCCACGTGCAGACTTTACAAACAGAGTGTTTCCAAACTGCTGAATGAAAAGAAAAGTTAAACTCTGAGAGTTGAACGCACACATCGCAGAGCAGTTTCTGAGAATGATTCTGTCTAGTTTTGAAACGGAGATATTTCCTTTTCTGCCTTTGGCCTCAAAGCGCTTGAAATCTCCACTTGCAAATTCCACAAAAAGAGTGTTTCAAATCTGCTCTGTGTAAATGAAAGTTCAACTCTGTGAGTTGAACACACACAACACAAGGAAAGTTACTGGGAATTCTTCTGTATAGCAGAATATGAAGAAATCCCGTTTCCAACGAAGGCCTCAAGGAGGTCTGAATATCCACTTGCAGACTTTACAAACAGAGTGTTTCCTAACTGCTCTATGAAAAGAAAGGTTAAACTCGGTGAGTTGAACGCAGACATCACAAAGGAGTTTCTGAGAATCACTCTGTCTAGTTTTTATACGAAGAGATTTCCTTTTCTACCATTGACCTCAACGCGGCTGAAATCTCCACTTGCAAGTTTCACAAAAAGAGTGTTTCAATTCCGCTCTGTGTAAAGGATCGTTCAACTCTGTGAGTTGAATACACACAACACAAGGAAGTTACTGAGAATTCTTCTGTCTAGCACAGTATGAAGAAATCCCGTTTCCAACGAAGGCCTCAAAGAGGTCTTAATATCCACTTGCAGAGTTTACAAACAGAGTGTTTCCTAACTGCTCTATGAAAAGAAAGGTTAAACTCTGTGAGTTGAACGCACACATCACAAAGAAGTTTCTGAGAATCATACTGTCTAGCTTTGAAACGAAGATATTTCCTTTTCTGCCATTGACCTTAAAGCGCTTGAAATCTCCACTTGCCAATTGCACAAAAAGAGTGTTTCAAATCTGCTCTGTCTAAGGGAACGTTCAACTCTGTGAGTTGAATGTACACAACACAAGGAAGTTACTGGGAATTCTTCTGTCTAGCCTTACATGAAAAAAACCCGTTTCCAACGAAGGCCTCTAAGTGGTCAAAATATCCACGTGCAGACTTTACAAACAGAGTGTTTCCAAACTGCTGAATGAAAAGAACAGTTAAACTCTGAGAGATGAACGCACACATCACAGAGCAGTTTCTGAGAATTATTCTGTCTAGTTTTTATACGAAGATATTTCCTTTTCTGCCTTTGGCCTCAAAGCGCTTGAAATCTCCACTTGCAAATTTCACGAAAAGAGTGTTTCAAATCTGCTCTGTGTAAATGAAAGTTCAACTCTGTGAGTTGAACACACACAACACAAGGAAGTTACTGGGAATTCTTCTGTCTAGCATAATATGAAGAAATCCCGTTTCCACCGAAGGCCTCAAAGAGGTCTGAATATCCACTTGCAGACTTTACAAACAGAGTGTTTCCTAACTGCTCTATGAAAAGAAAAGTGAAACTCTGTGAGTTGAACGCACACATCACAAAGGAGTTTCTGAGAATCATTCTGTCTAGTTTTGAAACGAAGATATTTCCTTTTCTACCATTGACCTCAACGCGGCTGAAATCTCCACTTGCAAATTCCACAAAAAGTGTGTTTCAAGTCCGCTCTGTGTAAAGGATCGTTCAACTCTGTGAGTTGAATACACACAACACAAGGAAGTTACTGAGAATTCTTCTGTCTAGCATAGTATGAAGAAATCCCGTTTCCAACGAAGGCCTCAAACAGGTCTGAATATCCACTTGCAGAGTTTACAAACAGAGTGTTTCCTAACTGCTCTATGAAAAGAAAGGTTAAACTCTGTGAGTTGAACGCACACATCAAAAAGAAGTTTCTGAGAATCATTCTGTCTAGTTTTTATAGGAAGATATTTCCTTTTCTACCTTTGACTTCAAAGGGGCTGAAATCTCCACTTGCAAATTCCACAAAAAGAGTGTTACAAGTCTGCTCTGTGTAAAGGATCGTTCAACTCTGTGAGTTGAATACACACAACACAAGGAAGTTACTGAGAATTCGTCTGTCTAGCAGAATATGAAGAAATCCCGTTTCCAACGAAGGCCACAAGCTGTCAGAATATCTACTTACAGAATTTTCAAACAGACTGTTTCCTAACTACTCTATGAAAAGAAAGGTTAAACTCTGTGAGTTGAACGAACACATCACAACGCAGTTTGTGGGAATGATTCTGTCTAGTTTTGAAACGAAGATATTTCCTTTTCTACCATTGACCTCAAAGCGCTTGAAATCTCCATTTGCCAATTGCACAAAAAGAGTGTTTCAAATCTGTTCTGTCTAAGGGAACGTTCAACTCTGTGAGTTGAATGTACACAACACAAGGAAGTTACTGGGAATTCTTCTGTCTAGCCTTACAGGAAAAAAACCCGTTTCCAACGAAGGCCTCTAAGTGGTCAAAATATCCACGTGCAGACTTTACAAACAGAGTGTTTCCAAACTGCTGAATGAAAAGAAAAGTTAAACTCCTGAGAGTTGAACGCACACATCGCAGAGCAGTTTCTGAGAATGATTTCTGTCTAGTTTTTATACGAAGATATTTCCTTTTCTGCCTTTGGCCTCAAAGCGCTTGAAATCTCCATTTGCAAATTCCACAAAAAGAGTGTTTCAAATCTGCTCTGTGTACATGAAAGTTCAACTCTGTGAGTTGAACACACACAACACAAGGAAGTTACTGGGAATTCTTCTGTCTAGCACAGTATGGAGAAATCCCGTTTCCAACGAAGGCCTCAAAGAGGTCTGAATATCCACTTGCAGAGTTTACAAACAGAGTGTTTCCTAACTGCTCTATGAAAAGAAAGGTTAAACTCTGTGAGTTGAACGCACACATCACAAAGAAGTTTATGAGAATCATTCTGTCTAGTTTTTATACGAAGATATTTCCTTTTCTACCATTGACCTCAAAGGGGATGAAATCTCCACTTGCAAATTCCACAAAAAGAGTGTTTCAAGTCTGCTCTGTGTAAAGGTTCGTTCAACTCTGTGAGTTGAATACACACAACACAAGGAAGTTACTGAGAATTCTTCTGTCTAGCATAATATGAAGAAATCCCGTTTCCAACGAAGGCCTCAAAGGGGTCTGAATATCCACTTGCAGACTTTATAAACAGAGTGTTTAGTAACTGCTCTATGAAAAGAAAGGTTAAACTCTGTGAGTTGAACACACACATCACAAAGGAGTTTCTGAGAATCATTCTGTCTAGTTTTGAAACGAAGATATTTCCTTTTCTGCCGTTGACCTTAAAGAGCTTGAAAACTACACTTGCAAATTGCACAAATAGAGTGTTTCAAATCTGCTCTGTCTAAGGGAACGTTCAACTCTGTGAGTTGAATGCACACAACACAAGGAAGTTACTGGGAATTCTTCTGTCTAGCCTTACATGAAAAAAACCCGTTTCCAAAGAAGGCCTCTAAGTGGTCAAAATTTCCACGTGCAGACTTTACAAACAGAGTGTTTCCAAACCGCTGAATGAAAAGAAAAGTTAAACTCTGAGAGTTGAACGCACACATCACGCAGCAGTTTCTGAGAATGATTCTGTCTAGTTTTTATACGACGATATTTCCTTTTCTGCCTTTGGCCCCAAAGCGCTTGAAATCTCCACTTGCAAATTCCACAAAAACAGTGTTACAAATCTGCTCTCTCTAAATGAAAGTTCAACTCTGTCAGTTGAATACACACAACACAAGGAAGTTACTGAGAATTCTTCTGTCTAGCAGAATATGAAGAAATCCCGTTTCCAACGAAGGCCTCAAAGATGTCTGAATATCCACTTGCAGACTTTACAAACAGAGTGTTTCCTAACTACTCTATGAAAAGAAAGGTTAAACTCTGTGAGCTGAACGCACACAGCACAAAGGAGTTTCTGAGAATCATTCTGTCTAGTTTTTCTATGAAGATATTTCCTTTTCTACTATTGACCTCAAAGCGGCTGAAATCTCCACTTGCAAATTCCACAAAAAGAGTGTTTCAAGTCTGCTCTGTGTAAAGGATCGTTCAACTCTGTGAGTTGAATACACACAACACAAGGAAGTTACTGAGAATTCTTCTGTCTAGCATAATATGAAGAAATCCCGTTTCCAACGAAGGCCTCAAGGAGGTCTGAATATCCACTTGAAGACTTTAAAAACAGAGTGTTTCCTAACTGCTCTATGAAAAGAAAGGTTAAACTCTGTGAGTTGAACGCACACCTCACAAAGGATTTCTCAGAACCATTCTGTCTAGTTTCTATAGGAAGATATTTACTATTCTACCATTGACCTCAAAGCGGCAGAAATCTCCACTTGCAAATTCCACAAAAAGAGTGTTTCAAGTCTGCTCTGTGTAAAGGATCGTTCAACTCTGTGAGTTGAATACACACAACACAAGGAAGTTTCTGAGAATTCTTCTGTCTAGCAGAATATGAAGAAATCCCGTTTCCAACGAAGGCCACAAGATGTCAGAATATCCACTTACAGAATTTACAAACCCACTGTTTCCTAACTGCTCTATGAAAAGAAAGGTTAAACTCTGTGAGTTGAACGAACACATCACAACGCAGTTTGTGGGAATGATTCTGTCTAGTTTTGAAACGAAGATATTTCCTTTTCTGCTGTTGACCTTAAAGAGCTTGAAAACTACACTTGCAAATTGCACAAATAGAGTGTTTCAAATCTGCTCTGTCTAAGGGAACGTTCAACTCTGTGAGTTGAATGCACACAACACAAGGAAGTTACTGGGAATTCTTCTGTCTAGCCTTACATGAAAAAAAACCCGTTTCCAACGAAGGCCTCTAAGTGGTCATATTATACACGTGCAGACTTTTCAAACAGAGTGTTTCCAAACTGCTCTATGAAAAGAAAGGTTAAACACTGTGAGTTGAACACCCACATCACAAAGGAGTTTCTGAGAATCATTCTGTCTAGTTTTTATACGAAGATATTTCCTTTTCTGCCTTTGGCCTCAAAGCACTTGAAATCTCCACCTGCAAATTCCACAAAAAGAGTGTTTCAAATCTGCTCTGTGTAAATGAAAGTTCAACTCTGTGAGTTGAACACACACAACACAAGGAAGTTACTGGGAATTCTTCTGTCTAGCCTTATATGAAAAAAACCCGTTTCCAACGAAGGCCTCAAAGAGGTCTGAATATCCTCTTGCAGACTTTACAAACAGAGTGTTTCCTAACTGCTCTATGAAAAGAAAGGTTAAACTCTGTGAGTTGGACACACACATCCCAAAGGAGTTTCTGAGAATCATTCTGTCTAGTTTCTATAGGAAGATATTTCCTTTTCTACCATTGACCTCAAATCGGCTGAAATCTCCACTTGTAAATTCCACAAAAACAGTGTTTCAAGTCTGCTCTGTATAAAGGATCGTTCAACGGTGTGAGTTGAATACACACAACACAAGGAAGTTACTGAGAATTCTTCTGTCTAGCAGAATATGAAGAAACCCCGTTTCCAACGAAGGCCACAAGATGTCAGAATATCCACTTACAGACTTTAGAAACAGAGTGTTTCCTAACTGCTCTATGAACAGAAAGGTTAAACTCTGTGAGTTGAACGAACACATCACAACGCAGTTTGTGGGAATGATTCTGTCTAGTTTTGAAACGAAGATATTTCCTTTTCTGTCTTTGGCCTCAAAGCGCTTGAAATCTCCATTTGCAAATTGCACAAAAAGAGTCTTTCAAATCTGCTCTGTGTAAATGAAAGTTCAACTCTGTGAGTTGAACACACACAACACAAGGATGTTAGTGGGAATTCTTCTGTCTAGCCTTACATGAAAAAAACCCGTTTCCAACGAAGGCCTCTAAGTGTTCAAGTTATCCACGTGCACACTTTACAAACAGAGTGTTTCCAAACTTCTGAATGAAAAGAAAAGTTAAACTCTGAGAGTTGAACGCACACATCGCAGAGCAGTTTCTGAGAATGATTCTGTCTAGTTTTGAAACGAAGACATTTCCTTTTCTGCCTTTGGCCTCAAAGCGCTTGAAATCTCCACTTGCAAATTCCACAAAAAGAGTGTTTCAAATCTGCTCTGTGTAAATGAAAGTTCAACTCTGTGAGTTGAACACACACAACACAAGGAAGTTACTGGGAATTCTTCTTTCTAGCAGAATATGAAGAAATCCCGTTTCCAACGAAAGCCTCAAGGATGTCTGAATATACACTTGCAGACTTTACAAACAGAGTGTTTCCTAACTGCTCTATGAAAAGGAAGGTTAAACTCTGTGAGTTGAACGCACACATCACAAAGGAGTTTCTGAGAATCATTCTGTCTAGTTTCTATGGGAAGATATTTCCTATTCTACCATTGACCTCAAAGCGGCTGAAGTCTCCACTTGCAAATTCCACAAAAAGAGTGTTTCAAGTCTGCTCTGTGTAAAGGATCGTTCAACTCTGTGAGTTGAATACACACAACACAAGGAAGTTACTGAGAATTCTTCTGTCTAGCAGAATATGAAGAAATCCCGCTTCCAACGAAGACCTCAAAGAAGTCTGAATATCCACTTGCAGACTTTACAAACAGAGCGTTTCCCAAATGCTCTATGAAAAGAAAGGTTAAACTCTGTGAGTTGAACGCACACATCACAAAGGAGTTTCTGAGAATCATTCTGTCTAGTTTTGAAACGAAGATATTTCCTTTTCTACCATTGACCTTAAAGCGCTTGAAATCTCCACTTGCCAATTGCACAAAAAGAGTGTTTCAAATCTGCTCTGTCTAAGGGAACGTTCACCTCTGTGAGTTGAATGTACACAACACAAGGAAGTTAGTGGGAATTCTTCTGTCTAGCCTTACAGGAAAAAAACCCGTTTCCAACGAAGTCCTCTAAGTGGTCAAGTTATCCACGTGCAGACTTTACAAACAGAGTGTTTCCAAACTGCTGAATGAAAAGAAAAGTTAAACTCTGAGAGTTGAACGCACACATCGCAGAGCAGTTTACTGAGAATGATTTCTGTCTAGTCTTTATACGAAGATATTTCCTTTTCTACCATTGACCTCAAAGCAGCTGAAATCTCCACTTGCAAATTCCACAAAAAGAGTGTTTCAAGTCTGCTCTGTGTAAAGGATCGTTCAACTCTGTGAGTTGAATACACACAACACAAGGAAGTTACTGAGAATTCTTCTGTCTAGCAGAATATGAAGAAATCCCGTTTCCAACGAAGGCCTCAAGGAGGTCTGAATATCCACTTGCAGACTTTACAAACAGAGTGTTTCCTAACTGCTCTATGAAAAGAAAGGTGAAACTCAGTGAGTTGAATGCACACATCACAAAGGAGTTTATGAGAATCATTCTGTCTAGTTTTTATAGGAAGATATTTCCTTTTCTACCATTGACCTCAAAGCGGCAGAAATCTCCACTTGCAAATTCCACAAAAAGAGTGTTTCAAGTCTGCTCTGTGTAAAGGATCGTTCAACTCTCTGAGTTGAATACACACAACACGCGGAAGTTACTGAGAATTCTTCTGTCTAGCAGAATATGAAGAAATCCCGTTTCCAACGAAGGCCTCAAGGAGGTCTGAATATCCACTTGCAGACTATACAAACAGAGTGTTTCCTAACTGCTCTATGAACAGAAAGGTTAAACTCTGTGAGTTGAACGCACACATCACAAAGGAGTTTCTGAGAATCATTCTGTCTAGTCTTTATAGGAAGATATTACCTTTTCTACCATGGACCTCAAAGCGGCTGAAATCTCCACTTGCAAATTCCACAAAAAGAGTGTTTCAAGTCTGCTCTTTGTAAAGGATCGTTCAACTCTGTGAGTTGAATACACACAACACAAGGAAGTTACTGAGAATACTTCTGTCTAGCAGAATATGAAGAAATCCCGTTTCCAACGAAGGCCTCAAGGAGGTCTGAATATCCACTTGCAGACTTTACAAACAGAGTGTTTCCTAACTGCTCTATGAAAAGAAAGGTTAAACTCTGTGAGTTGATCGCACACATCACAAAGGAGTTTCTGAGAATCGTTCTGTCTACTTTCTATAAGAAGATATTTCCTATTCTACCATTGACCTCAAAGCGGCTGAAATCTCCACTTGCAAATTCGACAAAAAGAGTGTTTCAAGCCTGCTCTCTGTAAAGGATCCTTCAACTCTGTGAGTTGAATACACACAACACAAGGAAGTTACTGAGAATTATTCTGTCTAGCAGAATATGAAGAAATCCCGTTTCCAACGAAGGCCTCAAGGAGGTCTGAATATCCACTTGCAGACTTTACAAACAGAGTGTTTCCTAACTGCTCTATGAAAAGAAAGGTTAAACTCTGTGAGTTGAATGCACACATCACAAAGGAGTTTCTCAGAATCATTCTGTCTAGTCTTTATATGAAGATAGTTTCCTTTTCTACCATTGACCTCAAAGCGGCTGAAATCTCCACTTGCAAATTCCACAAAATGAGTGTTTCAAGTCTGCTCTGTGTAAAGGATCGTTCAACTCTGTGAGTTGAATACACACAACACAAGGAAGTTACTGAGAATTCTTCTGTCTAGCAGAATATGAAGAAATCCCGTTTCCAACGAAGGCCACAAGATGTCAGAATATCCACTTACAAACTTTACAGAGTGTTTCCTAACTGCTCTATGAACAGAAAGGTTAAACTCTGTGAGTTGAACGAACACATGACAACGCAGTTTCTTGGAATGATTCTGTCTAGTTTTTATAGGAAGATATTTCCTTTTCTACCTTTGACTTCAAAGTGGCTGAAATCTCCACTTGCAAATTCCACAAAAAGAGTGTTACAAGTCTGCTCTGTGTAAAGGATCGTTCAACTCTGTGAGTTCAATACACACAACACAAGGAAGTTACTGAGAATTCTTCTGTCTAGCCTTACATGAAAAAAACCCGTTTCCAATGAAGGCCTCTAAGTGGTCAAATTTTCCACGTGCAGACTTTACAAACAGAGTGTTTCCAAACTGCTGAATGAAAAGAAAAGTCAAACTCTGAGAGTTGAACGCACACATCGCAGAGCAGTTTCTGAGAATGATTCTTTCTATTTTTTTACGAAGATATTTCCTTTTCTGCCTTTGGCCTCAAAGCGCTTGAAATCTCCACTTGCAAATTCCACAAAAAGAGTGTTTCAAATCTGCTCTGTTTAAATGAAGTTCAACTCTGTGAGTTGAACACACACAACACAAGGAAGTTACTGGGAATTCTTCTGTCTAGCCTAATATGAAAAAAACCCGTTTCCAACGAAGGCCTCAAAGAGGTCTGAATATCCACTTGCAGACTTTACAAACAGAGTGTTTCCTAACTGCTCTATGAAAAGAAAGGTTAAACTCTGTGAGTTGAACACACACATCACAAAGGAGTTTCTGAGAATCATTCTGTCTAGTTTTTATACGAAGATATTTCCTTTTCTACCATTGACCTCAAAGCGGCTGAAATCACCACTTGCCAATTGCACAAAAAGAGTGTTTCAAATCTGCTCTGTCTAAGGGAACGTTCAACTCTGTGAGTTGAATGTACACAACAAAAGGAAGTTCCTGGGAATTCTTCTGTCTAGCCTTACAAGAAAAAAACCCGTTTCCAACGAAGGCCTCTAAATGGTCAAAATATCCACGTGCAGACTTTACAAACAGAGTGTTTCCAAACTGCTGAATGAAAAGAAAAGTTAAACTCTGAGAGTTGAACGCACACATCGCAGAGCAGTTTCTGAGAATGATTCTGTCTAGTCTTTATACGAAGATATTTCCTTTTCTACCATTGACCTCAAAGCGGCTGAAATCTCCACTTGCAAATTCCACAAAAAGAGTGTTTCAAGTCTGCTCTGTGTAAAGGATCGTTCAACTCTGTCAGTTGAATACACACAACACAAGGAAGTTACTGAGAATTCTTCTGTCTAGCAGAATACGAAGAAATCCCGTTTCCAACGAAGGCCTCAAGGAGGTCTGAATATCCACTTGCAGACTTTACAAACAGAGTGTTTCCTAACTGCTCTGTGAACAGAAAGGTTAAACTCTGTGAGTTGAACGCACACATCACAAAGGAGTTTCTGAGAATCATTCTGTCTAGTTTCTATAGGAAGATATTACCTATTCTACCTTTGACCTCAAAGCGGCTGAAATCTCCACTTGCAAATTCCACAAAAAGAGTGTTTCAAGTCTGCTCTGTGTAAAGGATCGTTCAACTCTGTGAGTTGAATACACACAACACAAGGAAGTTACTGAGAATTCTTCTGTCTAGCAGAATATGAAGAAATCCCGTTTCCAACGAAGGCCACAAGTTGTCAGAAAATCCACTTACAGAATTTACAAACAGACTGTTTCCTAACTGCTCTATGAAAAGAAAGGTTAAACTCTGTGATTTGAACGAACACATCACAACGCAGTCTGTGGGAATGATTCTGTCTAGTTTTGAAACGCAGATATTTCCTTTTCTGCCATTGACCTTAAAACTCTTGAAATCTCCACTTGCCAATTGCACAAAAAGAGTGTTTCAAATCTGCTCTGTCTAAGGGAACGTTCAACTCTGTGAGTTGAATGTACACAACACAAGGAAGTTACTGGGAATTCTTCTGTCTAGCCTTACATGAAAAAAACCCGTTTCCAACGAAGGCCTCTAAGTGGTCAAAATATCCACGTGCAGACTTTACAAACAGAGTGTTTCCAAACCGCTGAATGAAAAGAAAAGTTAAACTCTGAGAGTTGAACGCAAACATCAAGCAGCAGTTTCTGAGAATGATTCTGTCTAGTTTTTATACGAAGATATTTCCTTTTCTGCCTTTGGCCTCAAAGCGCTTGAAATCTCCACTTGCAAATTCCACAAAAAGAGTGTTTCAAATCTGCTCTGTGTAAATCAAAGTTCAACTCTGTGAGTTGAACGCACACAACACAAGGAAGTTACTGGGAATTCTTCTGTCTAGCATAGTATGAAGAAATCCCGTTTCCAACGAAGGCCTCAAAGAGGTCTGAATATCCACTTGCAGAGTTTACAAACAGAGGGTTTCCTAACTGCTCTATGAAAAGGAAGGTTAAACTCTGTGAGTTGAACGCATACATCACAAAGAAGTTTCTGAGAATGATTCTGTCTAGTTTTTATACGAAGATATTTCCTTTTCTACCATTGACCTCAACGCGGCTGAAATCTCCAATTGCAAATTCCACAAAAAGTGTGTTTCAAGTCTGCTCTGTGTAAAGGATCGTTCAACTCTGTGAGTTGAATACACACAACACAAGGAAGTTAGGGAGAATTCTTCTGTCTAGCAGAATATGAAGAAATCCCGTTTCCAACGAAGGCCTCAAAGAGGTCTGAATATCCACTTGCAGACTTTACAAACAGAGTGTTTCCTAACTGCTCTATGAAAAGAAAAGTTAAACTCTGTGAGTTGAACGCACACGTCACAAAGGAGTTTCTGAGAATCATTCTGTCTAGTTTTTATACGAAGATATTTCCTTTTCTGCCTTTGGCCCCAAAGCGCTTGAAATCTCCACTTGCAAATTCCACAAAGCAGTGTTTCAAATCTGCTCTCTGTAAATGAAAGTTCAACTCTGTCAGTTGAATACACACAACACAAGGAAGTTACTGAGAATTCTTCTGTCTAGCATAATATGAAGAAATCCCGTTTCCAACGAAGGCCTCAAAGAGATCTGAATATCCACATGCAGATTTATAAACAGAGTGTTTACTAACTGCTCTATGAAAAGAAAGGTTAAACTCTGTGAGTTGAACACACACATCACAAAGGAGTTTCTGAGAATCATTCTGTCTAGTTTCTATAGGAAGATATTTCCTATTCTACCATTGACCTCAAAGCGGCTGAAATCTCCAATTGCAAATTCCACAAAAGGAGTGTTTCAAGTCTGCTCTGTGTAAAGGATCGTTCAACTCTGTGAGTTGAATACACACAACACAAGGCAGTTACTGAGAATTCTTCTGTCTAGCACAGTATGAAGAAATCCCGTTTCCAACGAAGGCCTCAAAGAGGTCTGAATATCCACTTGCAGACTTTACAAACAGAGTGTTTCCTAACTGCTCTATGAAAAGAAAGGATAAACTCTGTGAGTTGAACGCACACGTCACAATGAAGTTTCTGAGAATCATTCTGTCTAGTTTTTATACGAAGATATTTCCTTTTCTACCATTGACCTCAAAGCGGCTGAAATCACCACTTGCCAATTGCACAAAAAGAGTGTTTCAAATCTGCTCTGTCTAAGGGAACGTTCAACTCTGTGAGTTGAATGTACACAACACAAGGAAGTTCCTGGGAATTCTTCTGTCTAGCCTTACAAGAAAAAAACCCGTTTCCAACGAAAGCCTCTAAATGGTCAAAATATCCACGTGCAGACTTTACAAACAGAGTGTTTCTAAACTGCTGAATGAAAAGAAAAGTTAAACTCTGAGAGTTGAACGCACACATCGCAGAGCAGTTTCTGAGAATGATTCTGTCTAGTTTTTATACGAAGATATTTCCTTTTCTGCCTTTGGCCTCACAGCGCGTGAAATCTCCACTTGCAAATTCCACAAAAAGAGTGTTTCAAATCTGCTCTGTGTAAATGAAAGTTCAACTCTGTGAGTTGAACACACACAACACAAGGAAGTTACTGGGAATTCTTCTGTCTAGCATAATATGAAGAAATCCCGTTTCCAACGATGGCCTCAAAGAGGTCTGAATATCCACTGGCAGACATTACAAACAGAGTGTTTCCTAACTACTCTATGAAAAGAAAGGTTAAACTCTGTGAGTTGAACGCACACATCACAAAGGAGTTTCTGAGAATCATTTCTGTCTAGTTTCTATAGGAAGATATTTCCTATTCTAACATTGACCTCAAAGCGGCTGAAATCTCCACTTGCAAATTCCACAAAAAGAGTGTTTCAAGTCTGCTTTGTGTAAAGGATCGTTCAACTCTGTGAGTTGAATACACACAACACAAGGAAGTTACTGAGAATTCTTCTGTTTAGCAGAATATGAAGAAATCCCGTTTCCAACGAAGGCCTCAAAGAGGTCTGAATATCCACTTGCAGACTTTACAAACAGAGTGTTTCCTAACTGCTCTATGAAAAGAAAGGTTAAACTCTGTGAGTTGAGCGCACACATCACAAAGGAGTTTCTGAGAATCATTCTGTCTAGTTTCTATAGGAAGATATTTCCTATTCTACCATTGACCTCAAAGCGGCTGAAATCTCCACTTGCAAATTCAACAAAAAGTGTGTTTCAAGTCTCCTCTGTGCAAAGCATCGTTGAACTCTGTGAGTTGAATACACACAACACAAGGAAGTTACTGAGAATTCTTCTGTCTAGCCTTACAGGATAAAAACCCGTTTCCAACGAAGGCCTCTAAGTGGTCAAAATATCCACGTGCAGACTTTACAAACAGAGTGTTTCCAAACTGCTGAATGAAAACAAAAGTTAAACTCTGAGAGTTGAACGCACACATCGCAGAGCAGTTTCTGAGAATGATTCTGTCTAGTTTTTATACGATGATATTTCGTTTTCTGCCATTGACCGCAAAGCGCTTGAAATCTCCACTTGCAAATTCCACAAAAAGAGTGTTACAAATCTGCTCTCTCTAAATGAAAGTTCAACTCTGTCAGTTGAATACACACAATACAAGGAAGTTACTGAGAATTCTTCTGTCTAGCATAATATGAAGAAATCCCGTTTCCAACGAAGGCCTCAAAGAGGTCTGAATATCCACTTGCAGACTTTACAAACAGAGTGTTTCCTAACTGCTCTATGAAAAGAAAAGTTAAACTCTGAGATTTGAACGCACACATCACAAAGGATTTTCTGAGAATCATTCTGTCTAGTCTTTATACGAAGATAGTTTCCTTTTCTACCATTGACCTCAAAGCGCCTGAAATCTCCACTTGCAAATTCCACAAAAAGAGTGTTTCAAGTCTGCTCTGTGTAAAGGATCGTTCAACTCTGTGAGTTGAATACACACAACACAAGGAAGTTGCTGAGAATTCTTCTCTCCAGCAGAATATGAAGAAACCCCGTTTCCAACGAAGGCCTCAAGGAGGTCTGAATATCCACTTGCAGACTTTACAAACAGAGTGTTTCCTAACTGCTCTATGAACAGAAAGGTTAAACTCTGTGAGTTGAACGCACACATCACAAAGGAGTTTCTGAGAATCATTCTGTCTAGTTTTTATACGAATATATTTCCTTTTCTGCGTTTGGCCCCTAAGCGTTTGAAATCTCCACTTGCAAATTCCACAAAAACAGTGTTTCAAATCTGATCTCTCTAAATGAAAGTTCAACTCTGTCAGTTGAATACACACAACACAAGGAAGTTACCGAGAATTCTTCTGTCTAGCCTTATATGAAAAAAACCCGTTTCCAACGAAGGCCTCAAAGAGGTCTGAATATCCACTTGCAGACTTTACAAACAGAGTGTTTCCTAACTGCTCTATGAAAAGAAAGGTTAAACTCTGTGAGTTGAACACACACATCACAAATGAGTTTCTGCGAATCATTCTGTCTAGTCTTTATACGAAGATATTTCCTTTTCTACCATTGACCTCAAAGCGGCTGAAATCTCCACTTGCAAATTCCACAAAAAGAGTGTTTAAAGTCTGCTCTCTGTAAAGGATCGTTCAACTCTGAGAGTTGAATACACACAACACAAGGAAGTTACTGAGAATTCTTCTGTCTAGCCTTACATGAAAAAAACCCGTTTCCAACGAAGGCCTCTAAGTGGTCAAATTATCCACGCGCAGACTTTACAAACAGAGTGTTTCCAAACTGCTGAATGAAAAGAAAAGTTAAACTCTGAGAGTTGAACGCACACATCGCAGAGCAGTTTCTGAGAATGATTCTGTCTAGTTTTTATACGACGATATTTCATTTTCTGCCTTTGGCCTCAAAGCGCTTGAAATCTCCATTTGCAAATTCCACAAAAAGAGTGTTTCAAATCTGCTCTGTGTAAATGAAAGTTCAACTCTGTGAGTTGAACACACACAACACAAGGAAGTTACTGGGAATTCTTCTGTCTAGCATAATATGAAGAAATCCCGTTTCCAACGAAGGCCTCAAGGAGGTCTGAATATCCACTTGCAGACTTTACAAACAGAGTGTTTACTAACTGCTCTATGAAAAGAAAGGTTAAACTGTGTGAGTTGAACGCACACATCACAAAGGAGTTTCTGAGAATCATTCTGTCTAGTTTCTGTAGGAAGATATTTCCTATTCTACCATTGACCTCAAAGCGGCTGAAATCTCCACTTGCAAATTCCACAAAAAGAGTGTTTCAAGTCTGCTCTGTGTAAAGGATCGTTCAACTCTGTGAGTTGAAAACACACAACACAAGGAAGTTACTGAGAATTCTTCTGTCTAGCAGAATATGAAGAAATCCCGTTTCCAACGAAGGCCTCAAGGAGGTCTGAATATCCACTTGCAGACTTTACAAACAGAGTGTTTCCTAACTGCTCTATGAAAAGAAAGGATAAACTTTGTGAGTTGAATGCACACATCACAAAGGAGTTTCTCAGAATCATTCTGTCTAGTTTTTATACGAAGATATTTCCTTTTCTACCATGGACGTCAAAGCAGCTGAAATCTCCACTTGCAAATTCCACAAAAAGAGTGTTTCAAGTCTGCTCTGTGTAAAGGATCGTTCAACTCTGTGAGTTGAATACACACAACACAAGGAAGATTCTGAGAATTCTTCTGTCTAGCAGAATATGAAGAAATCCCGTTTCCAACGAAGGCCTCAAAGAGGTCTGAATATCCACTTGCAGACTTTACAAACAGAGTGTTTCCTAACTGATCTATGAAAAGAAAAGTTAAACTCTGTGAGTTGAACGCACACATCACAAAGGAGTTTCTGAGAATCATTCTGTCTAGTTTTTATACGAAGATATTTCCTATTCTACCATTGACCTCAAAGCGGCTGAAATCTCCACTTGCAAATTCCACAAGAAGAGTGTTTCAAGTCTGCTCTGTGTAAAGGATCGTTCAACTCTGTGAGTTGAATACACACAACACAAGGAAGTTACTGAGAATTCTTCTGTCTAGCATAATATGAAGAAATCTCGTTTCCAACGAAGGCCTCAAGGAGGTCTGAATATCCACTTGCAGACTTTACAAACAGAGTGTTTCCTAACTGCTCTATGAAAAGAAAGGTTAAACTCTGTGAGTTGAACGCACACATCACAAAGGAGTTTCTGAGAATCATTCTGTCTAGTTTCTATAGGAAGATATTTCCTATTCTACCATTGACCTCAAAGCGGCTGAAATCTCCACTTGCAAATTCCACAAAAAGAGTGTTTCAAGTCTGCTCTGTGTACAGGATCGTTCAACTCTGTGAGTTGAATACACACAACACAAGGAAGTTACTGAGAATTCTTCTGTCTAGCAGAATATGAAGAAATCCCGTTTCCAACGAAGGCCTCAAGGAGGTCTGAATATCCACTTGCAGACTTTACAAACAGAGTGTTTCCTAACTGCTCTATGAAAAGAAAGGTTAAACTCTGTGAGTTGAACGCACACATCACAAAGGAGTTCCTGAGAATCATTCTGTCTAGTTTTGAAACGAAGATATTTCCTTTTCTGCCATTGACCCTAAAGCGCTTGAAATCTCCACTTGCAAATTGCACAAAAAGAGTGTTTCAAATCTGCTCTGTCTAAGGGAACGTTCAACTCTGTGAGTTGAATGCACACAACACAAGGAAGTTACTGGGAATTCTTCTGTCTACACTTACATGAAAAAAACCCGTTTCCAAAGAAGGCCTCTAAGTGGTCAAAATATCCACGTGCAGACTTTACAAACAGAGTGTTTTCAAACTGCTGAATGAAAAGAAATGTTAAACTCTGAGAGTTGAACGCACACATCACAGAGGATTTTCTGAGAATGATTCTGTCTAGTTTTTATACGAAGATATTTCCTTTTCTGCCTTTGGCCTCAAAGCGCTTGAAATCTCCATTTGCAAATTCCACAAAAAGAGTGTTTCATATCTGCTCTCTGTAAATGAAAGTTCAACTCTGTGAGTTGAACACACACAACACAAGGAAGTTACTGGGAAATCTTCTGTCTAGCATAATATGAAGAAATCCCGTTTCCAAAGAAGGCCTCAAAGGGGTCTGAATATCCACTTGCAGACTTTACAAACAGAGTGTTTACGAACTGCTCTATGAAAAGAAAGGTTAAACTCTGTGAGTTGAACACACACATCACAAAGGAGTTTCTGAGAATCATTCTGTCTAGTTTTTCTACGAAGATATTTCCTTTTCTACTATTGACCTCAAAGCGGCTGAAATCTCCACTTGCAAATTTCACAAACAGAGTGTTTCAAGTCTGCTCTGTGTAAAGGATCGTTCAACTCTGTGAGTTGAATACACACAACACAAGGAAGTTACTGAGAATTCTTCTGTCTAGCAGAATATGAAGAAATCCCGTTTCCAACGAAGGCCTCAAGGAGGTCTGAATATCCACTTGCAGACTTTACAAACAGAGTGTTTCCTAACTGCTCTATGAAAAGAAAAGTTAAACTCTGTGAGTTGAACGCACACATCACAAAGGATTTTCTGATAATTATTCTGTCTAGTTTTTATACGAAGATATTTCCTTTTCTACCATGGACCTCAAAGTGGCTGAAATCTCCACTTGCAAATTCCACAAAAAGAGTGTTTCAAGTCTGCTCTGTGTGAAGGATCGTTCAACTCTGTGAGTTGAATACACACAACACAAGGAAGATTCTGAGAATTCTTCTTTCTAGCAGAATATGAAGAAATCCCGTTTCCAACGAAAGCCTCAAAGATGTCTGAATATCCACTTGCAGACTTTACAAACAGAGTGTTTCCTAACTGCTCTATGAAAAGAAAGGTTGAACTCTGTGAGTTGAACGCACACATCACAAAGGAGTTTCTGAGAATCATTCTGTCTAGTTTCTATAAGAAGATATTTCCTATTCTACCATTGACCTCAAAGCGGCTGAAATCTCCACTTGCAAATTCGACAAAAAGAGTGTTTCAAGCCTGCTCCCTGTAAAGGATCCTTCAACTCTGTGAGTTGGATACACACAACACAAGGAAGTTACTGAGAATTATTCTGTCTAGCCTTATATGAAAAAAACCCGTTTCCACCGAAGGCCTCAAAGAGGTCTGAATATCCTCTTGCAGACTTTACAAACAGAGTGTTTCCTAACTGCTCTATGAAAAGAAAGGTTAAACTCTGTGAGTTGGACACACACATCACAAAGGAGTTTCTGAGAATCATTCTGTCTAGTCTTTATATGAAGATAGTTTCCTTTTCTACCATTGACCTCAAAGCGGCTGAAATCTCCACTTGCAAATTCCACAAAAAGAGTGTTTCAAGTCTGCTGTGTGTAAAGGATCGTTCAACTCTGTGAGTTGAATACACACAACACAAGGAAGTTACTGAGAATTCTTCTGTCTAGCAGAATATGAAGAAATCCCGTTTCCAACGAAGGCCTCAAGGAGGTCTGAATATCCACTTGCAGACTTTACAAACAGAGTGTTTCCTAACTGCTCTATGAACAGAAAAGTTAAACTCTGTGAGTTGAACGAACACATCACAACGCAGTTTGTGGGAATGATTCTGTCTAGTTTTGAAACGAAGATATTTCCTTTTCTGCCACTGACCTTAAAGCGCTTGAAATCTACACTTGCAAATTGCACAAAGAGAGTGTTTCAAATCTGCTCTGTCTAAGGGAACGTTCAACTCTGTGAGTTGAATGCATAAAACACAACGAAGTTACTGGGAATTCTTCTGTCTAGCCTTACATGAAAAAAACCCGTTTCCAACGAAGACCTCTAAGTGGTCAAATTATCCACGTGCAGACTTTACAAACAGAGTGTTTCCAAACTTCTGAATGAAAAGAAAAGTTAAACTCTGAGAGTTGAAAGCACACATCGCAGAGCAGTTTCTGAGAATGATTATGTCTAGTTTTGAAACGAAGATATTTCCTTTTCTGCCTTTGGCCTCAAAGCGCTTGAAATCTCCACTTGCAAATTCCACAAAAAGAGTGTTTCAAATCTGCTCTGTGTAAATGGAAGTTCAACTCTGTGAGTTGAACACACACAACACAAGGAAGTTACTGGGAATTCTTCTGTCTAGCACAGTATGAAGAAATCCCGTTTCCAACGAAGGCCTCAAAGAGGTCCGAATATCCACTTGCAGAGTTTACAAACAGAGTGTTTCCTAACTGCTCTATGAAAAGAAAGGTTAAACTCTGTGAGTTGAACGCACACATCACAAAGAAGTTTCTGAGAATCATTCTGTCTAGTTTCTATAAGAAGATATTTCCTATTCTACCATTGACCTCAAAGCGGCTGAAATCTCCACTTGCAAATTCGACAAAAAGAGTGTTTCAAGCCTGCTCTCTGTAAAGGATCCTTCATATCTGTGAGTTGAATACACACAACACAAGGAAGTTACTGAGAATTATTCTGTCTAGCAGAATATGAAGAAATCCCGTTTCCAACGAAGGCCTCAAAGAGGTCTGAATATCCACTTGCAGACTTTACAAACAGAGTGTTTCCTAACTGCTCTATGAAAAGAAAGGTCAAACTCTGTGAGTTGAACGCACACATCACAAAGGAGTTTCTGAGAATCGTTTTGTCTAGTTTCTATAAGAAGATATTTCCTATTCTACCATTGACCTCAAAGCGGCTGAAATCTCCACTTGCAAATTCCACAAAAAGAGTGTTTCAAGTCTGCTCTGTGTAAAGGATCATTCAACTCTGTGTGTTGAATAAACACAACACAAGGAAGTTACTGAGAATTCTTCTGTCTAGCATAATATGAAGAAATCCCGTTTCCAACGAAGGCCTCAAAGAAGTCTGAATATCCACTTGCAGACTTTACAAACAGAGTGTTTCCCAACTGCTCTATGAAAAGAGAGGTTGAACTCTGTGAGTTGAACGCACACATCACAAAGGAGTTATGAGAATCATTCTGTCTAGTTTTTATATGAAGATATTTCCTTTTCTACCATTGACCTCAAAGCGGCTGAAATCTCCACTTACAAATTCCACAAAAAGTGTGTCTCAAGTCTGCTCTGTGTAAACGATCGTTCAACTCTGTGAGTTGAATACACACAACACAAGGAAGTTTCTGAGAATTCTTCTGTCTAGCATAATATGAAGAAATCCCGTTTCCAACGAATGCCTCAAGGAGGTCTGAATATCCACTTGCAGACTTTAGAAACAGAGTGTTTCCTAACTGCTCTATGAAAAGAAAGGTTAAACTCTGTGAGTTGAACGCACACATCACAAAGGAGTTTCTGAGAATCATTCTGTCTAGTCTTTATACGAAGATATTTGCTTTTCTACCATTGACCTCAAAGCGGCTGAAATCTCCACTTGCAAATTCCACAAAAAGAGAGTTTCAAGTCTGCTCTGTGTAAAGGATCATTCAACTCTGTGAGTTGAATATACACAACACAAGGAAGTTACTGAGAATTCTTCTGTCTAGCATAATATGAAGAAATCCCGTTTCCAACGAAGGCCTCAAAGAGGTCTGAATATCCACTTGCAGACTTTACAAACAGAGGGTTTCCTAACTGCTCTATGAAAAGAAAAGTTAAACTCTGTGATTTGAACGCACACATCACAAAGGAGTTTCTGAGAATCATTCTGTCTAGTCTTTATACGAAGATAGTTTCCTTTTCTACCATTGACCACAAAGCGGCTGAAATCTCCACTTGCAAATTCCACAAAAAGAGTGTTTCAAGTCTGCTCTGTGTAAAGGATCGTTCAACTCTGTGAGTTGAATACACACAACACAAGGAAGTTGCTGAGAATTCTTCTGTCTAGCAGAATATGAAGAAATCCCGTTTCCAAAGAAGGCCTCAAGGAGGTCTGAATATCCACTTGCAGACTTTACAAACAGAGTGTTTCCTAACTGCTCTATGAAAAGAAAGGTTAAACTCTGTGAGTTGAACGCACACATCACAAAGGAGTTTCTGCGAATCATTCTGTCTAGTCTTTATACGAAGATATTTCCTTTTCTACCATTGACCTCAAAGCGGCTGAAATCCCCACTTGCAAATTCCACAAAAAGAGTGTTTCAAGTCTGCTCTGTGTAAAGGATCGTTCAACTCTGTGAGTTGAATACACACAACACAAGGAAGTTACTGAGAATTCTTCTGTCTAGCCTTACATGAAAAAATCCCGTTTCCAACGAAGGCCGCTAAGTGGTCAAAATTTCCACGTGCAGACTTTACAAACAGAGTGTTTCCAAACCGCTGAATGAAAAGAAAAGTTAAACTCTGAGAGTTGAACGCACACATCACGCAGCAGTTTCTGAGAATGATTCTGTCTAGTTTTGAAACGAAGATATTTCCTTTTCTGCCTTTGGCCTCAAAGCGCATGAAATCTCCACTTGCAAATTCCACAAAAAGAGTGTTTCAAATCTGCTCTGTGTAAATGAAAGTTCAACTCTGTGAGTTGAACACACACAACACAAGGAAGTTACTGGGAATTCTTCTGTCTAGCATAATATGAAGAAATCCCGTTTCCAACGAAGGACTCAAAGGGGTCTGAATATCCACTTGCAGACTTTATAAACAGAGTGTTTACTAACTGCTCTATGAAAAGAAAGGTTAAACTCTGTGAGTTGAACACACACATCACAAAGGAGTTTCTGAGAATCATTCTGTCTTGTTTCTATACGAAGATATTTCCTTTTCTACCATTGACCTCAAAGCGGCTGAAATCTACAATTGCAAATTCCACAAAAAGAGTGTTTCAAGTCTGCTCTGTGTAAAGGATCGTTCAATTCTGTGAGTTGAATACACACAACACAAGGAAGTTACTGAGAATTCTTCTGTCTAGCAGAATATGAAGAAATCCCATTTCCAACGAAGGCCACAAGATGTCAGAATATCCACTTGCAGACTTTACAAACAGAGTGTTTCCTAACTGCTCTATGAACAGAAAGGTTAAACTCTGTGAGTTGAACGAACACATCACAACGCAGTTTGTGGGAATGATTCTGTCTAGTTTTGAAACGAAGATATTTCTTTTACTGCCATTGACCTTAAAGCGCTTGAAATCTCCACTTGCCAATTGCACAAAAAGAGTGTTTCAAATCTGCTGTGTCTAAGGGAACGTTCAACTCTGTGAGTTGAATGTACACAACACAAGGAAGTTACTGGGAATTCTTCTGTCTAGCCTTACAGGAAAGAAACCCGTTTCCAACGAAGGCCTCTAAGTGGTCAAAATATCCATGTGCAGACTTTACAAACAGAGTGTTTCCAAACTGCTGAATGAAAAGAAAAGTTAAACTCTGAGAGTTGAACGCACACATCGCAGAGCAGTTTCTGAGAATGATTCTGTCTAGTTTTTATACGAAGATATTTCCATTTCTGCCTTTGGCCTCAAAGCGCTTGAAATCTCCACTTGCAAATTCCACAAAAAGAGTGTTTCCAATCTGCTCTGTGTAAATGAAAGTTCAACTCTGTGAGTTGAACACACACAACACAAGGAAGTTACTGGGAATTCTTCTGTCTAGCACAGTATGAAGAAATCCCGTTTCCAACGAAGGCCTCAAAGAGGTCTGAATATCCACTTGCAGACTTTACAAACAGAGTGTTTCCTAACTGCTCTATGAAAAGAAAGGTTAAACTCTGTGAGTTGAAGGCACACATCACAAAGGAGTTTCTGAGAATCATTCTGTCTAGTTTTTATACGAAGAGATTTCCTTTTCTACCATTGACCTCAAAGCGGCTGAAATCTCCACTTGCAAATTACACAAAAAGAGTGTTACAAGTCTGCTCTGTGTAAAGGATCCTTCAACTCTGTGAGTTGAATACACACAACACAAGGAAGTTACTGAGAATTCTTCTGTCTAGCATAATATGAAGAAATCCCGTTTCCAACGAAGGCCTCAAAGGGGTCTGAATATCCACTTGCAGACTTTACAAACAGAGTGTTTCCTAACTGCTCTATGAAAAGAAAGGTTAAACTCTGTGAGTTGAACGCACACATCACAAAGGAGTTTCTGAGAATCGTTCTGTCTAGTTTTTATACGAAGATATTTCCTTTTCTACCATTGACCTCAAAGCGGCTGAAATCACCACTTGCCAATTGCACAAAAAGAGTGTTTCAAATCTGCTCTATCTAAGGGAACGTTCAACTCTGTGAGTTGAATGTACACAACACAAGGAAGTTCCTGGGAATTCTTCTGTCTAGCCTTACAGGAAAAAAACCCGTTTCCAACGAAGGCCTCTAAGTGGTCAAAATATCCACGTGCAGACTTTACAAACAGAGTGTTTCCAAACTGCTGAATGAAAAGAAAAGTTAAACTCTGAGAGTTGAACGCACACATCGCAGAGCAGTTTCAGAGAATGATTCTGTCTAGTTTTGAAACGAAGATATTTCCTTTTCTGCCTTTGGCCTCAAAGCGCTTGAAATCTCCACTTGCAAATTCCACAAAAAGAGTGTTTCAAATCTGCTCTGGGTAAATGAAAGTTCAACTCTGTGAGTTGAACACACACAACACAAGGAAGTTAGTGGGAATTCTTCTGTCTAGCATAATATGAAGATATCCCGTTTCCAACGAAGGCCTCAAAGAGGTCTGAATATCCACTTGCAGACTTTACAAACAGAGTGTTTCCTAACTGCTCTATGAAAAGAAAGGTTAAACTCTGTGAGTTGAACGCACACATTTCAAAGGAGATTCTGAGAATCATTCTGTCTAGTTTCTATAAGAAGATACTTCCTATTCTACCATTGACCTGAAAGCGGCTGAAATCTCCACTTGCAAATTCGACAAAAAGAGTGTTTCAAGCCTGCTCTCTGTAAAGGATCCTTCAACTCTGTGAGTTGAATACACACAACACAAGGAAGTTACTGAGAATTCTTCTGTCTAGCATAATATGAAGAAATCCCGTTTCCAACGAAGGCCTCAAAGAGGTCTGAATATCCACTTGCAGACTTTACAAACAGAGTGTTTCCTAACTGCTCTATGAACAGAAAGGTTAAACTCTGTGAGTTGAACGCACACATCACAAAGGAGTTTATGAGAATCATTCTGTCTAGTTTCTATAGGAAGATATTTCCTATTCTACCATTGACCTCAAAGCGGCTGAAATCTCCACTTGCAAATTCCACAAAAAGAGTGTTTCAAGTCTGCTCTCTGTAAAGGATCGTTCAACTCTGTGAGTTGAATACACACAACACAAGGAAGTTTCTGAGAAATATTCTGTATAGCAAAATATGAAGAAATCCGGTTTCCAACGAAGGCCTCAAGGAGGTCTGAATATCCACTTGCAGACTTTACAAACAGAGTGTTTCCTAACTGCTCTATGAAAAGAAAGGTTAAACCCTGTGAGTTGAACGCAGACATCACAAAGGAGTTTCTGAGAATCACTCTGTCTAGTTTTTATACGAAGATATTTCCTTTTCTACCACTGACCTCAAAGCGGCTGAAATCTCCACTTGCCAATTCAACAAAAAGAGTGTTTCAAGTCTACTCTGTGTAAAGGATCGTTGAACTCTGTGAGTTTAAAACACACAACACCAGGACGTTTCTGAGAATTCTTCTGTCTAGCCTTACATGAAAAAAACCCGTTTCCAACGAAGGCCTCAAAGAGGTCTGAATATCCACTTGCAGACTTTAAAAACAGAGTGTTTCCCAACTGCTCTATGAAAAGGAAGGTTAAACTCTGTGAGTTGAACGCACACATCACAAAGAAGTTTCTGAGAATCATTCTGTCTAGTTTCTATAGGAAGATATTTCCTATTCTACCATTGACCACAAAGCGGCTGAAATCTCCACTTGCAAATTTCACAAAAAGAGTGTTTCAAGTCTGCTCTGTGTAAAGGATCGTTCAACTCTGTGAGTTGAGTACACACAACACGAGGAAGTTACTGAGAATTCTTCTGTCTAGCAGAATATGAAGAAATCCCGTTTCCAACGAAGGCCTCAAAGAGGTCTGAATATCCACTTGCAGACTTTACACACAGAGTGTTTCCTAACTGCTCTATGAACAGAAAGGTTAAACTGCTGTGAGTTGAACGAACACATCACAACGCAGTTTGTGGGAATGATTCTGTCTAGTTTTTATAGGAAGATATTTCCTTTTCTACCTTTGACTTCAAAGCGGCTGAAATCTCCACTTGCAAATTCCACAAAAAGAGTGTTACAAGTCTGCTCTGTGTAAAGGATCGTTCAACTCTGTGAATTGAATACACACAACACAAGGAAGTTACTGAGAATTCTTCTGTCTAGCCTTACATGAAAAAAACCCGTTTCCAACGAAGGCCTCTAAGTGGTCAAATTATCCACTTGCAGACTTTACAAACAGAGTGTTTCCAAACTGCTGAATGAAAAGAAAAGTTAAACTCTGAGAGTTGAACGCACACATCGCAGAGCAGTTTCTGAGAATGATTCTGTCTAGTTTTTATACGAAGATATTTCCTTTTCTGCCTTTGGCCCCAAAGCGCTTGAAATCTCCACTTGCAAATTCCACAAAAACAGTGTTTCAAATCTGCTCTCTCTAAATGAAAGTTCAACTCTGTCAGTTGAATACACACAACACAAGGAAGTTAGTGAGAATTCTTCTGTCTAGCAGAATATGAAGAAATCCCGTTTCCAACGAAGGCCTCAAGGAGGTCTGAATATCCACTTGCAGAATTTACAAGCAGAGTGTTTCCTAACTGCTCTATGAAAAGAATGGTTAAACTCTGTGAGTTGAACGCACACATCACAAAGGAGTTTCTGAGAATCATTCTGTCTAGTTTTTATACGAAGATATTTCCTTTTCTACCATTGACCTCAAAGCGGCTGAAATCTCCACTTGCAAATTCCACAAAAAGAGTGTTTCAAATCTGCTCTGTGTAAACCAGAGTTCAACTCTGTGAGTTGAATACACACAACACAAGGAAGTTGCTGAGAATTCTTCTGTCTAGCAGAATAGGAAGAAATCCCGTTTCCAACGAAGGCCACAAGATGTCAGAATATCCACTTACAGACTTTACAAACAGAGTGTTTCCTAACTGCTCTATGAACAGAAATGTTAAACTCTGTGAGTTGAACGAACACATCACAACGCAGTTTGTGGGAATGATTCTGTCTAGTTTTGAAACGAAGATATTTCCTTTTCTGCCATTGACCTTAAGCGCTTGAAATCTCCACTTGCCAATTGCACAAAAAGAGTGTTTCAAATCTGCTCTGACTAAGGGAACGTTCAACTCTGTGAGTTGAATGTACACAACACAAGGAAGTTACTGGGAATTGTTCTGTCTAGCCTTACATGACAAAAACCCGTTTCCAACGAAGGCCTCTAAGTGGTCAAAATATCCACGTGCAGACTTTACAAACAGAGTGTTTCCAAACTGCTGAATGAAAAGAAAAGTTAAACTCTGAGAGCTGAACGCACACATCGCAGAGCAGTTTCTGAGAATGATTCTGTCTAGTTTTTATACGAAGATATTTCCTTTTCTGCCTTTGGCCGCAAATCGCTTGAAATCTCCACTTGCAAATTCCACAAAAACAGTGTTACAAATCTGCTCTCTCTAAATGAAAGTTCAACTCTGTCAGTTGAATACACACAACACAAGGAAGTTACTGAGAATTCTGCTGCCTAGCCTTACATGAAAAAAACCCGTTTCCAACGAAGGCCTCAAAGAAGTCCAAATATCCACGTGCAGACTTTACAAACAGAGTGTTTCCTAACTGCTCTATGAAAAGAAAGGTTAAACTCTGTGAGTTCAACGCACACATCACAAAGGAGTTTCTGAGAATCATTCTGTCTAGTTTCTATAGGAAGATATTTCCTATTCTACCATTGACCTCAAAGCGGCTGAAATCTCCACTTGCAAATTCCGCAAGAAGAGTGTTTCAAGTATGCTCTGTGTAAAGGATCGTTCAACTCTGTGCGTTGAATACACACAACACAAGGAAGTTACTGAGAATTCTTCTGTCAGGCATAATATGAAGAAATCCCGTTTGCAACGAAGGCCTCAAAGAGGTCTGAATATCCACTTGCAGAGTTTACAAACAGAGTGTTTCCTAACTGCTCTATGAAAAGAAAGGTTAAACTCTGTGAGTTGAACGCACACATCACAAAGAAGTTTCTGAGAATCATTCTGTCTAGTTTCTATAGGAAGATATTTCCTATTCTACAATTGACCTCAAAGCGGCTGAAATCTCCACTTGCAAGTTCCACAAAAAGAGTGTTTCAAGTCTGCTCTGTGTAAAGGATCGTTCAACTCTGTGAGTTGAATACACACAACACAAGGAAGTTACTGAGAATTCTTCTGTCTAGCATAATATGAAGAAATCCCGTTTCCAACGAAGGCCTCAACGAGGTCTGAATATCCACTTGCAGACTTTACCAACAGAGTGTTTCCTAACTGCTCTATGAAAAGAAAGGTTAAACTCTGCGAGTTGAACGCACACATCACAAAGGAGTTTCTGAGAATCATTCTGTCTAGTTTCTATAGGAAGATATTTCCTATTCTACCTATTGACCTCAAAGCGGCTGAAATCTCCACTTGCAAATTCCACAAAAAGAGTGTTTCAAGTCTGCTCTGTGTAAAGGATCGTTCAACTCTGTGAGTTGAATACACACAACACAAGGAAGTTCCTGAGAATTCCTCTCTCTAACATAATATGAAGAAATCCCGTTTCCAAAGAAGGCCTCAAAGAGGTCTGAATAGCCACTTGCAGACTTTACATACAGAGTGTTTCCTAACTGCTCTATGAAAAGAAAGGTTAAACTCTGTGAGTTGAACGCACACATCACAAAGGAGTTTCTGAGAATCATTCTGTCTAGTTTCTATAGGAACATATTTCCTATTCTACCATTGACCACAAAGCGGCTGAAATCTCCACTTGCAAATTCCACAAAAACAGTGTTTCAAGTCTGTTCTGTGTAAAGGATCGTTCAACTCTGTAAGTTGAATACACACAACACAAGGAAGTTACTGAGAATTCTTCTGTCTAGCAGAATATGAAGAAATCCCGTTTCCAACGAAGCCCTCAAGGAGGTCTGAATATCCACTTGCAGACTTTACAAACAGAGTGTTTCCTAACCGCTCTATGAAAAGAAAGGTTAAACCCTGTGAGTTGAACGCACACATCACAAAGTAGTTTCTGAGAATCATTCTGTCTGGTCTTTATACGAAGATAGTTTCCTTTTCTACCATTGACCTCAAAGCGGCTGAAATCTCCACTTGCAAATTCCACAAAAAGAGTGTTTCAAGTCTGCTCTGTGTAAAGGATCGTTCAACTCTGTGAGTTGAATACACACAACACAAGGAAGTTACTGAGAATTCTTCTGTCTAGCATAATATGAAGAAATCCCGTTTCCAATGAAGGCCTCAAAGAGGTCTGAATATCCACTTGCAGATTTTACAAACAGAGTGTTTCCTAACGGCTCTATGAAATGAAAAGTTAAACTCTGTGAGTTGAACGCACACATCACAAAGGAGTTTATGAGAATCATTCTGTCTGGTTTATATATGAAGATATTTCCTTTTCTACCATTGACCTCAAAGCGGCTGAAATCTCCACTTACAAATTCCACAAAAAGAGTGTCTCAAGTCTGCTCTGTGTAAACGATCGTTCAACTCTGTGAGTTGAATACACACAACACAAGGAAGTTTCTGAGAATTCTTCTGTCTAGCAGAATATGAAGAAATCCCGTTTCCAACGAAGACCACAAGATTTCAGAATATCCACTTACAGACTTTACAAACAGAGTGTTTCCTAACTGCTCTATGAACAGAAAGGTTAAACTCTGTGAGTTGAACGAACACATCACAACGCAGTTTGTGGGAATGATTCTGTCTAGTTTTGAAACGAAGATATTTCCTCTTCTGCCATTGACCTTAAAGCGCTTGAAATCTACACTTGCCAATTGCACAAATAGAGTGTTTCAAATCTGCTCTGTCTAAGGGAACGTTCAACTCTGTGAGTTGAATGCACACAACACAAGGAAGTTACTGGGAATTCTTCTGTCTAGCCTTACAGGAAAAAAACCCGTTTCCAAAGAAGGCCTCTAAGTGGTCAAAATATCCACGTGCAGACTTTACAAACAGAGTGTTTCCAAACTGCTGAATGAAAAGAAAAGTTAAACTACTGAGAGTTGAACGCACACATCGCAGAGCAGTTTCTGAGAATGATTCTGTCTTGTTTTTATACGAAGATATTTCCTTTTCTGCCTTTGGCCCCAAAGCGCTTGAAATCTCCACTTGCAAATTCCACAAAAACAGTGTTTCAAATCTGCTCTCTCTAAATGAAAGTTCAACTCTGTCAGTTGAATACACACAACACAAGGAAGTTACTGAGAATTCTTCTGTCTAGCATAATATGAAGAAATCCCGTTTCCAACGAAGGCCTCAAACAGGTCTGAATATCCACTTGCAGACTTTACAAACAGAGTGTTTCCTAACTGCTCTATGAGAAGAAAAGTTAAACTCTGTGAGTTGAACGCACACATCACAAAAGATTTTCTGAGAATCATTCTCTCTAGTTTCTATAGGAAGATATTTCCTATTCTACCATTGAACTCAAAGCGGCTGAAATCTCCACTGGCAAATTCCACAAAAAGAGTGTTTCAAGTCTGCTCTGTGTAAAGGATCGTTCAACTCTGTGAGTTGAATACACACAACACAAGGAAGTTACTGAGAATTCTTCGGTCTAGCAGAATATGAAGAAATCCCGTTTCCAACGAAGGCCTCAAGGAGGTCTGAATATCCACTTGCATACTTTACAAACAGAGTGTTTCCTAACTGCTCTATGAACAGAAGGGTTAAACTCTGTGAGTTGAACGAACACATCACAACGCAGTTTGTGGGAATGATTCTGTCTAGTTTTGAAACGAAGATATTTCCTTTTCTGCCGTTGACCTTAAATCGCTTGAAATCTACACTTGCAAATTGCACAAATAGAGTTTTTCAAATCTGCTCTGTCTAAGGGAACGTTCAACTCTGTGAGTTGAATGCACACAACACAAGGAAGTTACTGGGAATTCTTCTGTCTAGCCTTACAGAAAAAAACCCGTTTCCAACGAAGGCCTCTAAGTGGTCAAGTTATCCACGTGCAGACTTTACAAACAGAGTGTTTCCAAACTGCTGAATGAAAAGAAAAGTTAAACTCTGAGAGTTGAACGCACACATCGCAGAGCAGTTTCTGAGAATGATTCTGTCTAGTTTTTATACGAAGATATATCGTTTTCTGCCTTTGGCCACAAAGCGCTTGAAATCTCCACTTGCAAATTCCACAAAAACAGTGTTTCAAATCTGCTCTCTCTAAATGAAAGTTCAACTCTGTCAGCTGAATACACACAACACAAGGAAGTTACTGAGAATTCTTATGTCTAGCCTTATATGAAAAAAACCCGTTTCCAAAGAAGGCCTCAAAGAGGTCTGAATATCCACTTGCAGACTTTACAAACAGAGTCTTTCCTAACTGCTCTATGAAAAGAAAGGTTAAACTCTGTGAGTTGAACGCACACATCACAAAGAAGTTTCTGAGAATCATTCTGTCTAGTCTTTATACGAAGATATTTCCTTTTCTACCATTGACCTCAAAGCGGCTGAAGTCTCCACTTGCAAATTCCACAAAAAGTGTGTTTAAAGTCTGCTCTCTGTAAAGGATCATTCAACTCTGTGAGTTGAATACACACAACACAAGGAAGTTACTGAGAATTCTTCTGTCTTGCAGAATATGAAGAAATCCCGTTTCCAACGAAGGCCTCAAAGAGGTCTGAATATCCACTTGCAGACTTTACAAACAGAGTGTTTCCTAACTGCTCTATGGAAAGAAAAGTTGAACTCTGTGAGTTGAACGCACACATCACAAAGGAGTTTCTGAGAATCATTCTGTCTAGTTTCGATAGGAAGATATTTCCTATTCTACCATTGACCTCAAAGCGGCTGAAATCTCCACTTGCAAATTCCACAAAAAGAGTGTTTCAAGTCTGCTCTCTGTAAAGGATCGTTCAACTCTGAGAGTTGAATACACACAACACAAGGAAGTTACTGAGAATTATTCTGTCTAGCCTTATATGAAAAAAACCCGTTTCCAACGAAGGCCTCAAAGAGGTCTGAATATCCTCTTGCAGACTTTACAAACTGAGTGTTTCCTAACTGCTCTATGAAAAGAAAGGTTAAACTCTGTGAGTTGGACACACACATCACAATGGAGTTTCTGAGAATCATTCTGTCTAGTTTTTATAGGAAGATATTTCCTTTTCTACCTTTGACTTCAAAGCGGCTGAAATCTCCACTTGCAAATTCCACAAAAAGAGTGTTACAAGTCTGCTCTGTGTAAAGGATCGTTCAACTCTGTGAGTTGAATACACACAACCCAAGGAAGTTACTGGGAATTCTTCTGTCTAGCATAATATGAAGAAATCCCGTTTCCAACGAAGGCCTCAAAGAGGTCGGAATATCCACTTGCAGACTTTACAAACAGAGTGTTTCCTAACTGCTCTATGAGAAGAAAAGTTAAACTCGGTGAGTTGAACGCACACATCACAAAAGATTTTCTGAGAATCATTCTGTCTAGTTTTTATACGAAGGTATTTCCTTTTCTACCACGGACCTCAAAGTGGCTGAAATGTCCACTTGCAAATTCCACAAAAAGAGTGTTTCAAGTCTGCTCTGTGTAAAGGATCGTTCAACTCGGTGAGTTGAATACACACAACACAAGGGAAGATTCTGAGAATTCTTCTGTCTAGCCTTATATGAAAAAAACCCGTTTCCAACGAAGGCCTCAAAGAGGTCTGAATATCCACTTGCAGAATTTACAAACAGAGTGTTTCCTAACTGCTCTATGAAAAGAAAGGTTAAACTCTGTGAGTTGAACGCACACATCACAAAGGAGTTTCTGAGAATCATTCTGTCTAGTTTCTATAGGAAGATATTTCCTATTCTACCATTGACCTCAAAGCGGCTGAAATCTCCACTTGCAAATTCCACAAAAAGAGTGTTTCAAGTCTGCTCTGTGTAAAGGATCGTTCAACTCTGTGAGTTGAATACACACAACACAAGGAAGTTACAGAGAATTCTTCTGTCTAGCCTTATATGAAAAAAACCCGTTTCCAACGAAGGCCTCAAAGAGGTCTGAATATCCAATTGCAGACTTTACAAACAGAGTGTTTCCTAACTGCTCTATGAAAAGAAAGGTTAAACTCTGTGAGTTGAACGCACACATCACAAAGGAGTTTCTGAGAATCATTCTGTCTTGTTTCTATACGAAGATATTTCCTTTTCTACCATTGACCTCAAAGCAGCTGAAATCTCCACTTGCAAATTCCACAAAAAGAGTGTTTCAAGTCTGCTCTGTGTAAAGGATCGTTCAATTCTGTGAGTTGAATACACACAACACAAGGAAGTTACTGAGAATTCTTCTGTCTAGCATAATTTGAAGAAATCCCGTTTCCAACGAAGGCCTCAAAGAGGTCTGAATATCCACTTGCAGACTTTACAAACAGAGTGTTTCTTAACTGCTCTATGAGAAGAAAAGTTAAACTCTGTGAGTTGAACGCACACATCACAAAAGATTTTCTGAGAATCATTCTGTCTAGTCTTTATACGAAGATATTTCCTTTTCTACCATTGACCTCAAAGCGGCTGAAATCTCCACTTGCAAATTCCACAAAAAGAGTGTTTCAAGTCTGCTCTGTGTAAAGGATCGTTCAACTCTATGAGTTGAATACACACAACACAAGGAAGTTACTGAGAATTCTTCTGTCTAGCAGAATACGAAGAAATCCCGTTTCCAACGAAGGCTACAAGATGTCAGAATATCCACTTTCATACTTTACAAACAGAGTGTTTCCTAACTGCTCTATGAACAGAAAGGTTAAACTCTGTGGGTTGAACGAACACATCACAACGCAGTTTGTGGGAATGATTCTGTCTAGTTTTTATACGAAAATATTTCCTTTTCTACCATTGACCTCAAAGCGGCTGAAATCACCACTTGCCAATTGCACAAAAAGAGTTTTTCAAATCTGCTCTGTCTAAGGGAACGTTCAACTCTGTGAGTTGAATGTACACAACACAAGGAAGTTACTGGGAATTCTTCTGTCTAGCCTTACAGGAAAAAACCCGTTTCCAACGAAGGCCTCTAAGTGGTCAAATTATCCACGTGCAGACTTTACAAACAGAGTGTTTCCAAACTGCTGAATGAAAAGAAAATTTAAACTCTGAGAGTTGAACGCACACATCGCAGAGCAGTTTCTGAGAATGATTCTGTCTAGTTTTTATACGAAGATATTTCCTTTTCTGCCTTTGGCCTCAAAGCGCTTGAAATCTCCACTTGCAAATTCCACAAAAAGAGTGTTTCAAATCTGCTCTGTGTAAATCAAAGTTCAACTCTGTGAGTTGAACACACACAACACAAGCAAGTTACTGGGAATTCTTCTGTCTAGCACAATATGAAGAAATCCCGTTTCCAACGAAGGCCTCAAAGGGGTCTGAATATCCACTTGCAGACTTTATAAACAGAGTGTTTACTAACTGCTCTATGAAAAGAAAAGTTAAACTCTGTGAGTTGAACGCACACATCAAAAAGGAGTTTCTGAGAATCATTCTGTCTAGTTTCTATAGGAAGATATCTCCTATTCTACCATTGACCTCAAAGAGGCAGAAATCTCCACTTGCAAATTCCACAAAAAGAGTGTTTCAAGTCTGCTCTGTGTAAAGGATCGTTCAACTCTGTGAGTTGAATACACACAACACAAGGAAGTTACTGAGAATTCTTCTGTCTAGCAGAATATGAAGAAATCCCGTTTCCAACGAAGGCCTCAAAGAGGTCTGAATATCCACTTGCAGACTTTACAAACAGAGTGTTTCCTAACTGCTCTATGAAAAGAAAAGTTAAACTCTGTGAGTTGAACGCACACGTCACAAAGGATTTTCTGAGAATCATTCTGTCTAGTTTCTATAGGAAGATATTTCCTATTCTACCATTGACCTCAAAGCGGCTGAAATCTCCACTTGCAAATTCGACAAAAAGAATGTTTCAAGTCTGCTCTGTGTAAAGGATCGTTCAGCTCTGTGAGTTGAATACACACAACACAAGGAAGTTACTGAGAATTCTTCTGTCTAGCAGAATATGAAGAAATCCCGTTTCCAACGAAGGCCACAAGATGTCAGAATATCCACTTACAGACTTAACAGAGTGTTTCCTAACTGCTCTATGAACAGAAAGGTTAAACTCTGTGAGTTGAACGAACACATCACAACGCAGTTTGTGGGAATGATTCTGTCTAGTTTTGAAACCAAGATATTTCCTTTTCTGCCGTTGACCTTAAAGAGCTTGAAAACTACACTTGCAAATTGCACAAATAGAGTGTTTCAAATCTGCTCTGTCTAAGGGAACGTTCAACTCTGTGAGTTGAATGCACACAACACAAGGAAGTTACTGGGAATTCTTCTGTCTAGCCTTACATGAAAAAAACCCATTTCCAACGAAGGCCTCTAAGTGGTCAAAATTTCCACGTGCAGACTTTACAAACAGAGTGTTTCCAAACCGCTGAATGAAAAGAAAAGTTAAACTCTGAGAGTTGAACGCACACATCACGCAGCAGTTTCTGAGAATGATTCTGTCTAGTTTTGAAACGAAGATATTTCCTTTTCTGCCTTTGGCCTCAAAGCGCTTGAAATCTCCATTTGCAAATTCCACAAAAAGAGTGTTTCAAATCTGCTCTGTGTAAATGAGAGTTCAACTCTGTGAGTTGAACACACACAACACAAGGAAGTTACTGGGAATTCTTCTGTCTAGCATAATATGAAGAAATCCCGTTTCCAACGAAGGCCTCAAAGGGGTCTGAATATCCACTTGCAGACTTTATAAACAGAGTGTTTCCTAACTGCTCTATGAAAAGAAAGGTTAAACTCTGTGAGTTGAAAACACACATCACAAAGGAGTTTCTGAGAATCATTCTGTCTAGTCTGTATACGAAGATAGTTTCCTTTTCTACCATTGACCTCAAAGAGGCTGAAATCTCCACTTGCAAATTCCACAAAAAGAGTGTTTCAAGTCTGCTCTGTGTAAAGGATCGTTCAACTCTGTCAGTTGAATACACAGAACACAAGGAAGTTACTGAGAATTCCTCTGTCTAGCAGAATATGAAGAAATCCCGTTTCAAACGAAGGTCACAAGGAGGTGTGAATATCCACTTGCAGACTTTACAAACAGAGTGTTTCCTAACGGCTCTATGAACAGAAAGGTTAAACTCTGTGAGTTGAACGCACACATCACAAAAGAGTTTCTGAGAATCATCTGTCTAGTTTTTATACGAAGATATTTCCTTTTCTACCATGGACCTCAAAGCGGCTGAAATCTCCACTTGCAAATTCCACAAAAAGAGTGTTTCAAGTCTGCTCTGTGTAAAGGATCGTTCAACTCTGTGAGTTGAATACACACAACACAAGGAAAGATTCTGAGAATTCTTCTGTCTAGCAGAATATGAAGAAATCCCGTTTCCAACGAAGGCCACAAGATGTCAGAATATCCACTTACAGAATTTAGAAACAGACTGTTTCCTAACTGCTCTACGAAAAGAAAGGTTAAACTCTGTGAGATGAACGAACACATCACAACGCAGTTTGTGGGAATGATTCTGTCTAGTTTTGAAACGAAGATATTTCCTTTTCTGCCATTGACCTCAAAGCGCTTGAAATCTCCACTTGCCAATTGCACAAAAAGAGTGTTTCAAATCTGCTCTGTCTAAGGAAACGTTCAACTCTGTGAGTTGAATGTACACAACACAAGGAAGTTACTGGGAATTCTTCTGTGTAGCCTTACATGAAAAAAACCCGTTTCCAACGAAGGCCTCTAAGTGGTCAAATTATCCACGTGCAGACTTTACAAACAGAGTGTTTCCAAACTGCTGAATGAAAAGAAAAGTTAAACTCTGAGAGTTGAACGCACACATCGCAGAGCAGTTTCTGAGAATGATTCTGTCTAGTTTTTGTACGAAGATATTTCCTTTTCTGCCTTTGGCCTCAAAGCGCTTGAAATCTCCATTTGCAAATTCCACAAAAAGAGTGTTTCAAATCTGCTCTGTGTAAATGAAAGTTCAACTCTGTGAGTTGAACACACACAACACAAGGAAGTTACTGGGAATTCTTCTGTCTAGCCTTATATGAAAAAAACCCGTTTCCAACGAAGGCCTCAAAGAGGGCTGAATATCCACTTGCAGACTTTACAAGCAGAGTGTTTCCTAACTGCTCTATGAAAAGAAAGGTTAAACTCTGTGAGTTGAACGCACACATCACAAAGGAGTTTACTGAGAATCATTCTGTCTAGTTTCTATAGGAAGATATTTCCTATTCTACCATTGACCTCAAAGCGGCTGAAATCTCCACTTGCAAATTCCACAAAAAGAGTGTTTCAAGTCTGCTCTGTGTAAAGGATCCTTCAACTCTGTGAGTTGAATACACACAACACAAGGCAGTTACTGAGAATTCTTCTGTCTAGCAGAATATGAAGAAATCCCGCTTCCAACGAAGGCCTCAAAGAAGTCTGAATAAGCACTTGCAGACTTTACAAACAGAGTGTTTCCCAACTGCTCTATGAAAAGAAAGGTTGAACTCTGTGAGTTGAACGCACACATCACAAAGGAGTTTCTGAGAATCATTCTGTCTAGTTTTGAAACGAAGATATTTCCTTTTCTGCCTTTGGCCTCAAAGCGCTTGAAATCTCCACTTGCAAATTCCACAAAAAGAGTGTTTCAAATCTGCTCTGTGTAAATGAAAGTTCAGCTCTGTGAGTTGAACACACACAACACAAGGAAGTTACTGGGAATTCTTCTGTCTAGCCTTATATGAAAAAAACCCGTTTCCAACGAAGGCCTCAAAGAGGTCTGAATATCCACTTGCAGACTTTACAAACAGAGTGATTCCTAACTGTTCTATGAAAAGAAAGGTTAAACTCTGTGAGTTGAACACACACATCACAAAGGAGTTTCTGAGAATCATTCTGTCTAGTTTTTATAGGAAGATATTTCCTTTTCTACCTTTGACTTCAAAGCGGCTGAAATCTCCACTTGCAAATTCCACAAAAAGAGTGTTACAAGTCTGCTCTGTGTAAAGGATCGTTCAACTCTGTGACTTGAATACACACAACACAAGGAAGTTACTGAGAATTCTTCTGTCTAGCAGAATATGAAGAAATCCCGTTTCCAACGAAGGCCACAAGATGTCAGAATATCCACTTACAGAATTTACAAACAGACTGTTTCCTAACTGCTCTATGAAAACAAAGGTTAAACTCTGTGAGTTGAACGAACACATCACAACGCAGTTTGTGGGAATGATTCTGTCTAGTTTTGAAACGAAGATATTTCCTTTTCTGCCATTGACCTTAAAGCGCTTGAAATCTACACTTGCAAATTGCACAAATAGAGTGTTTCAAATCTGCTCTGTCTAAGGGAACGTTCAACTCTGTGAGTTTAATGCACCCAACACAAGGAAGTTACTGGGAATTCTTCTGTCTAGCCTTACAGGAAAGAAACCCGTTTCCAATGAAGGCCTCTAAGTGGTCAAAATATCCACGTGCAGACTTTACAAACAGAGTGTTTCCAAACTGCTGAATGAAAAGAAAAGTTAAACTCTGAGAGTTGAACGCACACATCGCAGAGCAGTTTCTGAGAATGATTCTGTCGAATTTTTATACGAAGATATTTCCTTTTCTGCCTTTGGCCTCAAAGCGCTTGAAATCTCCATTTGCAAATTCCACAAAAAGAGTGTTTCAAATCTGCTCTGTGTAAACGGAAGTTCAACTCTGTGAGTTGAACACACACAACACAAGGAAGTTACTGGGAATTCTTCTGTCTAGCAGAATATGAAGAAATCCCGTTTCCAACGAAGGCCTCAAAGAGGTCTGAATATCCACTTGAAGTCTTTACAAACAGAGTGTTTCCTAACTGCTCTATGAAAAGAAAAGTTAAACTCTATGAGTTGAACGCACACATCACAAAGGAGTTTCTGAGAATCATTCTGTCTAACTTTTATACGAAGATATTTCCTTTTCTACCATTGACCTCAATGCGGCTGAAATCTCCACTTGCAAATTCCACAAAAAGTGTGTTTCAAGTCCGCTCTGTGTAAAGGATCGTTCAACTCTGTGAGTTGAATACACACAACACAAGGAAGTTACTGAGAATTCTTCTGTCTTGGAGTATATGAAGAAATCCCATTTCCAACCAAGGCCACAAAATGTCAGAATATCCACTTACAGACTTTACAAACAGAGTGTTTCCTAACTGCTCTATGAACAGAAAGGTTAAACTCTGTGAGTTGAACGAACACATCACAACGCAGTTTGTGGGATTCATTCTGTCTAGTTTTGAAACCAAGATATTTCCTTTTCTGCCATTGACCTTAAAGCGCTTGAAATCTCCACTTGCCAATTGCACAAAAAGAGTATTTCAAATCTGCTCTGTCTAAGGGAACGTTCAACTCTGTGAGTTGAATGTACACAACACAAGGAAGTTACTGGGAATTCTTCTGTCTAGCCTTACAGGAAAAAAACCCGTTTCCAACGAAGGCCTCTAAGTGGTCAAAATATCCACGTGCAGACTTTACAAACAGAGTGTTTCCACACTGCTGAATGAAAAGAAAAGTTAAACTCTGAGAGTTGAACGCACACATCCCAGAGCAGTTTCTGAGCAATGATCTGTCTAGTTTTTATACGAAGATATTTCCTTTTCTGCCTTTGGCCTCAAAGCGCTTGAAATCTCCATTTGCAAATTCCACAAAAAGAGTGTTTCAAATCTGCTCTGTGTAAATGAAAGTTCAACTCTGTGAGTTGAATACACACAACACAAGGAAGTTACTGAGAATCTTCTCTGTCTAGCCTTATATGAAAAAAACCCGTTTCCAACGAAGGCCTCAAAGAGGTCTGAATATCCACTTGCAGTCTTTACAAACAGAGTGTTTCCTAACTGCTCTATGAAAAGAAAGATTAAACTCTGTGAGTTGAACGCACACATCACAAAGGAGTTTCTGAGAATCATTCTGTCTAGTTTTTATATGAAGATATTTCCTTTTCTACCATTGACCTCAAAGCGGCTGAAATGTCCACTTACAAATTCCACAAAAAGAGTGTCTCAAGTCTGCTCTGTGTAAATGATCGTTCAACTCTGTGAGTTGAATACACACAACACAAGGAAGTTTCTGAGAATTCTTCTGTATAGCAGAATATGAAGAAATCCAGTTTCCAACGAAAGCCTCAAAGATGTCTGAATATCCACTTGCAGACTTCACAAACAGAGTGTTTCCTAACTGCTCTATGAAAAGAAAGGTTAAACTCTGTGAGTTGAACGCACACATCACAAAGGAGTTTCTCAGAATCATTCTGTCTAGTTTTTATACGAAGATACTTCCTTTTCTACAATTGACCTCAAAGCGGCTTAAATCTCCACTTGCAAATTCCACAAAAAGAGTGTTTCAAGTCTGCTCAAAGGATCGTTCAACTCTGTGAGTTGAATACACACAACACAAGGAAGTTGCTGAGAATTCTTCTGTCTAGCAGAATATGAAGAAATCCCGTTTCCAACGAAGGCCACAAGATGTCAGAATATCCACTTACAGAAATGACAAACAGACTGTTTCCTAACTGCTCTATGAAAAGAAAGGTTAAACCCTGTGAGTTGAACGAACACATCACAACGCAGTTTGTGGGAATGATTCTGTCTAGTTTTGAAACGAAGATATTTCCTTTTCTGCCATTGAACTTAAAGCGCTTGAAATCTCCATTTGCCAATTGCACAAAAAGAGTGTTTCAAATCTGCTCTGTCTAAGGGAACGTTCAACTCTGTGAGTTGAATGTACACAACACAAGGAAGTTACTGGGAATTCTTCTGTCTAGCCTTACAGGAAAAAAACCCGTTTCCAACGAAGGCCTCTAAGTGGTGAAAATATCCACGTGCAGACTTTACAAACAGAGTGTTTCCAAACTGCTGAATGAAAAGAAAAGTTAAACTCTGAGAGTTGAACACCCACATCGCAGAGCAGTTTCTGAGAATGATTTCTGTCTAGTTTTTATACGAAGATATTTCCTTTTCGGCCTTTGGCCCCAAAGCGGCTGAAATCTCCACTTGCAAATTCCACAAAAACAGTGTTATAAATCTGCTCTCTCTAAATGAAAGTTCAACTCTGTCAGTTGAATACACACAACACAAGGAAGTTACTGAGAATTCTTCTGTCTAGCAGAATATGAAGAAATCCCGTTTCCAACGAAGGCCTCAAGGAGGTCTGAATATCCACTTGCAGACTTTACAAACAGAGTGTTTCCTAAATGCTCTATGAACAGAAAGGTTAAACTCTGTGAGTTGAACGCACACATCACAAAGGAGTTTCTGAGAATCATTCTGTCTAGTCTTTATACGAAGATATTTCCTTTTCTACCATTGACCTCAAAGCGGCTGAAATCTCCACTTGCAAATTCCACAAAAAGAGTGTTTAAAGTCTGCTCTCTGAAAAGGATCGTTCAACTCTGTGAGTTGAATACACACAGCACAAGGAAGTTACTGAGAATTCTTCTGTCTAGCAGAATATGAAGAAATCCCGTTTCCAACGAAAGCCTCAAAGAGGTCTGAATATCCACTTGCAGACTTTACAAACACAGTGTTTCCTAACTGCTCTATGAATAGAAAGGTTAAACTCTGTGAATTGAACGCACACATCACAAAGGAGTTTCTGAGAATCATTCTGTCTAGTTTTTATACGAAGATATTTCCTTTTCTACCATTGACCTCTAAGCGGCTGAAATCTCCACTTGCAAATTCCACAAAAAGAGTGTTTCAAATCTGCTCTGTGTAAACCATCGTTCAACTCTGTGAGTTGAATACACACAACACAAGGAAGATTCTGAGAATTCTTCTGTCTAGCAGAATATGAAGAAATCCCGTTTAAAACGAAGGCCACAAGATGTCAGAATATCCACTTACAGACTTTACAAACAGAGTGTATCCTAACTGCTCTATGAACAGAAAAGTTAAACTCTGTGAGTTGAACGAACACATCACAACGCAGTTTGTGGGAATGATTCTCTCTAGTTTTGAAACGAAGATATTTCCTTTTCTGCCATTGACCTTAAAGCGCTTGAAATCTCCACTTGCCAATTGCACAAAAAGAGTGTTTCAAATCTGCTCTGTCTAAGGGAACTGTTCAACTCTGTGAGTTGAATGTACACAACACAAGGAAGTTACTGGGAATTCTTCTGTCTAGCCTTACATGAAAAAAACCCGTTTCCAACGAAGGCCTCTAAGTGGTCAAAATATCCAGGTGCAGACTTTACAAACAGAGTGTTTCCAAACCGCTGAATGAAAAGAAAAGTTAAACTCTGAGAGTTGAACGCACACATCACGCAGCAGTTTCTGAGAATGATTCTGTCTAGTTTTTATACGAAGATATTTCCTTTTCTGCCTTTGGCCTCAAAGCGCTTGAAATCTCCACTTGCAAATTCCACAAAAAGAGTGTTTCAAATCTGCTCTGTGTAAATGAAAGCTCAACTCCGTGAGTTGAACACACACAACACAAGGAAGTTACTGGGAATTCTTCTGTCTAGCCTTACATGAAAAAAACCCGTTTCCAACGAAGGCCTCAAAGAGGTCTGAATATCCACTTGCAGACTTTACAAACAGAGTGTTTCCTAACTGCTCTATGAAAAGAAAGGTTAAACTCTGTGAGTTGAACACACACATCAGAAAGGAGTTTCTGAGAAACATTCTGTCTAATTTCTATAGGAAGATATTTCCTATTCTACCATTGACCTCAAAGCGGCTGAAATCTCCACTTGCAAATTCCACAAAAAGAGTGTTTCAAGTCTGCTCTGTGTAAAGGATCGTTCAAATCGGTGAGGTGAATACACACAACACAAGGAAGTTACTGAGAATTCTTCTGTCTAGCATAATATGAAGAAATCACGTTTCCAACGAAGGCCTCAAGGAGGTCTGAATATCCACATGCAGACTTTACAAACAGAGTGTTTCCTAACTTCTCTATGAAAAGAAAGGTTAAACTCTGTGAGTTGAACGCACAAATCACAAAGCAGTTTCTGAGAATCATTCGGTCTAGTTTCTATAGGAAGATATTTCCTATTCTACCATTGACCTCAAAGCGGCTGAAATCTCCACTTGCAAATTCCACTAAAACAGTGTTTCAAGTCTGCTCTGTGTAAAGGATCGTTCAACTCTGTGAGTTGAATACACACAACACAAGGAAGTTACTGAGAATTCTTCTGTCTAGCAGAATATGAAGAAATCCCGTTTCCAACGAAGGCCACAAGATGTCAAATTATCCACTTACAGAATTTACAAACAGACTGTTTCCTAACTGCTCTATGAAAAGAAAGGTTAAACTCTGTGAGATGAACGAACACATCACAACGCAGTTTGTGGGAATGATTCTGTCTAGTTTTGAAACGCAGATATTTCCTTTTCTGCCGTTGACCTTAAAGAGCTTGAAAACTACACTTGCAAATTGCACAAATAGAGTGTTTCAAATCTGCTCTGTCTAAGGGAACGTTCAACTCTGTGAGTTGAATGCACACAACACAAGGAAGTTACTGGGAATTCTTCTGTCTAGCCTTACATGAAAAAAACCCGTTTCCAACGAAGGCCTCTAAGTGGTCAAAATATCCACGTGCAGACTTTACAAACAGAGTGTTTCCAAACTGTAGAATGAAAAGAAAAGTTAAACTCTGAGAGTTGAACGCACACATCACAGAGCAGATTCTGAGAATGATTCTGTCTAGTTTTTATACGAAGATATTTCCTTTTCTGCCTTTGGCCCCAAAGCGCTTGAAATCTCCACTTGCAAATTCCACAAAAACAGTGTTTCAAATCTGCCCTCTCTAAATGAAAGTTCAACTCTGTCAGTTGAATACACACAACAGAAGGAAGTTACTGAGAATTCTTCTGTCTAGCACAGTATGAAGAAATCCCGTTTCCAACGAAGTCCTCAAAGAGGTCTGAATATACACTTGCAGAGTTTACAAACAGAGTGTTTCCTAACTGCTCTATGAAAAGAAAGGTTAAACTCTGTGAGTTGAACGCACACATCACAATGAAGTTTCTGAGAATCATTCTGTCTAGTTTTTCTATGAAGATATTTCCTTTTCTACCATTGACCTCAAAGCGGCTGAAATCTCCACTTGCAAATTCCACAAAAAGAGTGTTTCTAATCTGCTCTGTGTAAAGGATCGTTCAACTCTGTGAGTTGAATACACACAACACGAGGAAGTTACTGAGAATTCTTCTGTCTAGCATAATATGAAGAAATCCCGTTTCCAACGAAGGCCTCAAAGAGGTCTGAATATCCACTTGCAGACTTTACAAACAGAGTGTTTCCTAACTGCTCTCTGAAAAGAAAAGTTAAACTCTGTGAGTTGAACGCACACATCACATAGGAGTTTCTGAGAATCATTCTGTCTAGTTTTTATACGAAGATATTTCCTTTTCTACCATTGACCTCAAAGCGGCTGAAATCTCCACTTGCAAATTCCACACAAAGAGTGTTTCAAATCTGCTCTGTGTAAACCATCGTTCAACTCTGTGAGTGGAATACACACAACACAAGGGAAGATTCTGAGAATTCTTCTGTCTAGCAGAATATGAAGAAATCCTGTTTCCAACGAAGGCCACAAGATGTCAGAATATCCACTTTCAGACTTTACAAACAGAGTGTTTCCTAACTGCTCTATGAACAGAAAGGTTAAACTCTGTGAGTTGAACGAACACATCACAACGCAGTTTGTGGGAATGATTCTGTCTAGTTTTGAAACGAAGATATTTCCTTTTCTGCCATTGACCTTAAAGCGCTTGAAATCTCCACTTGCCAATTGCACAAAAAGAGTGTTTCAAATCAGCTCTGTCTAAGGGAACGTTCAAATCTGTGTGTTGAATGTACACAACACAAGGAAGTTACTGGGAATTCTTCTGTCTAGCCTTACAGGAATAAAACCCGTTTCCAACGAAGGCCTCTAAGTGGTCAAAATATCCACGTGCAGACTTTACAAAGAGAATGTTTCCAAACTGCTGAATGAAAAGAAAAATTAAACTCTGAGAGTTGAATGCACACATCGCAGAGCAGTTTCTGAGAATGATTCTGTCTAGTTTTTATACGAAGATATTTCCTTTTCTGCCTTTGGCCTCAAAGCGCTTGAAATCTCCACCTGCAAATTCCACAAAAAGAGTGTTTCAAATCTGCTCTGTGTAAAGGAAAGTTCAACTCTGTGAGTTGAACACACACAACACAAGGAAGTTACTGGGAATTCTTCTGTCTAGCAGAATAGGAAGAAATCCCGTTTCCAACGAAGGCCTCAAGGAGGTCTGAATATCCACTTGCAGACGTTACAAACAGAGTGTTTCCTAACTGCTCTATGAAAAGAAAGGTTAAACTCTGTGAGTTGAACGCACACATCACAAAGGAGTTTCTGAGAATCGTTCTGTCTAGTTTTTGTACGAAGATATTTCCTTTTCTACCATTGACCTCAAAGCGGCTGAAATCTCCACTTGCAAATTCCACAAAACGAGTGTTTCAAGTCCGCTCTGTGTAAAGGATCGTTCAACTCTGTGAGTTGAATCCACACAACACAAGGAAGTTACTGAGAATTCTTCTGTCTAGCCTTACATGAAAAAAACACGTTTCCAACGAAGGCCTCTAAGTGGCCAAATTATCCACGTGCAGACTTTACAAACAGAGTGTTTCCAAACCGCTGAATGAAAAGAAAAGTTAAACTCTGAGAGTTGAACGCACACATCGCAGAGCAGTTTCTGAGAATGATTCTGTCTAGTTTTTATACGAAGATATTTCGTTTTCTGCCTTTGGCCCCAAAGCGCTTGAAATCTCCATTTGCAAATTCCACAAAAACAGTGTTTCAAATCTGCTCTCTCTAAATGAAAGTTCAACTCTGTCAGTTGAATACACACAACACAAGGAAGTTACTGAGAATTCTTCTTTCTTGCAGAATATGAAGAAATCCCGTTTCCAACGAAAGCCTCAAGGATGTCGGAATATCCACTTGCAGACTTTACAAACAGAGTGTTTCCTAACTGCTCTATGAAAAGAAAGGTTAAACTCTGTGAGTTGAAGGCACACATCACAAAGGAGTTTCTGAGAATCATTCTGTCTAGTTTGTATAGGAAGATATTTCCTATTCTACCATTGACCTCAAAGCGGCTGAAATCTCCACTTGCAAATTCCACAAAAAGAGTGTTTCAAGTCTGCTCTGTGTAAAGGATCGTTCAACTCTGTGAGTTGAATACACACAACACAAGGAAGTTACTGAGAATTCTTCTGTCTAGCATAGTATGAAGAAATCCAGTTTCCAACGAAGGCCTCAAAGAGGTCTGAATATCCACTTGCAGAGTTTACAAACAGAGTGTTTCCTAACTGCTCTATGAAAAGAAAGGTTAAACTCTGTGAGTTGAACGCACACATCACAAAGAAGTTTCTGAGAATCATTCTGACTAGTTTTTATACAAAGATATTTCCTTTTCTACCATGGACCTCAAAGCGGCTGAAATCTCCACTTGCAAATTCCACAAAAAGAGTGTTTCAAGTCTGCTCTGTGTAAAGGATCGTTCAACTCTGTGAGTTGAATACACACAACACAAGGAAGATTCTGAGAATTCTTCTGTCTAGCAGAATATGAAGAAATCCCGTTTCCAACGAAGGCCTCAAGGAGGTCTGAATGTCCACTTGCAGACTTTACAAACAGAGTGTTTCCTAACTGCTCTATGAACAGAAAGGTTAAACTCTGTGAGTTGAACGAACACATCACAACGCAGTTTGTGGGAATGATTCTGTCTAGTTTTGAAACGAAGATATTTCCTTTTCTGCCATTGACCTTAAAACGCTTGAAATCTACACTTGCAAATTGCACAAATAGAGTGTTTCAAATCTGCTCTGTCTAAGGGAACGTTCAACTCTGTGAGTTGAATGCACACAACACAAGGAAGTTACTGGGAATTCTTCTGTCTAGCCTTACATGAAAAAAACCCGTTTCCAACGAAGGCCTCTAAGTGGTCAAAATATCCACGTGCAGACTTTACAAACAGAGTGTTTCCAAACTGTAGAATGAAAAGAAAAGTTAAACTCTGAGAGTTGAACGCACACATCACAGAGCAGTTTCTGAGAATGATTCTGTCTAGTTTTTATACGAAGATATTTCCTTGTCTGCCTTTGGCCTCAAAGCGCTTGAAATCTCCACTTGCAAATTCCACAAAAAGAGTGTTTCAAATCTGCTCTGTGTAAATGAAAGTTCAACTCTGTGAGTTGAACACACACAACACAAGGAAGTTACTGGGAATTCTTCTGTCTACCAGAATATGAAGAAATCCCGTTTCCAACGAAGGCCTCAAAGAGGTCTGAATATCCACTTGCAGACTTTATAAACAGAGTGTTTCCTAACTGCTCTAAGAAAAGAAAGGTTAAACTCTGTGAGTTGAACGCACACATCACAAAGGAGTTTCTGAGAATCATTCTGTCTAGTTTTTCTACGAAGATATTTGCTTTTCTACTATTGACCTCAAAGCGGCTGAAATCTCCACTTGCAAATTCCACAAAAAGAGTGTTTTAAGTCTGCTCTCTGTAAAGGATAGTTCAACTCTGTGAGTTGAATACACACAACACAAGGAAGTTACTGAGAATTCTTCTGTCTAGCAGAATATGAAGAAATCGCGTTTCCAACGAAGGCCTCAAGGAGGTCTGAATATCGACTTGCAGACTTTACAAACAGAGTTTTTCCTAACTGCTCTATGAAAAGAATGGTTAAACTCTGTGAGTTGAACGCACACATCACAAAGGAGTTTCTGAGAATCATTCTGTCTAGTTTTTATAGGAAGATATTTCCTTTTCTACCTTTGACTTCAAAGCGGCTGAAATCTCCACTTGCAAATTACACAAAAAGAGTGTTACACGTCTGCTCTGTGTAAAGGATCGTTCAACTCTGTGAGGTGAATACACACAACACAAGGAAGTTACTGAGAATTCTTCTGTCTAGCAGAATATGAAGAAATCCCGTTTCCAACGAAGGCCACAAGATGTCAGAATATCCACTTACAGACTTTACAAACAGAGTGTTTCCTAACTGCTCTATGAACAGAAAGGTTAAGCTCTGTGAGTTGAATGAACACATCACAACGCAGTTTGTGGGAATGATTTCTGTCTAGTTTTGAAACGAAGATATTTCCTTTTCTGCCATTGACCTTAAAGCGCTTGAAATCTACACTTGCAAATTGCACAAATAGAGTGTTTCAAATCTGCTCTGTCTAAGGGAACGTTCAACTCTGTGATTTGAATGCACACAACACAAGGAAGTTACTCGGAATTCTTCTGTCTAGCCTTACGTGAAAAAAACCCGTTTCCAACGAAGGCCTCTAAGTGGTCAAGTTATCCACGTGCAGACTTTACAAACAGAGTGTTTCCAAACTTCTGAATGAAAAGAAAAGTTAAACTCTGAGAGTTGAACGCACACATCGCAGAGCAGTTTCTGAGAATGATTCTGTCTAGTTTTTATACGAAGATATTTCCTTTTCTGCCTTTGGCCTCAAAGCGCTTGAAATCTCCACTTGCAAATTCCACAAAAAGAGTGTTTCAAATCTGCTCTGTGTAAATCAAAGTTCAACTCTATGAGTTGAACACACACAACACAAGGAAGTTACTGGGAATTACTCCTGTCTAGCAGAATATGAAGAAATCCCGTTTCCAACGAAGGCCTCAAGGAGGTCTGAATATCCACTTGCAGACTTTACAAACAGAGTGTTTCCTAACAGCTCTATGAACAGAAAGGTTAAACTCTGTGAGTTGAACGCACACATCACAAAGGAGTTTCTGAGAATCATTTTGTCTAGTTTCTATAAGAAGATATTTCCTATTCTACCATTGACCTCAAAGCGGCTGAAATCTCCACTTGCAAATTCCACAAAAAGAGTGTTTCAAGTCTGCTCTGGGTAAAGGATCATTCAACTCTGTGTGTTGAATAAACACAACACAAGGAAGTTACTGAGAATTCTTCTGTCTAGCCTTACATGAAAAAAACCCTTTTCCAACGAAGGCCTCTAAGTGGTCAAGTTATCCACGTGCAGACTTTACAAACAGAGTGTTTCCAAACTGCTGAATGAAAAGAAAAGTTAAACTCTGAGAGTTGAACGCACACATCGCAGAGCAGTTTCTGAGAATGATTCTGTCTAGTTTCTATAGGAAGATATTTCCTATTCTACCATTGACCACAAAGCGGCTGAAATCTCCACTTGCAAATTCCACAAAAAGAATGTTTCAAGTCTGCTCTGTGTAAACGATCGTTCAACTCTGTGAGTTGAATACACACAACACAAGGAAGTTACTGAGAATTCTTCTGTCTAGCAGAATATGAAGAAATCCCGTTTCCAACGAAGGCCTCAAGGAGGTCTGAATATCCACTTGCAGACTGTACAAATAGAGTGTTTCCTAACTGCTCTATGAAAAGAAAGGTTAAACTCTGTGAGTTGAACGCACACATCACAAAGGAGTTTCTGAGAATCATTCTGTCTAGTTTTTATACGAAGATATTTCCTTTTCTGCCATTGACCTCAAAGCGGCTGAAATCTCCACTTGCAAATTCCACAAAAAGAGTGTTTCAAGTCTGCTCTGTGTAAAGGATCGTTGAACTCTGTGAGTTGAATACACACAACACAAGGAAGTTACTGAGAATTCTTCTGTCTAGCATAATATGAAGAAATCCCGTTTCCAACGAAGGCCTCAAAGAGGTCTGAATATCCACTTGCAGACTTTACAAACAGAGTGTTTCCTAACTGCTCTATGAGAAGAAAAGTTAAACTCTGTGAGTTGAACACACACATCACAAAAGATTTTCTGAGAATCATTCTGTCTAGTTTTTATACGAAGATATTTCCTTTTCTTCCATTGACCTCAAAGCGGCTGAAATCTCCACCCTGCCAATTCCACAAAAAGGGTGTTTCAAGTCTACTCTGTGTAAAGGATCGTTGAACTCTGTGAGTTGAAAACACACAACACAACGAACTTTCTGAGAATTCTTCTGTCTAGCATAGTATGAAGAAATCCCGTTTCCAACGAAGGCCTCAAAGAGGTCTGAATATCCACTTGCAGAGTTTACAAACAGAGTGTTTCCTAACTGCTCTAAGAAAAGAAAGGTTAAACTCTGTGAGTTGAACGCACACATCACAAAGAAGTTTTTGAGAATCATTCTGTCTAGTTTCTATAGGAAGATATTTCCTATTCTACCATTGACCTAAAAGCGGCTGAAATCTTCTCTTGCAAATTCCACAAAAGGAGTGTTTCAAGTCTGCTCTGAGTAAAGGATCGTTCAACTCTGTGAGTTGAATACACACAACACAAGGAAGTTTCTGAGAATTCTTCTGTCTAGCAGAATATGAAGAAATCCCGTTTCCAACGAAGGCCACAAGATGTCAGAATATCCACTTACAGAATTTACAAACAGACTGTTTCCTAACTGCTCTATGAAAAGAAAGGTTAAACTCTGTGAGTTGAATGAACACATCACAACGCAGTTTGTGGGAATGATTCTCTCTAGTTTTGAAACGAAGATATTTCCTTTTCTGCCATTGACCTTAAAGCGCTTGAAATCTCCACTTGCCAATTGCACAAAAAGAGTGTTTCAAATCTGCTCTGTCTAAGGGAACGTTCAACTCTGTGAGTTGAATGTACACAACACAAGGAAGTTACTGGGAATTCTTCTGTCTAGCCTTACATGAAAAAAACCCGTTTCCAACGAAGGCCTCTAAGTGGTCAAATTATCCACGTGCAGACTTTACAAACAGAGTGTTTCCAAACTGCTGAATGAAAAGAAAAGTTAAACTGCTGAGAGTTGAACGCACACATCGCAGAGCAGTTTCTGAGAATGATTTCTCTCTAGTTTTGAAACGAAGTTATTTCCTTTTCTGCCTTTGGCCTCAAAGCGCTTGAAATCTCCATTTGCAAATTCCACAAAAAGAGTGTTTCAAATCTGCTCTGTGTAAATGAAAGTTCAACTCTGTGAGTTGAACACACACAACACAAGGGAGTTACTGGGAATTCTTCTGTCTAGCATAATATGAAGAAATCCCGTATCCAACGAAGGCCTCAAGCAGGTCTGAATCTCCACTTGCAGACTTTACAAACAGAGTGTTTCCTAACTGCTCTATGAAAAGAAAGGTTAACCTCTGTGAGTTGAACGCACACATCACAAAGGAGTTTCTGAGAATCATTCTGTCTAGTTTCTATAAGAAGATATTTCCTATTCTACCATTGGCTTCAAAGCGGCTGAAATCTCCACTTGCAAATTCGACAAAAAGAGTTTTTCAATCCTGCTCTCTGTAAAGGATCCTTCAACTCTGTGAGTTGAATACACACAACACAAGGAAGTTACTGAGAATTCTTCTGTCTAGCCTTACATGAAAAAAACCCGTTTCCAACGAAGGCCTCTAAGGGGTCAAAATATCCTCGTGCAGACTTTACAAACAGAGTGTTTCCAAACCGCTGAATGAAAAGAAAAGTTAAACTCTGAGAGTTGAACGCACACATCACGCAGCAGTTTCTGAGAATGATTCTGTCTAGTTTTTATACGAAGATATTTCCTTTTCTGCCTTTGGCCTCAAAGCGCTTGAAATCTCCATTTGCAAATTCCACAAAAAGAGTGTTTCAAACCTGCTCTGTGTAAATGAAAGTTCAACTCTGTGAGTTGAACACACACAACACAAGGAAGTTACTGGGAATTCTTCTGTCTAGCCTTATATGAAAAAAACCCGTTTCCAACGATGGCCTCAAAGAGGGCTGAATATCCACTTGGAGACTTTACAAGCAGAGTGTTTCCTAACTGCTCTATGAAAAGAAAGGTTAAACTCTGTGAGTTGAACACACACATCACAAAGGAGTTTCTGAGAATCATTCTGTCTAGTTTTTATACGAAGATATTTCCTTTTCTACCATTGACCTCAACGCGGCTGAAATCTCCACTTGCAAATTCCACAAAAAGAGTGTTTCAAGTCTGCTCTGTGTAAAGGATCGTTCAACTCTGTGAGTTGAATACACACAACACAAGGAAGTTACTGAGAACTCTTCTGTCTAGCATAATATGAAGAAATCCCGTTTCCAACGAAGGCCTCAAGGAGGTCTGAATATCCACTTGCAGACTTTACAGAGTGTTTCCTAACTGCTCTATGAAAAGAAAGGTTAAACTGTGTGAGTTGAACGCACACATCACAAAGGAGTTTCTGAGAATCATTCTGTCTAATTTCTATAGGGAGATACTTCCTATTCTACCATTGACCTCAAAGCGGCTGAAATCTCCACTTGCAAATTCCACAAAAAGAGTGTTTCAAGTATGCTCTGTGTAAAGGATCGTTTAACTCTGTGAGTTGAATACACACACTACAAGGAACTTACTGAGAATTCTTCTGTCTAGCATAATATGAAGAAATCCCGTTTCCAACGAAGGCCTCAAGCAGGTCTGAATCTCCACTTGCAGACATTACAAACAGAGTGTTTCCTAACTGCTCTATGAAAAGAAAGGTTAACCTCTGTGAGTTGAACGCACACATCACAAAGGAGTTTCTGAGAATCATTCTGTCTAGTTTTGAAACGAAGATATTTCCTTTTCAACCATTGACCTCAAAGCGGCTGAAATCTCCAATTGCAAATTCCACAAAAAGAGTGTTTCAAGTCTGCTCTGTGTAAAGCGTCGCTCAACTCTGTGAGTTGAATACACACAACACGAGGAAGTTACTTAGAATTCTTCTGTCTAGCCTTACATGAAAAAAACCCGTTTCCAACGAAGGCCTCTAAGTGGTCAAGTTATCCACGTGCAGACTTTACAAACAGAGTGTTTCCAAACTGCTGAATGAAAAGAAAAGTTAAACTCTGAGAGTTGAACGCACACATCGCAGAGCAGTTTCTGAGAATAATTCTGTCTAGTTTTTATACGAAGATATTTCCTTTTCTGCCTTTCGCCTCAAAGCGCTTGAAATCTCCACTTGCAAATTCCACAAAAAGAGTGTTTCAAATCTGCTCTGTGTAAATGAGAGTTCAACTCTCTGAGTTGAACACACACAACACAAGGAAGTTACTGGGAATTCTTCTGTCTAGCCTTATATGAAAAAAACCCGTTTCCAACGAAGGCCTCAAAGAGGTCTGAATATCCTCTTGCAGACTTTACAAACAGAGTGTTTCCTAACTGCTCTATGAAAAGAAAGGTTAAACTCTGTGAGTTGAACACACACATCACAAAGGAGTTTCTGAGAATCATTGTCTGTCTAGTTTTTATACGAAGATATTTCCTTTTCTACCATTGACCTCAAAGCGGCTGAAATCTCCACTTGCAAATTCCACAAAAAGAGTGTTTCAAGTCTGCTCTGTGTAAAGGATCGTTGAACTCTGTGAGTTGAATACACAAAACACAAGGAAGTTACTGAGAATTCTTCTGTCTAGCATAATATGAAGAAATCCCGTTTCCAAAGAAGGCCTCAAGGAGCTCTGAATATCCACTTGCAGACTTTACAAACAGAGTGTTTCCTAACTGCTCTATGAAAAGAAAGGTTAAACTCTGTGAGTTGAACGCACACATCACAAAGGAGTTTCTGAGAATCATTCTGTCTAGTCTTTATACGAAGATATATCCTTTTCTACCATTGACCTCAAAGCGGCTGAAATCTCCACTTGCGAATTCCACAAAAAGAGTGTTTCAAGTCTGCTCTCTGTAAAGGATCGTTGAACTCTGTGAGTTGAATACACACAACACAAGGGAAGTTACTGAGAATTATTCTGTCTAGCAGAATATGAAGAAATCCCGTTTCCAACGAAGGCCTCAAAGAGGTCTGAATATCCACTTGCAGACTTTACAACCAGAGTGTTTCCTAACTGCTCTATGAAAAGAAAGGTTAAACTCTGTGAGTTGAACGAACACATCACAACGCAGTTTGTGGGAATGATTCTGTCTAGTTTTGAAAGGAAGATATTTCCTTTTCTGCCATTGACCTGAAAGCGCTTGAAATCTACACTTGCAAATTGCACAAATAGAGTGTTTCAAATCTGCTCTGTCTAAGGGAACGTTCAAGTCTGTGAGTTGAATGCACACAACACAAGGAAGTTACTGGGAATTCTTCTGTCTAGCCTTACATGAAAAAAACCCATTTCCAACGAAGGCCTCTAAGGGGTCAAAATATCCACTTACAGACTTTACAAACAGAGTGTTTCCAAACCGCTGAATGAAAAGAAAAGTTAAACTCTGAGAGTTGAACGCACACATCACGCAGCAGTTTCTGAGAATGATTCTGTCTAGTTTTTATACGAAGATATTTCCTTTTCTGCCTTTGGCCCCAAACCTCTTGAAATCTCAACTTGCAAATTCCACAAAAACAGTGTTTCAAATCTGCTCTCTCTAAATGAATGTTCAACTCTGTCAGTTGAATACACACAACACAAGGAAGTTACTGAGAATTCTTCTGTCTAGCATAATATGAAGAAATCCCGTTTCCAACGAAGGCCTCAAGGAGGTCTGAATATCCACTTGCAGACTTTACAAACACAGTGTTTCCTAACTGCTCTATGAAAAGAAAGGTTAAACTCTGTGAGTTGCACGCACACATCACAAAGGAGTTTCTGAGAATCATTCTGTCTAGTTTTTATACGAAGATGTTTCCTTTTCTACCATTGACCTCAAAGCGGCTGAAAGCTCCACTTGCAAATTCCACAAAAAGAGTGTTTCAAGTCTGCTCTCTGTAAAGGATCGTTGAACTCTGTGAGTTGAATACACAAAACACAAGGAAGTTACTGAGAATTCTTCTGTCTAGCAGAATATGAAGATATCCCGCTTCCAACGAAGGCCTCAAAGAAGTTTGAATATCCACTTGCAGACTTTACAAACAGAGTGTTTTCCAACTGCTCTATGAAAAGAAAGGTTGAACTCTGTGAGTTGAACGCACACATCACAAAGGAGTTTCTGAGAATCATTCTGTCTAGTTTCTATAGGAAGATATTTCCTATTCTACCATTGACCTCAAAGCGGCTGAAATCTCCACTTGCAAATTCCAGAAAAAGAGTGTTTCAAGTCTGCTCTGTGTAAAGGATCGTTGAAGTCTGTGAGTTGAATACACACAACACAATGAAGTTACTGAGAATTCTTCTGTCTAGCAGAATATGAAGAAATCCCGTTTCCAACGAAGGCCACAAGATGTCAGAATATCCACTTACAGAATTTACAAACAGACTGTTTCCTAACTGCTCTACGAAAAGAAAGGTTAAACTCTGTGAGATGAACGAACACATCACAACGCAGTTAGTGGGAATGATTCTGTCTAGTTTTGGAACGAAGATATTTCCTTTTCTGCCATTGACCTTAAAGCCCTTGAAATCTACACTTGCAAATTGCACAAATAGAGTGTTTCAAATCTGCTCTGTCCAAGCGAACGTTCATCTCTGTGAGTTGAATGCACACAACACAAGGAAGTTACTGGGAATTCTTCTGTCTAGCCTTACATGAAAAAAACCAGTTTCTAACGAAGGCCTCTAAGTGGTCAAAATATCCACGTGCAGACTTTACAAACAGAGTGTTTCCAAACCGCTGAATGAAAAGAAAAGTTAAACTGTGAGAGTTGAACGCACACATCACGCAGCAGTTTCTGAGAATGATTCTGTCTAGTTTTTATACGAAGATATTTCCTTTTCTGCCTTTGGCCTCAAAGCGCTTGAAATCTCCACTTGCAAATTCCACAAAAAGAGTGTTTCAAATCTACTCTGTGTAAATCAAAGTTCAACTCTGTGAGTTGAACACACACAACACAAGGAAGTTACTGGGAATTCTTCTGTCTATCAGAATATGAAGAAATCCCGTTTCCAACGAAGGCCTCAAAGAGGTCTGAATATCCACTTGCAGACTTTACAAACAGAGTGTTTCCTAACTGCTCTATGAAAAGAAAGGTTAAACTCCGTGAGTTGAACGCACACATCACAAAGGAGTTTCTGAGAATCATTCTGTCTAGTTTCTATAGGAAGATATTTCCTTTTCTACCATTGACCTCAAAGCGGCTGAAATCTCCACTTGCAAATTCCACAAAAACAGTGTTTCAAGTAGGCTCTGTGTAAAGGATCGTTCAACTCTGTGAGTTGAATACACACAACACAAGGAAGTTACTGAGAATTCTTCTGTCTAGCCTTACATGAAAAAAACCCGTTTCCAACGAAGGCCTCTAAGTGGTCAAAATATCCACGTGCAGACTTTGCAAACAGAGTGTTTCCAAACTGCTGAATGAAAAGAAAAGTTAAACTACTGAGAGTTGAACGCACACATCGCAGAGCAGTTTCTGAGAATGATTCTGTCTCGTTTTTATACGAAGATATTTCCTTTTCTGCCTTTGGCCCCAAAGCGCTTGAAATCTCCACTTGCAAATTCCACAAAAACAGTGTTTCAAATCTGCTCTCTCTAAATGAAAGTTCAACTCTGTCAGTTGAATACACACAACACAAGGAAGTTACTGAGAATTCTTCTGTCTAGCCTTATATGAAAAAAACCCGTTTCCAACGAAGGCCTCAAAGAGGTCTGAATATCCACCTGCAGACTTTACAAACAGAGTGATTCCTAACTGCTCTATGAAAAGAAAGGTTAAACTCTGTGAGTTGAACACACACATCTCAAAGGAGTTTCTGAGAATCATTCTGTCTAGTTTCTTTACGAAGATATTCCCTTTTCTACCTTTGACCTCAACGCGGCCGAAATCTCCACTTGCAAATTCCACAAAAACAGTGTTTCAAGTCTGCTCTGTGTAAAGGATCGTTCAACTCTGTGAGTTGAATACACACAACACAAGGAAGTTACTGAGAATTCTTCTGTCTAGCAGAATATGAAGAACTCCCGTTTCCAAGGAAAGCCTCAAAGAGGTCTGAATATCCACTTGCAGACTTTACAAACAGAGTGTTTCCTAACTGCTCTATGAAAAGAAAGGTTAAACTCTGTGAGTTGAACGCACACATCACAAAGGAGTTTCTGAGAATCATTCTGTCTAGTCTTTATACGAAGATATTTACTTTTCTACCATTGACCTCAAAGCGGCTGAAATCTCCACTTGCAAATTCCACAAAAAGAGTGTTTCAAGTCTGCTCTGTGTAAAGGATCATTCAACTCTGTGAGTTGAATAAACACAACACAAGGAAGTTACTGAGAATTCCTTTCTGTCTAGCAGAATATGAAGAAATCCCGTTTCCAACGAAGGCCACAAGATGTCAGAATATCCACTTACAGAATTTACAAACAGACTGTTTCCTAACTGCTCTATGAAAAGAAAGGTTAAACTCTCTGAGATGAACGAACACATCACAACGCAGTTTTTGGGAATGATTCTGTCTAGTTTTGAAACGAAGATATTTCCTTTTCTGCCATTGACCTTAAAGCGCTTGAAGTCTCCACTTGCCAATTGCACAAAAAGAGTGTTTCAAATCTGCTCTGTCTAAGGGATCGTTCAACTCTGTGAGTTGAATATACACAACACAAGGAAGTTACTGGGAATTCTTCTGTCTAGCCTTAAATGAAAAAAACCCGTTTCCAACGAAGGCCTCTAAGTGGTCAAAATATCCACGTGCAGACTTTACAAACAGAGTGTTTCCAAACTGCTGAATGAAAAGAAAAGTTAAACTCTGAGAGTTGAACGCACACATCACAGAGTAGTTTCTGAGAATGATTCTGTCTAGTTTTTATACGAAGATATTTCCTTTTCTGCCTTTGGCCCCAAAGCGCTTGAAATCTCCACCTGCAAATTCCACAAAAAGAGTGTTTCAAATCTGCTCTGTGTAAATGAAAGTTCAACTCTGTGAGTTGAACACACACAACACAAGGAAGTTACTGGGAATTCTCTGTCTAGCAGAATATGAAGAAATCCCGTTTCCAACGAAGGCCTCAAAGAGGTCTGAATATCCACTTGCAGACTTTACAAACAGAGTGTTTCCTAACTGCTCTATGAAAAGAAAGGTTAAACTCTGTGAGTTGAACGTACACATCACAAAGGGGTTTCTGAGAATCATTCTGTCTAGTCTTTATACGAAGATATTTCCTTTTCTACCATTGACCTCAAAGCGGCTGAAATCTCCACTTGCAAATTCCACAAAAAGAGTGTTTCAACTATGCTCTGTGTAAAGGATCGTTCAACTCTGTGAGTTGAATACACACAACACAAGGAAGTTACTGAGAATTCTTCTGTCTAGCGGAATATGAAGAAATCCCGTTTCCAACGAAGGCCAGAAGATGTCAGAATATCCACTTACGGACTTTACAAAGAGAGTGTTTCCTAACTGCTCTATGAACAGAAAGGTTAAACTCTGTGAGTTGAACGAACACATCACAACGCAGTTTGTGGGAATGATTCTGTCTAGTTTCTATAGGAAGATATTTCCTATTCTACCATTGACCTCAAAGCGGCTGAAATCTCCACTTGCAAATTCCACAAAAAGAGTTTTTCAAGTCTGCTCTGTGTAAAGGATCGTTCAATTCTGTGAGTTGAATACACACAACACAAGGAAGTTACTGAGAATTCTTCTGTCTAGCAGAATATGAAGAAATCCCGTTTCCAACGAAGGCCACAAGATGTCAGAATATCCACTTACAGAATTGACAAACAGACTGTTTCCTAACTGCTCTATGAAAAGAAAGGTTAAACTCTGTGAGTTGAACAAACACATCACAACGCAGTTTGTGGGAATGATTCTGTCTAGTTTTTATATGAAGATATTTCCTTTTATACCATTGACCTCAAAGCGGCTGAAATCACCACTTGCCAATTGCACAAAAAGAGTGTTTCAAATCTGCTGTGTCTAAGGAAACGTTCAACTCTGTGAGTTGAATGTACACAACACAAGGGAAGTTACTGGGAATTCTTCTCTCTAGCCTTACATGAAAAAAACCCGTTTCCAACGAAGGCCTCTAAGTGGTCAAAATATCCACGTGCAGACTTTACAAACAGAGTGTTTCCAAACCGCTGAATGAAAAGAAAAGTTAAACTCTGAGAGTTGAACGCACACATCACGCAGCAGTTTCTGAGAATGATTCTGTCTAGTTTTTATACGAAGATATTCCCTTTTCAGCCTTTGGCCCCAAAGCGCTTGAAATCTCCACTTGCAAATTCCACAAAAACAGTGTTTCAAATCTGCTCTCTCTAAATGAAAGTTCAACTCTGTCAGTTGAATACACACAACACAAGGAAGTTACTGAGAATTCTTCTGTCTAGCATAATATGAAGAAATCCCGTTTCCAACGAAGGCCTCAAAGAGGTCTGAATATCCACTTGCAGACCTTACAAACAGAGTGTTTCCTAACTGCTCTATGAAAAGAAAAGTTAAACTCTGTGAGTTGAACGCACACATCACAAAGGAGTTTCTGAGAATCATTCTGTCTAGTTTCTATAGGAAGATATTTCCTATTCTACCATTGACCTCAAAGAGGCTGAAATCTCCACTTGCAAATTCCACAACAAGAGTGTTTCAAGTATGCTCCGTGTAAAGGATCGTTCAACTCTGTGAGTTGAATACACACAACACAAGGAAGTTACTGAGAATTCTTCTGTCTAGCATAGCATGAAGAAATCCCGTTTCCAACGAAGGCCTCAAAGAGGTCTGAATATCCACTTGCAGACTTTACAAACAGAGTGTTTCCTAACTGCTCTATGAAAAGAAAGGTTAAACTCTGTGAGTTGAACGCACACATCACAAAGAAGTTTCTGAGAATCATTCTGTCTAGTTTTTATACGAAGATATTTCCTTTTCTACCATTGACCTCAAAGAGGCTGAAATCTCCACTTGCAAATTCCACAAAAAGAGTGTTTCAAATCTGCTGTGTGTAAACCATCGTTCAACTCTGTGAGTTGAATACACACAACACAAGGAAGATTCTGAGAATTCTTCTGTCTAGCAGAATATGAAGAAATCCCGTTTCCAACGAAGGCCAGAAGATGTCAGAATATCCACTTACAGACTTTACAAACAGAGTGTTTCCTAACTGCTCTATGAACGGAAAGGTTAAACTCTGTGAGTTGAACGAACACATCACAACGCAGTTTGTGGGAATGATTCTGTCTAGTTTTGAAACGAAGATATTTCCTTTTCTGCCATTGACCTTAAAGCGCTTGAAATCTACACTTGCAAATTGCACAAATAGAGTGTTTCAAATCTGCTCTGTCTAAGGGAACGTTCATCTCTGTGAGTTGAATGCACACAACACAAGGAAGTTACTGGGAATACTTCTGTCTAGCCTTATATGAAAAAAACCCGTTTCCAACGAAGGCCTCTAAGTGGTCAAGTTATCCACGTGCAGTCTTTACAAACAGAGTGTTTCCAAACTTCTGAATGAAAAGAAAAGTTAAACTCTGAGAGTTGAACGCACACATCGCAGAGCAGTTTCTGAGAATGATTCTGTCTAGTTTTTATACGAAGATATTTCCTTTTCTGCCTTTGGCCTCAAAGCGCTTGAAATCTCCACTTGCAAATTCCACAAAAAGAGTGTTTCAAATCTGCTCTGTGTAAATGAAAGTTCAACTCTGTGAGTTGAACACACATAACACAAGGAAGTTACTGGGAATTCTTCTGTCTAGCATAATAGGAAGAAATCCCGTTTCCAACGAAGGCCTCAAGGAGGTCTGAATATCCACTTGCAGACTTTACAAACAGAGTGTTTCCTAACTGCTCTATGAAAAGAAAGGTTAAACTCTGTGAGTTGAACTGCACACATCACAAAGGAGTTTCTGAGAATCATTCTGTCTAGTTTCTATAGGAAGATATTTCCTATACTACCATTGACCTCAAAGCGGCTGAAATCTCCACTTGCAAATTCCACAAATAGAGTGTTTCAAGTCTGCTCTGTGTAAAGGATCGTTCAACTCTGTGAGTTGAATACACACAACACAAGGAAGTTACTGAGAATTCTTCTGTCTAGCATCATATGAAGAAATCCCGTTTCCAACGAAGGCCTCAAGGAGGTCTGAATATCCACTTGCAGACTTTACAAACAGAGTGTTTCCTAACTGCTCTATGAAAAGAAAGGTTAAACTCTGTGAGTTGAACGCACACATCACAAGGGAGTTTCTGAGAATCATTCTGTCTAGTTTTTATACGAAGATATTACCTTTTCTACCATGGACCTCAAAGCGGCTGAAATCTCCACTTGCAAATTCCACAAATAGAGTGTTTCAAATCTGCTCTGTGTAAACCATCGTTCAACTCTGTGAGTTGAATACACACAACACAAGGAAGATTCTGAGAATTCTTCTGTCTAGCAGAATATGAAGAAATCCCGTTTCCAACGAAGGCCTCAAGGAGGTCTGAATATCCACTTGCAGACTTTGCAAACAGAGTGTTTCCTAACTGCTCTATGAACAGAAAGGTTAAACTCTGTGAGTTGAACGAACACATCACAACGCAGTTTGTGGGAATGATTCTGTCTAGTTTTGAAACGAAGATATTTCCTTTCCTGCCATTGACCTTAAAGCGCTTGAAATCTCCATTTGCCAATTGCACAAAAAGAGTGTTTCAAATCTGCTCTGTCTAAGGGAACGTTCAACTCTGTGAGTTGAATGTACACAACACAAGGAAGTTACTGGGAATTCTTCTGTCTAGCCTTACAGGAAAAAAACCCGTTTCCAACGAAGGCCTCTAAGTGGTCAAAATATCCACGTGCAGACTTTACAAACAGAGTGTTTCCAAACTGCTGAATGAAAAGAAAAGTTAAACTCTGAGAGTTGAACGCACACATCGCAGAGTAGTTTCTGAGAATGATTCTGTCTAGTTTTTATACGAAGATATTTCCTTTTCTGCCTTTGGCCTCACAGCGCTTGAAATCTCCACTTGCAAATTCCAAAAAAAGAGTGTTTCAAATCTGCTCTGTGTAAATGAAAGTTCAACTCTGTGAGTTGAACACACACAACACAAGGAAGTTACTGGGAATTCTTCTGTCTAGCATAATATGAAGAAATCCCTTTTCCAACGAAGGCCCCAAAGAGGTCAGAATATCCACTTGCAGACTTTACAAACAGAGTGTTTCCTAACTGCTCTATGAAAAGAAAGGTTAAACTCTGTGAGTTGAACGCACAGAGCACAAAGCAGTTTCTGAGAATCATTCTGTCTAGTTTCTATAGGAAGATATTTCCTATTCTACCATTGACCACACAGCGGCTGAAATCTCCAGTTGCAAATTCCACAAAAAGAGTGTTTCAAGTCTGCTCTGTGTAAATCATCGTTCAACTCTGTGAGTTGAATACACACAACACAAGGAAGTTACTGAGAATTCTTCTGTCTAGCATAGTATGAAGAAATCCCGTTTCCAACGAAGGCCTCAAAGAGGTCTGAATATCCACTTGCAGAGTTTACAAACAGAGTGTTTCCTAACTGCTGTATGAAAAGAAAGGTTAAACTCTGTGAGTTGAACGCACACATCACAAAGAAGTTTCTGAGAATCATTCTGTCTAGTTTCTATACGAAGATATTTCCTTTTCTACAATTGACCTCAAAGCGGCTGAAATCTCCACTTGCAAATTCCACAAAAAGAGTGTTTCAAGTCTGCTCTGTGTAAAGGATCGTTCAACTCTGTGAGTTGAATACACACAACACCAGGAATTTACTGAGAATTCTTCTGTCTAGCAGAATATGAAGAAATCCCGTTTCCAACGAAGGCCACAAGATGTCAGAATATCCACTTACAGAATTTACAAACAGACTGTTTCCTAACTGCTCTATGAAAAGAAAGGTTAAACTACTGTGAGTTGAACGAACACATAACAACGCAGTTTGTGGGAATGATTCTGTCTAGTTTTGAAACGAAGATATTTCCTTTCCTGCCATTGACCTTAAAGCGCTTGAAATCTCCATTTGCCAATTGCACAAAAAGAGTGTTTCAAATCTGCTCTGTCTAAGGGAACGTTCAACTCTGTGAGTTGAATGTACACAACACAAGGAAGTTACTGGGAATTCTTCTGTCTAGCAGAATATGAAAAAACCCCGTTTCCAACGAAGGCCTCTAAGTGGTCAAAATATCCACGTGCAGACTTTACAAACAGAGTGTTTCCAAACCGCTGAATGAAAAGAAAAGTTAAACTCTGAGAGTTGAACGCACACATCACGCCACAGTTTCTGAGAATGATTCTGTCTAGTTTTTATAAGAAGATATTTCCTTTTCTGCCTTTGGCCTCAAAGCGCTTGAAATCTCCACTTGCAAATTCCACAAAAAGAGTGTTTCAAATCTGCTCTGTGTAAATGAAAGTTCAACTCTGTGAGTTGAACACTCACAACACAAGGAAGTTACTGGGAATTTTTCTGTCTAGCAGAATACGAAGAAATCCCGCTTCCAACGAAGTCCTCAAAGAAGTCTGAATATCCACTTGCAGACTTTACAAACAGAGTGTTTCCCAACTGCTCTATGAAAAGAAAGTTTGAACTCTGTGAGTTGAACGCACACATCACAAAGGAGTTTCTGAGAATCATTCTGTCTAGTTTTTATAGGAAGATATTTCCTTTTCTACCATTGACCTCAAAGCGGCTGAAATCTCCACTTGCAAATTCCACAAAAAGAGTGTTTCAACTCTGCTCTGTGTAAAGGATCGTTCAACTCTGTGAGTTCAATACACACAACACGCGGAAGTTACTGAGAATTCTTCTGTCTAGCAGAACATGAAGAAATCCCGTTTCCAACGAAGGCCTCAAAGATGTCTGTATATCCACTTGCAGACTTTACAAACAGAGTGTTTCCTAACTGCTCTATGAAAAGTAAGGTTAAACTCTGTGAGTTGAACGCACACATCACAAAGGAGTTTCTGAGAATCATTCTGTCTAGTTTTTATAGGAAGATATTTCCTTTTCTACATTTGACTTCAAAGCGGCAGGAATCTCCACTTGCAAATTCCACAAAAAGAGTGTTACAAGTCTGCTATGTGTAAAGGATCGTTCAACTGTGTGAGTTGAATACACACAACACAAGGAAGTTACTGAGAATTCTTCTGTCTAGCAGAATATGAAGAAATCCCGTTCCCAACGAAGGCCACAAGATGTCAGAATATCCACTTACAGACTTTACAAACAGAGTGTTTCCTAACTGCTCTATGAACAGAAAGGTTAAACTACTGTGAGTTGAACGAACACATCACAACGCAGTTTGTGGGAATCATTCTGTCTAGTTTTCAAACGAAGATATTTCCTTTTCTGCCATTGACCTTAAAGCGCTTGAAATCTACACTTGCAAATTGCACAAATAGAGTGTTTCAAATCTGCTCTGTCTAAGGGAACGTTCAACTCTGTGAGTTGAATGCACACAACACAAGGGAAGTTACTGGGAATTCTTCTGTCTAGCCTTACAAGAAAAAAACCCGTTTCCAACGAAAGCCTCTAAATGGTCAAAATATCCACGTGCAGACTTTACAAACAGAGGGTTTCCAAACTGCTGAATGAAAAGAAAAGTTAAACTCTGAGAGTTGAACGCACACATCGCAGAGCAGTTTCTGAGAATGATGCTGTCTAGTTTTTATACGAAGATATTTCCTTTTCTGCCTTTGGCCTCAAAGCGCTTGAAATCTCCACTTGCAAATTCCACAAAAAGAGTGTTTCAAATCTGCTCTGTGTAAATCAAAGTTCAACTCTGTGAGTTGAACACACACAACACAAGGAAGTTACTGGGAATTCTTCTGTCTAGCATAATATGAAGAAATCCCGTCTCCAAAGAAGGCCTCAAGGAGGTCTGAATATCCACTTGCAGACTTTACAAACAGAGTGTTTCCTAACTGCTCTATGAAAAGAAAGGTTAAACTCTGTGAGTTGAACGCACACATCACAAAGGAGTTTCTGAGAATCATTCTGTCTAGTTTCTATAGGAAGATATTTCCTATTCTACCATTGACCTCAAAGAGGCTGAAATCTCCACTTGCAAATTCCACAAAAAGAGTGTTTCAAGTCTGCTCTGTGTAAAGGATCGTTCAACTCTGTGAGTTGAATATACACAACACAAAGGAGTTACTGAGAATTCTTCTGTCTAGCAGAATATGAAGAAATCCCGTTTCCAACGAAGGCCTCTAGGAGGTCTCAATATCTACTTGCAGACTTTACAAACAGAGTGTTTCCTAACTGCTCTATGAACAGAAAGGTTAAACTCTGTGATTTGAACGAACACATCACAACGCAGTTTGTGGGAATGATTCTGTCTAGTTTTTATAGGAAGATATTTCCTTTTCTACCTTTGACCTGAAAGCGGCTGAAATCACCAATTGCCAATTGCACAAAAAGAGTGTTTCAAATCTGCTCTGTCTAAGGAAACGTTCAACTCTGTGGGTTGAATGTACAAAACACAAGGAAGTTACTGGGAATTCTTCTGTCTAGCCTTACATGAAGAAAACCCGTTTCCAACGAAGGCCTCTAAGTGGTCAAAATATCCACGTGCAGACTTTACAAAGAGAGTGTTTCCAAACCGCTGAATGAAAAGAAAAGTTAAACTCTGAGAGTTGAACGCACACATCACGCAGCAGTTTCTGAGAATGATTCTGTCTAGTTTTTATACGAAGATATTTCCTTTTCTGCCTTTGGCCCCAAAGCGCTTGAAATCTCCATTTGCAAATTCCACAAAAACAGTGTTTCAAATCTGCTCTCTCTAAATGAAAGTTCAACTCTGTCAGTTGAATACACACAACACAAGGGAAGTTACTGAGAAATTCTTTTGTCTAGCAGAATATGAAGAAATCCCGTTTCCAACGAAGGCCTCAAAGAGGTCTGAATATCCACTTGCAGACTTTACAAACAGAGTGTTTCCTAACTGCTCTATGAAAAGAAAGGTTAAACTCTGTGACTTGAACGCACACATCACAAAGGAGTTTCTGAGAATCATTCTGTCTAGTTTTTATACGAAGATATTTCCTTTTCTGCCTTTGGCTTCAAAGCGCTTGAAATCTCCACTTGCAAATTCCACAAAAAGAGTGTTTCAAGTCTGCTCTGTGTAAAGGATCGTTCAACTCTGTGAGTTGAATACACACAACACAAGGAAGTTACTGAGAATTCTTCTTTCTAGCAGAATATGAAGAAATCCCGTTTCCAACGAAAGCCTCAAGGATGTCTGAATATCCACTTGCAGACTTTACAAACAGAGTGTTTCCTAACTGCTCTATGAAAAGAAAGGTTAAACTCTGTGAGTTGAACGCGCACATCACAAAGGAGTTTCTGAGAATCATTCTGTCTAGTTTTTATTCGAAGGTATTTCCTTTTCTACCATTGACGTCAAAGCGGCTGAAATCTCCACTTGCAAATTCCACAAAAAGAGTGTTACAAGTCTGCTCTGTGTAAAGGATCGTTCAACTCCGTGAGTTGAATACACACAACACAAGGAAGTTACTGAGAATTCTTCTGTCTAGCATAATATGAAGAAATCCCGTTTCCAACGAGGGCCTCAAAGAGGTCTGAATATCCACTTGCAGACTTTACAAACAGAGTGTTTCCTAACTGCTATATGAAAAGAAAGGTTAAACTCTGTGAGTTGAACGAACACATCACAACGCAGTTTGTGGGAATGATTCTGTCTAGTTTTGAAACGAAGATATTTCCTTTTCTGCCATTGAACTTAAAGCGCTTGAAATCTCCGTTTGCCAATTGCACAAAAAGAGTGTTTCAAATCTGCTCTGTCTAAGGGAACGTTCAACTCTGTGAGTTGAATGTACACAACACAAGGAAGTTACTGGGAATTCTTCTGTCTAGCCTTACATGAAAAAAATCCGTTTCCAACGAAGGCCTCTAAGTGGTCAAAATATCCACGTGCAGACTTTACAAACAGAGTGTTTCCAAACCGCTGAATGAAAAGAAAAGTTAAACTCTGAGAGTTGAACGCACACATCACGCAGCAGTTTCTGAGAATGATTCTGTCTAGTTTTTACATGAAGATATTTCCTTTTCTACCATTGACCTCAAAGAGGCTGAAATCTCCACTTGCAAATTCCACAAAAAGAGTGTCTCAAGTCTGCTCTGTGTAAACGATCGTTCAACTCTGTGAGTTGAATACACACAACACAAGGAAGTTGCTGAGAATTCTTCTGTATAGCAGAATATGAAGAAATCCCGTTTCCAACGAAGGCCTCAAGGAGGTCTGAATATCCACTTGCAGACTTTTCAAACAGAGTGTTTCCTAACTGCTCTATGAAAAGAAAGGTTAAACTCTGTGAGTTGAACGCAGACATCCCAAAGGAGTTTCTGAGAATCACTCTGTCTAGTTTCTATAGGAAGATATTTCCTATTCTACCATTGACCTCAAAGCGGCTGAAATCTCTACTTGCAAATTCCACAAAAAGAGTGTTTCAAGTCTGCTCTGTGTAAAGGATCGTTCAACTCTGTGAGTTGAATACACACAACACAAGGATGTTACTGAGAATTCTTCTGTCTAGCCTTACATGAAAAAAACCCGTTTCCAACGAAGGCCTCTAAGTGGTCAAATTATGCACGTGCAGACTTTACAAACAGAGTGTTTCCAAACTGCTGAATGAAAAGAAAAGTTAAACTCTGAGAGTTGAACGCACACATCGCAGAGCAGTTTCTGAGAATGATTCTGTCTAGTTTTTATACGAAGATATTTCCTTTTCTGCCCTTGGCCTCAAAGCGCTTGAAATCTCCACTTGCAAATTCCACAAAAAGAGTGTTTCAAATCTGCTCTGTGTAAATGAAAGTTCAACTCTGTGAGTTGAACACACACAACACAAGGAAGTTACTGGGAATTCTTCTGTCTAGCATAATATGAAGAAATCCCGTTTCCAACGAAGGCCTCAAAGGGGTCTGAATATCCACTTGCAGACTTTATAAACAGAGTGTTTACTAACTGCTCTATGAAAAGAAAGGTTAAACTCTGTGAGATGAACACACACATCACAAAGGAGTTTCTGAGAATCATTCTCTGTCTAGTTTTTATACGAAGATATTTCCTATTCTACCATTGACCTCAAAGCGGCTGAAATCTCCACTTGCCAATTCCACAAAAACAGTGTTTCAAGTCTACTCTGTGTAAAGGATCGTTGAACTCTGTGAGTTGAAAACACACAACACAAGGAAGTTTCTGAGAATTCTTCTGTCTAGCCTTACATGAAAAAAACCCGTTTCCAACGAAGGCCTCTAAGTGGTCAAGTTATCCACGTGCAGACTTTACAAACAGATTGTTTCCAAACTGCTGAATGAAAAGAATAGTTAAACTCTGAGAGTTGAACGCACACATCGCAGAGCAGTTTCTGAGAATGATTCTGTCTAGTTTTTATACGAAGATATTTCCTTTTCTGGCTTTGGCCCCAAAGCGCTTGAAATCTCCACTTGCAAATTCCACAAAAACAGTGTTTCAAATCTGCTCTCTCTAAATGAAAGTTCAACTCTGTCAGTTGAATACACACAACACAAGGAAGTTACTGAGAATTCTTCTGTCTAGCATAATATGAAGAAATCCCATTTCCAACGAAGGCCTCAGAGAGGTCTGAATATCCCCTTGCAGACTTTACAAACAGAGCGTTTCCTAACTGCTCTATGAAAAGAAAGGTTAAACTCTGTGAGTTGAACGCACACATCACAAAGGAGTTTCTGAGAATCATTCTGTCTAGTCTTTATACGAAGATATTTCCTTTTCTACCATTGACCTAAAAGCGGCTGAAATCTCCCATTGAAAATACCAAAAAAAGTGTGTTTCAAGTCTGCTCTGTGTAAATGATCGTTCAACTCTGTGAGTTGAATACACACAACACAAGGAAGTTTCTGAGAATTCTTCTGTCTAGCCTTATATGAAAAAAACCCGTTTCCAACGAAGGCCTCAAAGAGGTCTGAATATCCACTTGCAGACTTTACAAACAGAGTGTTTCCTAACTTCTCTATGAAAAGAAAGGTTAAACTCTGTGAGTTGAACGCAGACATCACAAAGGAGTTTCTGAGAATCATTCTGTCTAGTTTTTATAGGAAGATATTTCCTTTTCTACCTTTGACTTCAAAGCGGCTGAAATCTCCACTTGCAAATTCCACAAAAAGAGTGTGACAAGTCTGCTCTGTGTAAAGGATCGTTCAACTCTGTGAGTTGAACACACACAACACAAGGAAGTTACTGAGAATTCTTCTGTCTAGCAGAATATGAAGAAATCCCGTTTCGAACGAAGGCCACAAGATGTCAGAATATCCACTTACAGACTTTACAAACAGAGTGTTTCCTAACTGCTCTATGAACAGAAAGGTTAAACTCTGTGAGTTGAACGCACACATCACAAAGGAGTTTCTGAGAATCATTCTGTCTAGTTTTGAAACGAAGATATTTCCTTTTCTGCCATTGACCTTAAAGCTCTTGAAATCTCCACTTGCCAATTGCACAAAAAGAGTGTTTCAAATCTGCTCTGTCTAAGGGAACGTTCAACTCTGTGAGTTGAATGTACACAACACAAGGAAGTTACTGGGAATTCTTCTGTCTAGCCTTACATGAAAAAAACCCGTTTCCAACGAAGGCCTCTAAGTGGTCAAATTATCCACGTGCAGACTTTACGAACAGAGTGTTTCCAAACTGCTGAATGAAAAGAAAAGTTAAACTCTGAGAGTTGAACGCACACATCACAGAGCAGTTTCTGAGAATGATTCTGTCTAGTTTCTATAGGAAGATATTTCCTATTCTACCATTGACCTCAAAGCGGCTGAAATCTCCACTTGCAAATTCCACAAGAAGAGTGTTTCAAGAATGCTCTGTGTAAAGGATCGTTCAACTCTGTGAGTTGAATACACACAACACAAGGAAGTTTCTGAGAATTCTTCTGTATAGCATAATATGAAGAAATCCCGTTCCAACAAAGGCCTCAAGGAGGTCTGCATATCCACTTGCAGACTTTACAAACAGAGTGTTTCCTAACTGCTCTATGAAAAGAAAGGTTAACCTCTGTGAGTTGAACGCACACATCACAAAGGAGTTTCTGAGAATCATTCTGTCTAGTTTCTATAGGAAGATATTTCCTATTCTACCATTGAACTCAAAGCGGCTGAAATCTCCACTTGCAAATTCCACAAAAAGAGTGTTTCAAGTCTGCTCTGTGTAAAGGATCGTTCAACTCTGTGAGTTGAATACACACAACACAAGGGAGTTACTGAGAATTCTTCTGTCTAGCATAGTATGAAGAAATCCCGTTTCCAACGAAGGCCTCAAAGAGGTCTGAATATCCACTTGCAGAGTTTACAAACAGAGTGTTTCCTAACTGCTCTATGAAAAGAAAGGTTAAACTCTGTGAGTTGAACGCACACATCACAAAGAAGTTTGCTGAGAATCATTCTGTCTAGTTTCTATAGGAAGATATTTCCTTTTCTACCATTGACCTCAAAGCGGCTGAAATCTCCACTTGCAAATTCCACAAAAAGAGTGTTTCAAGTCTGCTCTGTGTAAAGGATCGTTCAACTCTGTGAGTTGAATACACACAACACAAGGAAGTTCCTGAGAATTCTTCTGTCTAGCAGAATATGAAGAAATCCCGTTTCCAACGAAGGCCTCAAGGAAGTCTGAATATCCACTTGCAGACTTTACAAACAGAGTGTTTCCTAACTGCTCTATGAACAGAAAGGTTAAACTCTGTGAGTTGAACGAACACATCACAACGCAGTTTGTGGGAATGATTCTGTCTAGTTTTGAAACGAAGATATTTCCTTTTCTGCCATTGACCTTAAAGCCCTTGAAATCTCCACTTGCCAATTGCACAAAAAGAGTGTTTCAAATCTGCTCTGTCTAAGGGAACGTTCAACTCTGTGAGTTGAATGTACACAACACAAGGAAAGTTACTGGGAATTCTTCTGTCTAGCCTTACGTGAAAAAAACCCGTTTCCAACAAAGACCTCTAAGTGGTCAAAATATCCTCGTGCAGACTTTACAAACAGAGTGTTTCCAAAGTGCTGAATGAAAAGAAAAGTTAAACTCTGAGAGTTGAACGCACACATCACAGAGCATTTTCTGAGAATGATTCTGTCTAGTCTTTATACGAAGATATTTCCTTTTCTACTATTGACCTCAAAGCGGCTGAAATCTCCCCTTGCAAATTCCACAAAAAGAGTGTTTCAAGTCTGCTCTCTGTAAAGGATCGTTCAACTCTGTGAGTTGAATACACACAACACAAGGAAGTTACTGAGAATTCTTCTGTCTAGCCTTATATGAAAAAAACCCGTTTCCAACGAAGGCTTCAAAGAGGTCTGAATATCCTCTTGCAGACTTTACAAACAGAGTGTTTCCTAACTGCTCCATGAAAAGAAAGGTTAAACTCTGTGAGTTGAACACACACATCACAAAGGAGTTTCTGAGAATCATTCTGTCTAGTTTTTCTACGAAGATATTTCCTTTTCTACTATTGACCTCAAAGCGGCTGAAATCTCCACTTGCAAATTCCACAAAAAGAGTGTTTCAAGTCTGCTCTGTGTAAAGGATCGTACAACTCTGCGAGTTCAATACACACAACACAAGGAAGTTACTGAGAATTCTTCTGTCTAGCACAGTATGAAGAAATCCCGTTTCCAACGAAGACCTCAAAGAGGTCCGAATATCCACTTGCAGACTTTACAAACAGAGTGTTTCCTAACTGCTCTATGAAAAGAAAGGTTAAACTCTGTGAGTTGAACGCACACGTCACAATGAAGTTTCTGAGAATCATTCTGTCTAGTTTTTATACGAAGATATTTCCTTTTCTACCATTGACCTCAAAGCGGCTGAAATCACCACTTGCCAATTGCACAAAAAGAGTGTTTCAAATCTGCTCTGTCTAAGGGAACGTTCAACTCTGTGAGTTGAATGTACACAACACAAGGAAGTTACTGGGAATTCTTCTGTCTAGCCATACATGAAAAAAACCCGTTTCCAACGAAGGCCTCTAAGTGGTCAAAATGTCCACGTGCAGACTTTACAAACAGAGTGTTTCCAAACCGCTGAATGAAAAGAAAAGTTAAACTCTGAGAGTTGAACGCACACATCACGCAGCAGTTTCTGAGAATGATTCTGTCTAGTTTTTATACGAAGATATTTCCTTTTCTGCCTTTGGCCTCAAAGCGCTTGAAATCTCCACCTGCAAATTCCACAAAAAGAGTGTTTCAAATCTGCTCTGTGTAAATGAAAGTTCAACTCTGTGAGTTGAACACACACAACACAAGGAAGGTACTGGGAATTCTTCTGTCTAGCATAATATGAAGAAATCCCGTTTCCAACGAAGGCCTCAAAGGGGTCTGAATATCCACTTGCAGACTTTATAAACAGAGTATTTACTAACTGCTCTATGAAAAGAAAGGTTAAACTCTGTGATTTGAACGCACACATCACAAAGGAGTTTATGAGAATCATTCTGTCTAGTTTCTATAGGAAGATATTTCCTATTCTACCATTGAGCTCAAAGCGGCTGAAATCTCCACTTGCAAATTCCACAAAAAGAGTGTTTCAAGTCTGCTCTGTGTAAAGGATGGTTCAACTCTGTGAGTTGAATACACACAAAACAAGGAAGTTACTGAGAATTCTTCTGTCTAGCAGAATATGAAGAAATCCCGTTTCCAACGAAGGCGTCAAAGAGGTCTGAATATCCACTTGCAGACCTTAGAAACAGAGTGTTTCCTAACTGCTCTATGAAAAGAAAAGTTAAACTCTGTGAGTTGAACGCACACATCACAAAGGAGTTTCTGAGAATCATTCTGTCTAGTTTCTATAGGAAGATATTTCCTATTCTACCATTGACCTCAAAGCGGCTGAAATCTCCAGTTGCAAATTCCACAAAAAGAGTGTTTCAAGTCTGCTCTGTGTAAAGTATCGTTCAACTCTGTGAGTTGAATACACACAACACAAGGAAGTTACTGAGACTTCTTCTGTCTAGCAGAATTTGAAGAAATCCCGTTTCCAACGAAGGCCACAAGATGTCAGAATATCCACTTACAGAATTTACAAACAGAGTGTTTCCTAACTGCTCTATGAAAAGAAAGGTTAAACTCTGTGAGATGAACCAACACATCACAACGCAGTTTGTGGGAATGATTCTGTCTAGTTTTGAAACGAAGATATTTCCTTTTCTGCCATTGAACTTAAAGCGCTTGAAATCTCCACTTGCCAATTGCACAAAAAGACTGTTTCAAATCTGCTCTGTCTAAGGGAACGTTCAACTCTGTGAGTTGAATGTACACAACACAAGGGAAGTTACTGCGAATTCTTCTGTCTAGCCTTACAGGAAAGAAACCCGTTTCCAACGAAGGCCTCTAAGTGGTCAAAATATCCACGTGCAGACTTTACAAACAGAGTGTTTCCAAAATGCTGAATGAAAAGAAAAGTTAAACTCTGAGAGTTGAACGCACACATCGCAGAGCAGTTTCTGAGAATGATTCTGTCTAGTTTTTATACGAAGATATTTCCTTTTCTGCCTTTGACCTCAAAGCGCTTGAAATCTCCACTTGCAAATTCCACAAAAAGAATGTTTCCAATCTGCTCTGTGTAAATGAAAGTTCAACTCTGTGAGTTGAACACACACAACACAAGGAAGTTACTGGGAATTCTTCTGTCTAGCAGAATATGAAAAAATCCCGTTTCCATCGAAGGCCTCAAAGTAGGTCTGAATATCCACTTGCAGACTTTACAAACAGAGTGTTTCCTAACTGCTCTATGAAAAGAAAGGTTAAACCCTGTGAGTTGAACGCACACATCACAAAGGAGTTTATGAGAATCATTCTGTCTATTTTCTATAGGAAGATATTTCCTATTCTACCATTGACCTCAAAGCGGCTGAAATCTCCACTTGCAAATTCCACAAAAAGAGTGTTTCAATTCTGCTCTCTGTAAAGGATCGTTCAACTCTGTGAGTTGAATACACACAACACAAGGAAGTTACTGAGAATTATTCTGTCTAGCCTTACATGAAAAAAACCCGTTTCCAACGAAGGCCTCTAAGTGGTCAAGTTATCCACGTGCAGACTTTACAAACAGAGTGTTTCCAAACTGCTGAATGAAAAGCAAAGTTAAACTCTGAGAGTTGAACGCACACATCGCAGAGCAGTTTCTGAGAATGATTCTGTCTAGTTTTTATACGAAGATATTTCCTTTTCTACCTTTGGCCACAAAGCGCTTGAAATCTCCACTTGCAAATTCCACAAAAACAGTGTTTCAAATCTGCTCTCTCTAAATGAAAGTTTAACTCTGTCAGTTGAATACACACAACACAAGGAAGTTACTGAGAATTCTTCTGTCTAGCAGAATATGAAGAAATCTCGTTTCCAACGAAGGCCTCAAAGAGGTCTGAATATCCACTTGCAGACTTTACAAACAGAGTGTTTCCTAACTGCTCTATGAAAAGAAAAGTTAAACTCTGTGAGTTGAACGCACACATCACAAAGGAGTTTCTGAGAATCATTCTGTCTAGTCTTTATACGAAGATATTTCCTTTTCTACCATTGACCTCAAAGCGGCTGAAATCTCCACTTGGAAATTCCACAAAAAGAGTGTTTCAAGTCTGCTCTGTGTAAAGGATCGTTCAACTCTGTGAGTTGAATACACACAACACAAGGAAGTTACTGAGAATTCTTCTGTCTAGCCTTACATGAAAAAAACCCGTTTCCAACGAAGGCCTCTAAGTGGTCAAAATATCCACGTGCAGACTTTACAAACACAGTGTTTCCAAACCGCTGAATGAAAAGAAAAGTTAAACTCTGAGAGTTGAACGCACACATCTCGCAGCAGTTTCTGAGAATGATTCTGTCTAGTTTTTATACGAAGATATTTCCTTTTCTGCCTTTGGCCTCAAAGCGCTTGAAATCTCCATTTGCAAATTCCACAAAAAGAGTGTTTCAAATCTGCTCTGTCTAAATGAAAGTTCAACTCTGTGAGTTGAACACACACAACACAAGGGAAGTTACTGGGAATTCTTCTTTCTAGCAGAATATGAAGAAATCCCGTTTCCAACGAAAGCCTCAAGGATGTCTGAATATCCACTTGCAGACTTTACAAACAGAGTGTTTCCTAACTGCTCTATGAAAAGACAGGTTAAACTCTGTGAGTTGAACGCACACATCACAAAGGAGTTTCTGAGAATCATTCTGTCTAGTTGTTATACGAAGATATTTCCTTTTCTACCATTTACCTCAAAGCGGCTGAAATCTCCACTTGCAAATTCCACCAAATGAGTGTTTCAAATCTGCTCTGTGTAAACTATCGTTCAACTCTGTGAGTTGAATACACACAACACAAGGAAGATTCTGAGAATTCTTCTGTCTAGCCTTATATGAAAAAAACCCGTTTCCAACGAAGGCCTCAAAGAGGTCTGAATATCCACTTGCAGACTTTACAAACACAGTGTTTCCTAACTGCTCTATGAAAAGAAAGGTTAAACTCTGTGAGTTGAACGCACACATCACAAAGGAGTTTCTGAGAATCATTTCTGTCTAGTTTTTATAGGAAGTTATTTCCTTTTCTACCTTTGACTTCAAAGTGGCTGAAATCTCCACTTGCAAATTCCACAAAAAGAGTGTTACAAGTCTGCTCTGTGTAAAGGATCGTTCAACTCTGTGAGTTGAATACACACAACACAAGGAAGTTACTGGGAATTCTTCTGTCTAGCAGAATATGAAGAAATCCCGTTTCCAACGAAGGCCACATGATGTCAGAATATCCACTTACAGAATTGACAAACAGACTGTTTCCTAACTGCTCTATGAAAAGAAAGGTTAAACTCTGTGAGTTGAACGAACACATCACAACGCAGTTTGTGGGAATGATTCTGTCTAGTTTTGAAACGAAGATATTTCCTTTTCTGCCATTGAACTTAAAGCGCTTGAAATCTCCATTTGCCAATTGCACAAAAAGAGTGTTTCAAATCTGCTCTGTCTAAGGGAACGTTCAACTCTGTGAGTTGAATGTACACAACACAAGGAAGTTACTGGGAATTCTTCTGTCTAGCCTTACAAGAAAAAAACCCGTTTCCAACGAAGGCCTCTAAGTGGTCAAAATATCCACGTGCAGACTTTACAAACATAGTGTTTCCAAACTGCTGAATGAAAAGAAAAGTTAAACTCTGAGAGTTGAACGCACACATCGCAGAGCAGTTTCTGAGAATGATTCTGTCTAGTTTTTATACGAAGATATTTCCTTTTCTGCCTTTGGCCCCAAAGCGTTTGAAATCTCCACTTGCAAATTCCACAAAAACAGTGTTTCAAATGTGCTCTCTCTAAATGAAAGTTCAGCTCTGTCAGTTGAATACACACAACACAAGGAAGTTACTGAGAATTCTTCTGTCTAGCAGAATATGAAGAAATCCCTTTTCCAACGAAGGCCTCAAGGAGGTCTGAATATCCACTTGCAGACTTTACAAACAGAGTGTTTCCTAACTGCTCTATGAAAAGAAAGGTTAAACTCTGTGAGTTGAACGCACACATCACAATGGAGTTCATGAGAATCATTCTGTCTAGTTTTTATAGGAAGATATTTCCTTTTCTACCTTTGACTTCAAAGCGGCTGAAATCTCCACTTGCAAATTCCACAAAAAGTGTGTTACAAGTCTGCTCTGTGTAAAGGATCGTTCAACTCTGTGAGTTGAATACACACAATACAAGGAAGTTACTGAGAATTCTTCTGTCTAGCATAGTATGAAGAAATCCCGTTTCCAACGAAGGCCTCAAAGAGGTCTGAATATCCACTTGCAGAGTTTACAAACAGAGTGTTTCCTAACTGCTCTATTAAAAGAAAGGTTAAACTCTGTGAGTTGAACGCACACATCACAAAGAAGTTTCTGAGAATCATTCTGTCTAGTTTCTATAGGAAGATATTTCCTATTCTACCATTGACCTCAAAGAGTCTGAAATCTCCACTTGCAAATTCCACAAAAAGAGTGTTTCTACTCTGCTCTGTGTAAAGGATCGTTCAACTCTTTGAGTTGAATACACACAACACAAGGAAGTTACTGAGAATTCTTCTGTCTAGCATAATAGGAAGAAACCCCGTTTCCAACGAAGGCCTCAAGGAGGTCTGAATATCCACTTGCAGAGTTTACAAACAGAGTGTTTCCTAACTGCTCTTTGAAAAGAAAGGTTAAACTCTGTGAGTTGAACGCACACATCACAAAGGAGTTTCTCAGAATCATTCTGTCTAGTTTTGAAACGAAGATATTTCCTTTTCTGCCATTGAACTTAAAGCGCTTGAAATCTCCATTTGCCAATTGCACAAAAAGAGTGTTTCAAATCTGCTCTGTCTAAGGGAACGTTCAACTCTGTGAGTTGAATGTACACAACACAAGGAAGTTACTGGGAATTCTTCTGTCTACCCTTACATGAAAAAAACCCGTTTCCAACGAAGGCCTCTAAGTGGGCAAAATATCCACGTGCAGACTTTACAAACAGAGTGTTTCCAAACTGCTGAATGAAAAGAAAAGTTAAACTCTGAGAGTTGAACGCACACATCACAGAGCAGTTTCTGAGAATGATTCTGTCTAGTTTTTATACGAAGATATTTCCTATTCTGCCTTTGGCCTCAAAGCGCTTGAAATCTCCACTTGCAAATTCCACAAAAAGAGTGTTTCAAGTCTGCTCTGTGTAAAGGATCGTTCAACTCTGTGAGTTGAATACACACAACACAAGGAAGATTCTGAGAATTCTTCTGTCTAGCAGAATATGAAGAAATCCCGCTTCCAACGATGGCCTCAAAGAAGTCTGAAAATCCACTTGCAGACTTTACAAACAGAGTGTTTCCCAACTGCTCTATGAAAAGAAAGGTTGAACTCTGTGAGTTGAACGCACACATCACAAAGGAGTTTCTGAGAATCATTCTGTCTAGTTTCTATAGGAAGATATTTCCTATTCTACCATTGACCTCAAAGCGGCAGAAATCTGCACTTGCAAAATCCACAAAAAGACTGTTTCAAGACTGCTCTGTGTAAAGGATCGTTCAACTCTGTGAGTTGAATACACACAACACAAGGAAGTTACTGAGAATTCTTCTGTCTATCAGAATATGAAGAAATCCTGTTTCCAACGAAGGCCTCAAAGATGTCTCAATATCCACTTGCAGACTTTACAAACAGAGTGTTTCCTAACTGCTCTATGAAAAGAAAGGTTAAACTCTGTGAGTTGAACGCACCCATCACAAAGGAGTTTCTGAGAATCATTCTGTCTAGTTTTTATAGGAAGTTATTTCCTTTTCTACCTTTGACTTCAAAGTGGCTGAAATCTCCACTTGCAAATTCCACAAAAAGAGTGTTACAAGTCTGCTCTGTGTAAAGGATCGTTCAACTCCATGAGTTGAATACACACAACACAAGGAAGTTACTGAGAATTCTTCTGTCTAGCATAATATGAAGAAATCCCGTTTCCAACGAAGGCCTCAAAGAGGTCTGAATATCCACTTGCAGGCTTTACAAACTGAGTGTTTCCTAACTACTCTATGAAAAGAAAGGTTAAACTCTGTGAGGTAACGAACACATCACAACGCAGTTTGTGGGAATGATTCTGTCTAGTTTTGAAACGAAGATATTTCCTTTTCTGCCATTGACCTTAAAGCGCTTGAAATCTCCACTTGCCAATTGCACAAAAAGAGTGTTTCAAATCTGCTCTGTCTAAGGGAACGTTCAACTCTGTGAGTTGAATGTACACAACAGAAGGAAGTTACTGGGAATTCTTCTGTCTATCCTTACATGAAAAAAACCCGTTTCCAACGAAGACCTCTAAGTGGTGAAATTATCCACGTGCAGACTTTACAAACAGAGTGTTTCCAAACTGCTGAATGAAAAGAAAAGTTAAACTCTGAGAGTTGAACGCACACATCGCAGAGCAGTTTGCTGAGAATGATTCTGTCTAGTTTTTATACGAAGATATTTCCTTTTCTGCCTTTGGCCTCAAAGCGCTTGAAATCTCCATTTGCAAATTCCACAAAAAGAGTGTTTCAAATCTGCTCTGTGTAAATGAAAGTTCAACTCTGTGAGTTGAACACACACATCACAAGGAAGTTACTGGGAATTCTTCTGTCTAGCAGAATATGAAGAAATCCCGTTTCCAACGAAGGCGTCAAAGAGGTCTGAATATCCACTTGCAGACTTTACAAACAGAGTGTTTCCTAACTGCTCTATGAAAAGAAAAGTTAAACTCTGTGAGTTGAATGCACACATCACAAAGGAGTTTCTGAGAATCATTGTGTCTAGTTTCTATAGGAAGATACTTCCTATTCTACCATTGACCTCAAAGCGGCTGAAATCTCCACTTGCAAATTCCACAAAAAGAGTGTTTCAAGTCTGCTCTGTGTAAAGGATCGTTCAACTCTGTGAGTTGAATACACACAACACCAGGAAGTTACTGAGAATTCTTCTGTCTAACATAATATGAAGAAATCCCGTTTCCAACGAAGGCCTCAAGGAGGTCTGAATATCCACTTGCAGACTTTACAAACAGAGTGTTTCCTAACTGCTCTATGAAAAGAAAGGTTAAACTCTGTGAGTTGAACGCACACATCACAAAGGAGTTTCTGAGAATCATTCTGTCTAGTTTTTATACCAAGATATTTCCTTTTCTACCATGGACCTCAAAGCGGCTGAAATCTCCACTTGCAAATTCCACAAAAAGAGTGTTTCAAGTCTGCTCTGTGTAAAGGATCGTTCAACTCTGTGAGTTGAATACACACAACACAAGGAAGATTCTGAGAATTCTTCTGTCTAGCAGAATATGAAGAAATCCCGTTTCCAACGAAGGCCACAAGATGTCAGAATATCCACTTACAGACTTTACAAATAGAGTGTTTCCTAACTGCTCTATGAACAGAAAGGTTAAACTCTGTGAGTTGAACGAACACATCACAACGCAGTTTGTGGGAATGATTCTGTCTAGTTTTGAAACGAAGATATTTCCTTTTCTGCCATTGACCTTAAAGCGCTTGAAATCTCCACTTGCCAATTGCACAAAAAGAGTGTTTCAAATCTGCTCTGTCTAATGGAACGTTCAACTCTCTGAGTTGAATGTACACAACACAAGGAAGTTACTGGGAATTCGTCTGTCTAGCCTTACATGAAAAAAACCCGTTTCCAACGAAGGCCTCTAAGTGGTCAAAATATCCATGTGCAGACTTTACAAACAGAGTGTTTCCAAACCGCTGAATGAAAAGAAAAGTTAAACTCTGAGAGTTGAACGCACACATCACGCAGCAGTTTCTGAGAATGATTCTGTCTAGTTTTTATACGAAGATATATCCTTTTCTGCCTTTGGCCCCAAAGCGCTTGAAATCTCCACTTGCAAATTCCACAAAAACAGTGTTCCAAATCTGCTCTCTCTAAATGAAAGTTCAACTCTGTCAGTTGAATACACACAACACAAAGAAGTTACTGAGAATTCTTCTGTCTAGTATAATAGGAAGAAATCCCGTTTCCAAAGAAGGCCTCAAGGAGGTCTGAATATCCACTTGCAGACTTTACAAACAGAGTGTTTCCTAACTGCTCTATAAAAAGAAAGGTTAAACTCTGTGAGTTGAACGCACACATCACAAAGGAGTTTCTGAGAATCATTCTGTCTAGTTTTTATACGAAGATATTTCCTTTTCTACCATGGACCTCAAAGCGGCTGAAATCTCCACTTGCAAATTCCACAAAAAGAGTGTTTCAAGTCTGCTCTGTGTAAAGGATCGTTCAACTCTGTGAGTTGAATACACACCACACAAGGAAGATTCTGAGAATTCTTCTGTCTAGCCTTATATGAAAAAAACCCGTTTCCAACGAAGGCCTCAAAGAGGTCTGAATATCCACTTGCAGACTTTACAAACCGAGTGTTTCCTAACTGCTCTATGAAAAGAAAGGTTAAACTCTGTGAGTTGAACGCACACATCACAAAGGAGTTTCTGAGAATCATTCTGTCTAGTTTTTATACGAAGATATTTCCTTTTCTACCATTGACCTCAAAGCGGCTGAAATCTCCACTTGCAAATTCCACAAAAAGAGTGTTTCAAATCTGCTCTGTGTAAACCATCGTTCAACTCTGTGAGTTGAATACACACAACACTAGGAAGATTCTGAGAATTCTTCTGTCTAGCAGAACATGAAGAAATCCCGTTTCCAACGAAGGCCTCAAAGAGGTCTGAATATCCACTTGCAGACTTTACAAACAGAGTGTTTCCTAACTGCTCTATGAAAAGAAAGGTTAAACTCTGTGAGTTGAACGAACACATCACAACGCAGTTTGTGGGAATGATTCTGTCTAGTTTTGAAACGAAGATATTTCCTTTTCTGCCATTGACCTGAAAGCGCTTCAAATCTACACTTGCAAATTGCACAAATAGAGTGTTTCAAATCAGCTCTGTCTAAGGGAACGTTCAACTCTGTGAGTTGAATGCACACAACACAAGGAAGTTACTGGGAATTCTTCTGTCTAGCACAGTATGAAGAAATCCCGTTTCCAACGAAGGCCTCTAAGTGGTCAAATTATCCACGTGCAGACTTTACAAACAGAGTGTTTCCAAACTGCTGAATGAAAAGAAAAGTTAAACTCTGAGAGTTGAACGCACACATCGCAGAGCAGTTTCTGAGAATGATTCTGTCTAGTTTTTATACGAAGATATTTCCTTTTCTGCCTTTGGCCCCAAAGCGCTTGAAATCTCCACTTGCAAATTCCAAAAAAACAGTGTTTCAAATCTGCTCTCTCTAAATGAAAGTTCAACTCTGTCAGTTGAATACACACAACACAAGGAAGTTACTGAGAATTCTTCTGTCTAGCATAATATGAAGAAATCCCGTTTCCAACGAAGGCCTCAAAGAGGTCTGAATATCCACTTGCAGACTTTACAAACAGAGTGTTTCCTAACTGCTGTATGAAAAGAAAAGTTAAACTCTGTGTGTTGAACGCACACATCACAAAGGAGTTTCTGAGAATCATTCTGTCTAGTTTCTATAGGAAGATATTTCCTATTCTACCATTGAACTCAAAGCGGCTGAAATCTCCACTTGCAAATTCCACAAAAAGAGTGTTTCAAGTCTGCTCTGTGTAAAGGATCGTTCAATTCTGTGAGTTGAATACACACAACACAAGGAAGTTACTGAGAATTCTTCTGTCTAGCATTGTATGAAGAAATCCCGTTTCCAACGAAGGCCTCAAAGAGGTCTGAATATCCACTTGCAGACTTTACAAACAGAGTGTTTCCTAACTGCTCTATGAAAAGAAAGGTTAAACTCTGTGAGTTGAACGCACACATCACAAAGAAGTTTCTGAGAATCATTCTGTCTAGTTTTTATACGAAGATATTTCCTTTTCTACCATTGACCTCAAAGCGGCTGAAATCTCCACTTGCAAATTCAACCAAAAGAGTGTTTCAAATCTGCTCTGTGTAAACCATCGTTCAACTCTGTGAGTTGAATACACACAACACAAGGAAGATTCTGAGAATTCTTCTGTCTAGCAGAATATGAAGAAATCCCCTTTCCAACGAAGGCCACAAAATGTCAGAATATCCACTTACAGACTTTACAAACAGAGTGTTTCCTAACTGCCGTATGAACAGAAAGGTTAAACTCTGTGAGTTGAACGAACACATCACAACGCAGTTTGTGGGAATGATTCTGTCTAGTTTTAATACGAAGATATTTCCTTTTCTACCATTGACCTCAAAGCGGCTGAAATCACCACTTGCCAATTGCACAAAAAGAGTGTTTCAAATCTGCTCTGTCTAAGGGAACGTTCAACTCTGTGAGTTGAATGTACACAACACAAGGAAGTTACTAGGAATTCTTCTGTCTAGCCTTACATGACAAAAACCGGTTTCCAACGAAGGCCTCTAAGTGTTCAAAATATCCACGTGCAGACTTTACAAACAGAGTGTTTCCAAACTGCTGAATGAAAAGAAAAGGTAAACTCTGAGAGCTGAACGCACGCATCGCAGAGCAGTTTCTGAGAATGATTCTGTCTAGTTTTTATACGAAGATATTTCCTTTTCTCCCTTTGGCCTCAAAGCGCTTGAAATCTCCACTTGCAAATTCCACAAAAAGAGTGTTTCAAATCTGCTCTGTCTAAATGAAAGTTCAACTCTGTCAGTTGAATACACACAACACAAGGAAGTTACTGAGAATTCTTCTGTCTAGCAGAATATGAAGAAATCCCGTTTCCAACGAAGGCCTCAAAGAGGTCTGAATATCCACTTGCAGAGTATACAAACAGAGTGTTTCCCAACTGCTCTATTAAAAGAAAGGTTAAACTCTGTGAGTTGAACGCACACATCACAAAGGAGTTTCTGAGAATCTTTCTGTCTAGTTTTTCTACGAAGATATTTCCTTTTCTACTATTGACCTCAAAGCGGCTGAAAGCTCCACTTGCAAATTCCACAAAAAGAGTGTTTCAAGTCTGCTCTGTGTAAAGGATCGTTCAACTCTGTGAGTTGAATACACACAACACAAGGAAGTTAGTGAGAATTCTTCTGTCTAGCAGAATATGAAGAAATCCCGTTTCCACCGAAGACCTCAAGTAGGTCTGAATATCCACTTGCAGAATTTACAAACAGAGTGTTTCCTAACTGCTCTATGAACAGAAAGGGTAAACTCTGTGAGTTGAACGCACACATCACAAAGGAGTTTCTGAGAATCATTCTGTCTAGTTTTTATATGAAGATATTTCCTTTTCTACCATTGACCTCAAAGCGGCTGAAATCTCCACTTGCAAATTCCACAAAAAGAGTGTTTCAAATCTGCTCTGTGTAAACAATCGTTCAACTGTGTGAGTTGAATACACACAACACAAGGAAGATTCTGAGAATTCTTCTGTCTAGCAGAATATGAAGAAATCCCGTTTCCCACGAAGGCCACAAGATGTCAGAATATCCACTTACAGACTTTACAAACAGAGTGTTTCCTAACTGCTCTATGAACAGAAAGGTTAAACTCTGTGAGTTGAACGAACACATCACAACGCAGTTTGTGGGAATGATTCTGTCTAGTTTTGAAACGAAGATATTTCCTTTTCTGCAATTGACCTTAAAGAGCTTGAAATCTACACTTGCAAATTGCACAAATAGAGTGTTTCAAATCTGCTCTGTCTAAGGGAACGTTCAACTCTGTGAGTTGAATGCAGACAACACAAGGAAGTTACTCGGAATTCTTCTGTCTAGGCTTACATGAAAAAAACCCGTTTCCAAGGAAGGCCTAAAAGAGGTCAAAATATCCACGTGCAGACTTTACAAACAGAGTGTTTCCTAACTGCTCTATGAAAAGAAAGGTTAAAATCTGTGAGTTGAACGCACTCATCACAAAGAAGTTTCTGAGAATCATTCTGTCTAGTTTTGAAACGAAGATATTTCTTTTTCTGCCTTTGGCCTCAAAGCGCTTGAAATCTCCACTTGCAAATTCCACAAAAAGAGTGTTTCAAATCTGCTCTGTGTAAATGAAAGTTCAACTCTGTGAGTTGAACACACACAACACAAGGAAGTTACTGGGAATTCTTCTGTCTAGCCTTATATGAAAAAAACCCGTTTCCAACGAAGGCCTCAAAGAGGTCTGAATATCCTCTTGCAGACTTTACAAACAGAGTGTTTCCTAACTGCTCTATGAAAAGAAAGGTTAAACTCTGTGAGTTGAACACACACTTCACAAAGGAGTTTCCGAGAATCATTCTGTCTAGTTTTTATACGAAGATATTTCCTTTTCTACCATTGACCTCAAAGCAGCTGAAATCTCCACCCTGCCAATTCCACAAAAAGAGTGTTTCAAGTCTACTCTGTGTAAAGGATCGTTGAACTCTGTGATTTGAAAACACACAACACAACGAAGTTTCTGAGAATTCTTCTTTCTAGCAGAATATGAAGAAATCCCGTTTCCAAGGAAAGCCTCAAGGATGTCTGAATATCCACTTGCAGACTTTACAAACAGAGTGTTTCCTAACTGCTCTATGAAAAGAAAGGTTAAACTCTGTGAGTTGAACGCACACATCACAAAGGAGGTTCTGAGAATCATTCTGTCTAGTATCTATAGGAAGATATTTCCTATTCTACCATTGACCTCAAATCGGCTGAAATCTCCACTTGCAAATTCCAGAAAAAGAGTGTTTCAAGTCTGCTCTGTGTAAAGGATCGTTCAACTCTGTGAGTTGAATACACACAACACAAGGAAGTTACTGAGAATTCTTCTGTCTAGTATTATAGGACGAAATCCTGTTTCCAACGAAGTCCTCAAAGAGGTCAGAATATCCACTTGCAGACTTGACAAACAGAGCGCTTACAAACGGCTCTATGAAAAGAAAGGTTAAACTCTGTGAGTTGAACGCACACATCACAATGCAGTTTGTGGGAATGATACTGTCTAGTTTTGAAACGAAGTTATTTCCTTTTCTGCCATTGACCTCAAAGCGCTTGAAATCTCCACTTGCAAATTGCACAAAAAGAGTGTTTCAAATCTGCTCTGTCTAAAGGAACGTTCAACTCTGTGAGTTGAATGCACACAACACAAAGAAGTTACTGGGAATTCTTCTGTCTAGCCTTACAGGAAAAAAACCCGTTTCCAACGAAGGCCTCTAAGTGGTCAAAATATCCACGTGCAGACTTTACAAACAGAGTGTTTCAAAACTGCTGAATGAAAAGAAAAGTCAAACTCTGAGAGTTGAACGCACACATCGCAGAGCAGTTTCTGAGAATGATTCTGTCTAGTTTTTATACGAAGATATTTCCTTTTCTGCCTTTGGCCCCAAAGCGCTTGAAATCTCCACTTGCAAATTCCACAAAAACAGTGTTGCAAATCTGCTCTCTATAAATGAAAGTTCAACTCTGTGAGTGGAATACACACAACACAAGGAAGTTACTGAGAATTCTTCTGTCTAGCATAATATGAAGAAATCCCGTTTCCAACGAAGGACCTCAAAGGGGTCTGAATATCCACTTGCAGACTTTATAAACAGAGTGTTTCCTAACTGCTCTATGAAAAGAAAGGTTAAACTCTGTGAGTTGAACACACACATCACAAAGGAGTTTCTGAGAATCATTCTGTCTAGTTTTGAAACGAAGATATTTCCTTTTCTGCATTTGGCCTCAAAGCGCTTGAAATCTCCACTTGCAAATTCCACAAAAAGAGTGTTACAAGTCTGCTCTGTGTAAAGGATCGTTCAACTCTGTGAGTTGAATACACACAACACAAGGAAGTTACTGAGAATTCTTCTGTCTAGCGGAATATGAAGAAATCCCGTTTCCAACGAAGGTCTCAAGGAGGTCTGAATATCCACTTGCAGACTTTACAAACAGAGTGTTTCCTAACTGCTCTATGAACAGAAAGGTTAAACTCTGTGAGTTGAACGCACACATCCCAAAAGAGTTTCTGAGAATCATTCTGTCTATTTTCTATAGGAAGATATATCCTATTCTACCATTGACCTCAAAGCGGGTGAAATCTCCACTTGCAAATTCCACAAAAAGAGTGTTTCAAGTCTCCTCTGTGTAAAGGATCGTTCAACTCTGTGAGTTGAATACACACAACACAAGGAAGTTACTGAGAATTCTTCTGTCTAGCAGAATATGAAGAAATCCCGTTTCCAACGAAGGCCTCAAAGAGGTCTGAATATCCACTGGCAGACTTTAAAAACAGAGTGTTTCCTAACTGCTCTATGAACAGAAAGGTTAAACTCTGTGAGTTGAACGAACACATCACAACGCAGTTTGTGGGAATGATTCTGTCTAGTTTTGAAACGAAGATATTTCCTTTTCTGCCATTGACCTTAAAGCGCTTGAAATCTACACTTGCAAATTGCACAAATAGAGTGTTTCAAACCTGCTCTGTCTAAGGGAACGTTCAACTCTGTGAGTTGAATGCACACAACACAAGGAAGTTACTGGGAATACTTCTGTCTAGCCTTACATGAAAAAAACCCGTTTCCAACGAAGGCCCCTAAGTGGTCAAAATTTCCACGTGCAGACTTTACAAACAGAGTGTTTCCAAACCGCTGAATGAAAAGAAAAGTTAAACTCTGAGAGTTGAACGCACACATCACGCAGCAGTTTCTGAGAATGATTCTGTCTAGTTTTTATACAAAGATATTTCCTTTTCTGCCTTTGGCCTCAAAGCGCTTGAAATCTCCATTTGCAAATTCCACAAAAAGAGTGTTTCAAATCTGCTCTGTGTAAATGAAAGTTCAACTCTGTGAGTTGAACACACACAACACAAGGAAGTTACTGGGAATTTCTTCTGTCTAGCAGAATATGAAGAAATCCCATTTCCAACGAAGGCCTCAAGGAGGTCTGAATATCCACTTGCAGACTTTACAAACAGAGTGTTTCCTAACTGCTCTAAGAAAAGAAAGGTTAAACTCTGTGAGTTGAACGCACACATCACAAAGGAGTTTCTGAGAATCATTCTGTCTAGTTTCTATAGGAAGATATTTCCTATCCTACCATTGACCTCAAAGCGGCTGAAATCTCCAATTGCAAATTCCACAAAAAGAGTGTTTCAAGTCTGCTCTGTGTAAAGTGTCGTTCAACTCTTTGAGTTGAATACACACAACACAAGGAAGTTACTGAGAATTCTTCTGTCTAGCAGAATATGAAGAAATCCCGTTTCCACCGAAGGCCTCAAGGAGGTCAGAATATCCACTTGCAGACTTTACAAACAGTGTGTTTCCTAACTGCTCTATGTAAACAAAGGTTAAACTCTGTGAGTTGAACGCACACATCACAAAGGAGTTTGTGAGAATCATTCTGTCTAGTTTCTATAGGAAGATATTTCCTATTCTACCATTGACCTCAAAGAGGCTGAAACCTCCACTTGCAAATTCCACTAAAAGAGTGTTTCAAGTCTGCTCTTTGTAAAGGATCGTTCAAATCTGTGAGGTGAATACACACAACACAAGGAAGTTACTGAGAATTCTTCTGTCTAGCAGAATATGAAGAAATCCCGTTACCAATAAGGCCACAAGATGTCAGAATATCAACTTACAGACTTTACAAACAGAGTGTTTCCTAACTGTTCTATGAAAAGAAAAGTTTAACTCTGTGAGTTGAACGAACACATCACAACGCAGTTTGTGGGAATGATTCTGTCTAGTTTTGAAACGAAGATATTTCCTTTTCTGCCATTGACCTCAAAGCGCTTGAAATCTACACTTGCAAATTGCACAAATAGAGTGTTTCAAATCTGGTCTGTCTAAGGGAACGTTCAACTCTGTGAGTTGAATGCACACAACACAAGGAAGTTGCTGGGAATTCTTCTGTCTAGCCTTACATGAAAAAAACCCGTTTCCAACGAAGGCCTCTAAGTGGTCAATATATCCACGTGCAGACTTTACAAACAGAGTGTTTCCAAACCGCTGAATGAAAAGAAAAGTTAAATTCTGAGAGTTGAACGCACACATCACGCAGCAGTTTCTGATAATGATTCTCTGTCTAGTTTTTATACGAAGATATTTCCTTTTCTGCCTTTGGCCCCAAAGCACTTGAAATCTCCAATTGCAAATTCCACAAAAACAGTGTTTCAAATCTGCTCTCTCTAAATGAAAGTTCAACTCTGTGAGTTGAATACACACAACACAAGGAAGTTACTGAGAACTCTTCTGTCTAGCCTTATATGAAAAAAACCCGTTTCCAACGAAGGCCTCAAAGAGGTCTGAATATCCACTTGTAGACTTTACAAACAGAGTGTTTCCTAACTGCTCTATGAAAAGAAAGGTTAAACTCTGTGAGTTAAACGCACAAATCACAAAGGAGTTTCTGAGAATCATTCTGTCTAGTTTCTATAGGAAGGTATTTCCTATTGTACCATTGACCTCAAAGCGGCTGAAATCTCCACTTGCAAATTCCACAAAAAGAGTGTTTCAAGACTGTTCTGTGTAAAGGATCATTCAACTCTGTGAGTTGAATACACACAACACAAGGAAGTTACTGAGAATTCTTCTGTCTAGCCTTACATGAAAAAAACCCGTTTCCAACGAAGGCCTCCAAGTGGTCAAGTTATCCACGTGCAGACTTTACAAACAGAGTGTTTCCAAACTGCTGAATGAAAAGAAAAGTTAAACTCTGAGAGTTGAACGCACACATCCCAGAGCAGTTTCTGAGAATGATTCCGTCTAGTTTTTATACGAAGATATTTCCTTTTCTGCCTTTGGCCCCAAAGTGCTTGAAATCTCCACTTGCAAATTCCACAAAAACAGGGTTTCAAATCTGCTCTCTCTAAATGAAAGTTCAACTCTGTCAGTTGAATACACACAACACAAGGAAGTTACTGAGAATTCTTCTGTCTAGCAGAATATGAAGAAAACCCGTTTCCAACGAAGGCCTCAAAGAGGTCTGAATATCCACTTGCAGACTTTACAAACAGAGTGTTTCCTAACTGCTCTATGAAAAGAAAAGTTAAACTCTGTGAGTTGAACGCACACATCACAAAGGAGTTTCTGAGAATCATTCTGTCTAGTTTCTGTAGGAAGATATTTCCTATTCTACCATTGAACTCAAAGCGGCTGAAATCTCCACTTGCAAATTCCACAAAAAGAGTGTTTCAAGTCTGCTCTGTGTAAAGGATCGTTCAACTCTGTGAGTTGAATACACACAACACAAGGAAAGTTACTGAGAATTCTTCTGTCTAGCAGAATATGAAGAAATCCCGTTTCCAACGAAGGCCACAAGGTGTCAGAATATCCACTTACAGACTTTACAAACAGAGTGTTTCCTAACTGCTCTATGAACAGAAAGGTTAAACTCTGTGTGTTGAACGCACACATCACAAAGGAGTTTATGAGAATCATTCTGTCTAGTTTCTATAGGAAGATATTTCCTATTCTACCATTGACCTCAAAGCGGCTGAAATCTCCACTTGCAAATTCCACAAAAAGAGTGTTTCAAGTCTGCTCTGTGTAAAGGATCGTTCAACTCTGTGAGTTGAATACACACAACACATGGAAGTTACAGAGAATTATTCTGTCTAGCAGAATATGAAGAAATCCCGTTTCCAACGAAGGCCACAAGATGTCAGAATATCCACTTACAGAATTGACAAACAGACTGTTTGCTAACTGCTCTATGAAAAGAAAGGTTAAACTCTGTGAGTTGAACAAACACATCACAACGCAGTTTGTGGGAATGATTCTGTCTAGTTTTGAAACGAAGATATTTCCTTTTCTGTCATTGACCTTAAAGCGCTAGAAATCTACACTTGCAAATTGCACAAATAGAGTGTTTCAAATCTGCTCTGTCTAAGGGAACGTTCAACTCTGTGAGTTGAATGCACACAACACAAGGAAGTTACTGGGAATTCTTCTGTCTAGCCTTACAGGAAAAAAACCCGTTTCCAACGAAGGCCTCTAAGTGGTCAAAATATCCACGTGCAGACTTTACAAACAGAGTGTTTCCAAACTGCTGAATGAAAAGAAAAGTTAAACTCTGAGAGTTGAACGCACACATCGCAGAGCAGTTTCTGAGAATGATTATCTGTCTAATTTTTATACGAAGATATTTCCTTTTCTGCATTTGGCCTCAAAGCGCTTGAAATCTCCATTTGCAAATTCCACAAAAAGAGTGTTTCAAATCTGCTCTGTGTAAATGAAAGTTCAACTCTGTGAGTTGAACACACACAACACAAGGAAGTTACTGGGAATTCTTCTGTTTAGCCTTATAAGTAAAAAACCCGTTTCCAACGAAGGCCTCAAAGAGGTCTGAATATCCACTTGCAGACTTTACAAACAGAGTGTTTCCTAACTGCTCTATGAAAAGAAAGGTTAAACTCTGTGAGTTGAACGCACACATCACAAAGGAGTTTCTGAGAATCATTCTGTCTAGTTTTTATACGAAGATATTTCCTTTTCTACCATTGACCTCAAAGCGGCTGAAATCTCCACTTGCAAATTACACAAAAAGAGTGTTTCAAGTCTGCTCTGTGTAAAGGATCGTTCAACTCTGTGAATTGAATACACACAACACAAGGAAGTTACTGAGAATTCTTCTGTCTAGCATAATATGAAGAAATCCTGTTTCCAACGAAGGCCTCAAGGAGGTCTGAATATCCACTTGCAGACTTTACAAACAGAGTGTTTCCTAACTGCTCTATGAAAAGAAAGGTTAAACTCTGTGAGTTGAACGCACACATCACAAAGGAGTTTCTGAGAATCATTCTGTCTAGTTTCTATAGGAAGATATTTCCTATTCTACCATTGACCTCAAAGCGGCTGAAATCTCCACTTGCAAGTTCCACAAAAAGAGCGTTTCAAGTCTGCTCTGTGTAAACGATCGTTCAACTCTGTGAGTTGAATACACACAACACAAGGCAGTTACTGAGAATTCTTCTGTCTAGCAGAATATGAAGAAATCCCGTTTCCAACGAAGGCCACAAGATGTCAGAATATCCACTTACAGAATTGACAAACAGACTGTTTCCTAACTGCTCTATGAAAAGAAAGGTTAAACTCTGTGAGTTGAACGAACGCATCACAACGCAGTTTGTGGGAATGATTCTGTCTAGTTTTGAAACGAAGATATTTCCTTTTCTGCCATTGACCTTAAAGCGCTTGAAATCTACACTTGCAAATTGCACAAATAGAGTGTTTCAAATCTGTTCTGTCTAAGGGAACGTTCATCTCTGTGAGTGGAATGCACACAACACAAGGAAGTTACTGGGAATTCTTCTGTCTAGCCTTACATGAAAAACACCCGTTTCCAACGAAGGCCTCTAAGTGGTCAAATTATGCACGTGCAGACTTTACAAACAGAGTGTTTCCAAACTGCTGAATGAAAAGAAAAGTTAAACTCTGAGAGTTGAACGCACACATCGCAGAGCAGTTTCTGAGAATGATTCTGTCTAGTTTTTATACGAAGATATTTCCTTTTCTGCCTTTGGCCTCAAAGCGCTTGAAATCTCCATTTGCAAATTTCACAAAAAGAGTGTCTCAAATCTGCTCTGTGTAAATGAAAGTTCAACTCTGTGAGTTGAACACACACAACACAAGGAAGTTACTGGGAATTCTTCTGTCTAGCAGAATATGAAGAAATCCCGTTTCCAACGAAGGCCTCAAGGAGGTCTGAATATCCACTTGTAGACTTTACACACAGAGTGTTTCCTAACTGCTCTATGAAAAGAAAGGTTGAACTCTGTGAGTTGAACGCACACATCACAAAGTAGTTTCTGAGAATCTTTCTGTCTAGTTTCTATAGGAAGATATTTCCTATTCTACTATTGACCACAAAGCGGCTGAAATCTCCACTTGCAAATTCCACAAAAAGAGTGTTTCAAGTCTGCTCTGTGTAAAGGATCGTTCAACTCTGTGAGTTGAATACACACAACACAAGGAAGTTACTGAGAATTCTTCTGTCTAACATAGTATGAAGAAATCCCGTTTCCAACGAAGGCCTCAAAGAGGTCTGAATATCCACTTGCAGAGTTTACAAACAGAGTGTTTTCTAACTGCTCTATGAATAGAAAGGTTAAACTCTGTGAGTTGAACGCACACATCACAAAGAAGTTTCTGAGAATCATTCTGTCTAGTTTTTATACGAAGATATTTCCTTTTCTACCATTGACCTCAAAGCGGCTGAAATCTCCATTTGCAAATTCCACCAAAAGAGTGTTTCAAATCTGCTCTGTGTAAAGGATCCTTCAACTCTGTGAGTTGAATACACACAACACAAGGAAGATTCTGAGAATTCTTCTGTCTAGCAGAATATGAAGAAATCCTGTTTCCAACGAAGGCCACAAGATGTCAGAATATCCACTTACATAATTTACAAACAGACTGTTTCCTAACTGCTCTATGAAAAGAAAGGTTAAACTCTGTGAGTTGAACGAACACATCACAACGCAGTTTGTGGGAATGATTCTGTCTAGTTTTGAAACGAAGATATTTCCTTTTCTGCCATTGACCTTAAAGCGCTTGAAATCTACACTTGCAAATTGCACAAATAGTGTGTTTCAAATCTGCTCTGTCTAAGGGAACGTTCAACTCTGTGAGTTGAATGCACACAACACAAGGAAGTTACTGGGAATTCTTCTGTCTAGCCTTACAGGAAAAAAACCCGTTTCCAACGAAGGCCTCTAAGTGGTCAAAATATCCACGTGCAGACTTTACAAACAGAGTGTTTCCACACTGCTGAATGAAAAGAAAAGTTAAACTCTGAGAGTTGAACGCACACATCGCAGAGCAGTTTCTGAAAATGATTCTGTCTAGTTTTTATACGAAGATATTTCCTTTTCTGCCTTTGGCCTCAAAGCGCTTGAAATCTCCACTTGCAAATTCCACAAAAAGAGTGTTTCAAATCTGCTCTGTGTAAATCAAAGTTCAACTCTGTGAGTTGAACACACACAACACAAGGAAGTTACTGGGAATTCCTCTTTCTAGCAGAATATGAAGAAATCCCGTTTCCAACGAAAGCCTCAAGGATGTCTCAATATCCACTTGCAGACTTTACAAACAGAGTGTCTCCTAACTGCTCTATGAAAAGAAAGGTTAAACTCTGTGAGTTGAACGCACACATCACAAAGGAGTTTCTGAGAATCATTCTGTCTAGTTTTTATACGAAGATATTTCCTTTTCTACCATTGACCAAAAAGCGGCTGAAATCTCCACTTGCAAATTCCACAAAAAGAGTGTTTCAAATCTGCTCTGTGTAAACCATCGTTCAACTCTGTGAGTTGAATACACACAACACAAGGAAGATTCTGAGAATTCTTCTGTCTAGCATAATATGAAGAAATCCCGTTTCCAACGAAGGCCACAAAGAGGTCTGAATATCCACTTGCAGACTTTACAAACAGAATGTTTCCTAACTGCTCTATGAAAAGAAAAGTTAAACTCTGTGAGTTGAACGCACACATCACAAAGGAGTTTCTGAGAATCATTCTGTCTAGTTTTTATACGAAGATATTTCCTTTTCTACCTTTGACCTCAAAGCGGCTGAAATCTCCACTTTCAAATTCCACAAAAAGAGTGTTTCAACTCTGCTCTGTGTAAACCATCGTTCAACTCTGTGAGTTGAATACACACAACACAAGGGAAGATTCTGAGAATTCTTCTGTCTAGCAGAATATGAAGAAATCCCGTTTCCAACGAAGGCCACAAGATGTCAGAATATCCACTTAACAGACTTTACAAACAGAGTGTTTCCTAACTGCTCTATGAACAGAAAGGTTAAACTCTGTGAGTTGAACGAACACATCACAACGCAGTTTGTCGGAATGATTCTGTCTAGTTTTTATAGGAAGATATTTCCTTTTCTAACTTTGACTTCAAAGCGGCTGAAATCTCCACTTGCAAATTCCACAAAAAGAGTGTTACAAGTCTGTTCTGTGTAAAGGATCGTTCAACTCTGTGAGTTGAATACACACAACACAAGGAAGTTACTGAGAATTCTTCTGTCTAGCCTTACATGAAAAAAACCCGTTTCCAAAGAAGGCCTCTAAGTTGTCAAATTATCCACGTGCAGACTTTACAAACAGAGTGTTTCCAAACTGCTGAATGAAAAGAAAAGTTAAACTCTGAGAGTTGAACGCACACATCACAGAGCAGTTTCTGAGAATGATTCTGTCTAGTTTTGAAAGGAAGATATTTCCTTTTCTGCCTTTGGCCTCAAAGCGCTTGAAATCTCCACTTGCAAATTCCACAAAAAGAGTGTTTCAAATCTGCTCTGTGTAAATGGAAGTTCAACTACTGTGAGTTGAACACACACAACACAAGGAAGTTACTGGGAATTCTTCTGTCTAGCATAATATGAAGAAATCCCGTTTCCAACGAAGGCCACAAAGGAGGTCTGAATATCCACTTGCAGACTTTACAAACAGAGTGTTTCCTAACTGGTCTATGAAAAGAAAAGTTAAACTCTGTGAGTTGAACGCACACATCACAAAGGAGTTTCTGAGAATCATTCTGTCTAGTCTTTATACGATGATATTTCCTTTTCTACCATTGACCTCAAAGCGGCTGAAATCTCCACTTGCAAATTCCACAAAAAGAGTGTTTCAAGTCTGCTCTGTGTAAAGGATCGTTCAACTCTGTGAGTTGAATACACACAACACAAGGAAGTTAGTGAGAATTCTTCTGTCTAGCAGAATATGAAGAAATCCCGTTTCCAAGGAAGGCCTCAAGGAGGTCGGAATATCCACTTGCAGACTTTACAAACAGAGTGTTTCCTAACTGCTCTATGAAAAGAAAGGTGAAACTCTGTGAGTTGAATGCACACATCACAAAGGAGTTTATGAGAATCATTCTGTTTAGTTTTTCTACGAAGATATTACCTTTTCTACTACTGACCTCAAAGCGGCTGAAATCTCCAATTGCAAATTCTACAAATAGAGTGTTTCAAGTCTGCTCTGTGTAAAGGATCATTCAACTCTGTAAGTTGAATACACACAACACAAGGAAGTTACTGAGAATTCTTCTGTCTAGCAGAATATGAAGAAATCCCGTTTCCAACGAAGGCCACAAGATGTCAGAATATCCACTTACAGAATTTACAAACAGACTGTTTCCTAACTGCTCTATGAAAAGAAAGTTTAAAGTCTGTGAGTTGAACGAACACATCACAACGCAGTTTGTGGGAATGATTCTGTCTAGTTTTGAAACGAAGATATTTCCTTTTCTGCCATTGACCTTAAAGCGCTTGAAATCTCCATTTGCCAATTGCACAAAAAGAGTGTTTCAAATCTGCTGTGTCTAAGGGAACTTTCAACTCTGTGAGTTGAATGTACACAACACAAGGAAAGTTACTGGGAATTCTTCTGTCTAGCCTTACAGGAAAAAAACCCATTTCCAACGAAGGCCTCTAAGTGGTCAAAATATCCACGTGCAGACTTTACAAACAGAGTGTTTCCAAACTGCTGAATGAAAAGAAAAGTTAAACTCTGAGAGTTGAACGCACACATCGCAGAGTAGTTTCTGAGAATGATTCTGTCTAGTTTTTATACGAAGATATTTCCTTTTCTGCCTTTGGCCTCAAAGCGCTTGAAACCTCCATTTGCAAATTCCACAAAAAGAGTGTTTCAAATCTGCTCTGTGTAAATGAAAGTTCAACTCTGTGAGTTGAACACACACAATACAAGGAAGTTACTGGGAATTCTTCTGTCTAGCCTTATATGAAAAAAACCCGTTTCCAACGAAGGCCTCAAAGAGGTCTGAATATCCACTTGCAGACTTTACAAACAGAGTGATTCCTAACTGCTCTATGAAAAGAAAGGTTAAACTCTGTGAGTTGAACAAACACATCTCAAAGGAGTTTCTGAGAAACATTCTGTGTATTTTCTATAGGAAGATATTTCCTATTCTACCATTGACCTCAAAGCGGCAGAAATCTCCACTTGCAAATTCCACAAAAAGAGTGTTTCAAGTCTGCTCTGTGTAAAGGATCGTTCAACTCCGTGAGTTGAATACACACAACACAAAGAAGTTACTGAGAATTCTTCTGTCTAGCCCTATATGAAAAAAACCCGTTTCCAACGAAGGCCTCAAAGAGGTCTGAATATCCACTTGCAGACTTTACAAACAGAGTGTTTCCTAACTGCTCTATGAAAAGAAAGGTTAAACTCTGTGAGTTGAACACACACATCACAAAGGAGTTTCTGAGAATCATTCTGTCTAGTCTTTATAAGAAGATATTTCCTTTTCTACCATTGACCTCAAAGCGTCTGAAATCTCCACTTGCAAATTCCACAAAAAGAGGGTTTCAAGTCTGCTCTGTGTAAAGGATCGTTCAACTCTGTGAGTTGAATACACACAACACAAGGAAGTTACTGAGAATTCTTCTGTCTAGCAGAATATGAAGAAATCCCGTTTCCAACGAAGGCCTCAAGGAGGTCTGAATATCCACTTGCAGACTTTACAAACAGAGTGTTTCCTAACTGTTCTATGAACAGAAAGGTTAAACTCTGTGAGTTGAACGAACACATCACTACGCAGTTTGTGGGAATGATTCTGTCTAGTTTTGAAACGAAGATATTTCCTTTTCTGCCATTGACCTCAAAGCGCTTGAAATCTCCACTTGCCAGTTGCACAAAAAGAGTGTTTCAAATCTGCTCTGTCTAAGGGAACGTTCAACTCTGTGAGTTGAATGTACACTACACAAGGAAGTTACTGGGAATTCTTCTGTCTAGCCTTACAAGAAAAAAACCCGTTTCCAACGAAGGCCTCTAAATGGTCAAAATATCCACGTGCAGACTTTACAAACAGAGTGTTTCCAAACTGCTGAATGAAAAGAAAAGTTAAACTCTGAGAGTTGAACGCCCACATCGCAGAGCAGTTTCTGAGAATGATTCTGTCTAGTTTTTATACGAAGGTATTTCCTTTTCTGCCTTTGGCCTCAAAGCGCTTGAAACCTCCACTTGCAAATTCCACAAAAAGAGTGTTTCAAATCTGCTCTGTGTAAATGAAAGTTCAACTCTGTGAGTTGAACACACACAACACAAGGAAGTTACTGGGAATTCTTCTGTCTAGCAGAATATGAAGAAATCCCGTTTCCAATGAAGGCCTCAAGGAGGTCTGAATATCCACTTGCAGACTTTACAAACAGAGTGTTTCCTATCTGCTCTATGAAAAGAAAGGTTAAACTCTGTGAGTTGAACGCACACATCACAAAGGAGTTTCTGAGAATCACTCTGTGTAGTTTTTATAGGAAGATATTTCCTTTTCTACCTTTGACTTCAAAGCGGCTGAAATCTCCACTTGCAAATTCCACAAAAAGAGTGTTACAAGTCTGCTCTGTGTAAAGAATCGTTCAACTCTGTGAGTTGAATACACACAACACAAGGAAGTTACTGAGAATTCTTCTGTCTAGCCTTACATGAAAAAAACCCGTTTCCAACGAAGGCCTCTAAGTGGTCAAAATATCCACGTGCAGACTTTACAAACAGAGTGTTTCCAAACTGCTGAATGAAAAGAAAAGTTAAACTCTGAGAGCTGAACGCACACATCGCAGAGCAGTTTCTGAGAATGATTCTGTCTAGTTTTTATACGAAGATATTTCCTTTTCTGCCTTTGGCCCCAAAGCGCTTGAAATCTCCACTTGCAAATTCCACAAAAACAGTTTTTCAAATCTGCTCTCTCTAAATGAAAGTTCAACTCTGTCAGTTGAATACACACAACACAAGGAAGTTACTGAGAATTCTTCTGTCTAGCAGAATATGAAGAAATCCCGTTTCCAACGAAGGCCTCAAAGAGGTCTGAATATCCACTTGCAGACTTTACAAACAGAGTGTTTCCTAACTGCTCTATGAAAAGAAAGGTTAAACTCTGTGAGTTGAACGCATACATCACAAAGGAGTTTCTGAGAATCGTTCTGTCTAGTTTTTATACGAAGATATTTCCTTTTCTATCATTGACCTCAAAGTGTCTGAAATCTCCACTTGCAAATTCCACAAAAAGAGTGTTTCTAATCTGCTCTGTGTAAAGGATCGTTCAACTCCGTGAGTTGAAAGCACACAACACAAGGAAGTTACTGAGAATTCTTCTGTCTATCCTTACATGAAAAAAACCCGTTTCCAAAGAAGGCCTCTAAGTGGTCAAAATATCCACGTGCAGAGTTTACAAACAGAGTGTTTCCAAACTGCTGAATGAAAAGAAAAGTTAAACTCTGAGAGTTGAACGCACACATCACAGAGCAGTTTCTGAGAGTGATTCTGTCTAGTTTGTATGCGAAGATATTTACTTTTCTGCCTTTGGCCCCAAAGCGCTTGAAATCTCCACTTGCAAATTCCACAAAAATAGTGTTTCAAATCTGCTCTCTCTAAATGAAAGTTCAACTGTGTCAGATGAATACACACAACACAAGGAAGTTACTGAGAATTCTTCTGTCTAGCATAATATGAAGAAATCCCGTTTCCAACGAAGGCCGCAAGGAGGTCTGAATATCCACTTGCAGACTTTACAAACAGAGTGTTTCCCAACTGCTCTATGAAAAGAAAGGTTAAACTGTGTGAGTTGAACGCACACATCACAAAGGAGTTTCTGAGAATCATTCTGTCTAGTTTCTATAGGAAGATATTTCCTATTCTACCATTGACCTCAAAGCGGCTGAAATCTCCACTTGCAAATTCCGCAAAAAGAGTGTTTCAAGTCTGCTCTGTGTAAAGGATCGTTCAACTCCTGTGAGTTGAATACACACAACACAAGGAAGTTACTGAGAATTCTTCTGTCTAGCCTTATATGAAAAAATCCCGTTTCCAACGAAGGCCTCAAAGAGGTCTGAATATCCACTTGCAGACTTTACAAACAGAGTGTTTCCTAACTGCTCTATGAAAAGAAAGGTTAAACTCTGTGAGTTGAATGCACACATCACAAAGGAGTTTCTGAGAATCACTCTGTCTAGTTTTTATACGAAGATATTTCGTTTTCTACCATTGACCCCAAAGCGGCTGAAATCACCACTTGCCAATTGCACAAAAAGAGTGTTTCAAATGTGTTCTCTCTAAGGGAACGTTCAACTCTGTGAGTTGAATGTACACAACACAAGGAAGTTACTGGGAATTCTTCTGTCTAGCCTTACATGAAAAAAACCCGTTTCCAAGGAAGGCCTCTAAGTGGTCAAATTATCCACGTGCAGACTTTACAAACAGAGTGTTTCCAAACTGCTGAATGATAAGAAAAGTTAAACTCTGAGAGTTGAACGCACACATCGCAGAGCAGTTTCTGAGAATGATTTCTGTCTAGTTTTTATACGAAGATATTTCCTTTTCTGCCTTTGGCCCCAAAGCTCTTGAAATCTCCACTAGCAAATTCCACAAAAACAGTGTTTCAAATCTGCTCTCTCTAAATGAATGTTCAACTCTGTCAGTTGAATACACACAACACAAGGAAGTTACTGAGAATTCTTCTGTCTAGCAGAACATGAAGAAATCCCGTTTCCAACGAAAGCCTCAAGGATGTCTGAATATCCACTTGCAGACTTTACAAACAGAGTGTTTCCCAACTGCTCTAGGAAAAGAAAGGTTGAACTCTGTGAGTTGAACGCACACATCACAAAGGAGTTTTTGAGAATCATTCTGTCTAGTTTCTATAGGAACATATTTCCTATTCTACCATTGACCTCAAAGCGGCTGAAATCTCCACTTGCAAATTCCACAACAAGAGTGTTTCAAGACTGCTCTGTGTAAAGGATCGTTCAACTCTGTGAGTTGAATACACACAACACAAGGAAGTTACTGAGAATTCTTCTGTCTAGCCTTACAGGAAAAAAACCCGTTTGCAACGAAGGCCTCTAAGTGGTCAAAATATCCACGTGCAGACTTTACAAACAGAGTGTTTCCAAACTGCTGAATGAAAAGAAATGTTAAACTCTGAGAGTTGAACGCACACATCGCAGAGCAGTTTCTGAGAATGATTCTGTCTAGTTTTTATACGAAGATATTTCCTTTTCTGCCTTTGGCCCCAAAGCGCTTGAAATCTCCACTTGCAAATTCCACAAAAACAGTGTTTCAAATCTGCTCTCTCTAAATGAAACTTCAACTCTGTCAGTTGAATACACACAACAGAAGGAAGTTACTGAGAATTCTTCTGTCTAGCAGAATAGGAAGAAATCCCGTTTCCAACGAAAGCCTCAAGGAGGTCTGAATATCCACTTGCAGACTTTACAAACAGAGTGTTTCCTAACTGCTCTATGAAAAGAAACGTTAAACTCTGTGAGTTGAACGCACACATCACAAAGGAGTTTCTGAGAATCATTCTGTCTAGTTTCTATAGGAAGATATTTCCTATTCTACCATTGAACTCAAAGCGGCTGAAATCTCCACTTGCAAATTCCACAAAAAGAGTGTTTCAAGTCTGCTCTGTGTAAAGGATCGTTCAACTCTGTGAGTTGAATACACACAACACAAGGAAGTTACTGAGAATTCCTCTGTCTAGCCTTACAGGAAAAAAACCCGTTTCCAACGAAGGCCTCTAAGTGGTCAACATATCCACCTTCAGACTTTACAAACAGAGTGTTTCCACACTGCTGAATGAAAAGAAAAGTTAAACTCTGAGAGTTGAACGCACACATCGCAGAGCAGTTTCTGAGAATGATTCTGTCTAGTTTCTATAGGAAGATATTTCCTATTCTACCATTGACCTCAAAGCGGCTGAAATCTCCACTTGCAAATTCAACAAAAAGTGTGTTTCAAGTCTACTCTGTGTAAAGCATCGTTGAACTCTGTGAGTTGAACACACACAACACAAGGAAGTTACTGAGAATTCTTCTGTCTAGCAGAATATGAAGAAATCCCGTTTCCAACGAAGGCCTCAAAGAGCTCTGAATATCCACTTGCAGACTTTACAAACAGAGTGTTTCCTAACTGCTCTATGAAAAGAAAAGTTAAACTCTGTTTGTTGAACGCACACATCACAAAGGAGTTTCTGAGAATCATTCTGTCTAGTCTTTATACGAAGATATTTCCTTTTCTACCATTGACCTCAAAGCGGCTGAAATCTCCACTTGCAAATTCCACAAAAAGTGTGTTTCAAGTCTGCTCTCTGTAAAGGATCGTTCAACTCTGTGAGTTGAATACACACAACACAAGGAAGTTACTGAGAATTCTTCTGTCTAGCACAGTATGAAGAAATCCCGTTTCCAACGAAGGCCTCAAAGAGGTCTGAATATCCACTTGCAGACTTTACAAACAGAGTGTTTCCTAACTGCTCTATGAAAAGAAAGGTTAAACTCTGTGACTTGAACGCACACGTCACAATGAAGTTTCTGAGAATCATTCTGTCTAGTTTTTATACGAAGATATTTCCTTTTCTACCATTGACCTCAAAGCGGCTGAAATCACCACTTGCCAATTGCACAAAAAGAGTGTTTCAAATCTGCTCTGTCTAAGGGAACGTTCAACTCTGTGAGTTGAATGTACACAACAGAAGGAAGTTCCTGGGAATACTTCTCTCTAGCCTTACATGAAAAAAACCCGTTTCCAACGAAGGCCTCTAAGTGGTCAAATTATCCACGTGCAGACTTTACAAACAGAGTGTTTCCAAACTGCTGAATGAAAAGCAAAGTTAAACTCTGAGAGTTGAACGCACACATCGCAGAGCAGTTTCTGAGAATGATTCTGTCTAGTTTTGAAATGAAGATATTTCCTTTTCTGCCTTTGGCCTCAAAGCGCTTGAAATCTCCACTTGCAAATTCCACAAAAAGAGTGTTTCAAATCTGCTCTGTGTAAATGAAAGTTCAACTCTGTGAGTTGAACACACACAACACAAGGAAGTTACTGGGAATTCTTCTGTCTAGCAGAATATGAAGAAATCCCGTTTCCAACGAAGGCCTCAAAGAGGTCTGAATATCCACTTGCAGACTTTATAACCAGAGTGTTTCCTAACTGCTCTATTAAAAGAAAGGTTAAACTCTGTGAGTTGAACGCACACATCCCAAAGGAGTTTCTGAGAATCATTCTGTCTAGTTTTTATAGGAAGATATTTCCTTTTCTACCTTTGACTTCAAAGCTGCTGAAATCTCCACTTGCGAATTCCACAAAAAGAGTGTTACAAGTCTGCTCTGTGTAAAGGATCGTTCAAATCTGTGAGTTGAATACACACAACACAAGGAAGTTACTGAGAATTCTTCTGTCTAGCAGAATATGAAGAAATCCCGTTTCAAACGAAGGACTCAAAGAGGTCTGAATATCCACTTGCAGACTTTACAAACAGAGTGTTTCCTAACTGCTCTATGAAAAGAAAGGTTAAACTCTGTGAGTTGAACGCACACATCACAAAGGAGTTTATGAGAATCATTCTGTCTAGTTTCTATAGGAAGATATTTCCTATTCTACCATTGACCTCAAAGCGGATGAAATCTCCACTTGCAAATTCCACAAAAAGAGTGTTTCAAGTCTGCTCTGTGTAAAGGATCGTTCAACTGTGTGAGTTGAATACACACAACACAAGGAAGTTACTGAGAATTCTTCTGTCTAGCAGAATATGAAGAAATCCCGTTTCCAACGAAGGCCTCAAGGAGGTCTGAATATCCACTTGCAGACTGTATAAACAGAGTGTTTCCTAACTGCTCTATGAACAGAAAGGTTAAACTCTGTGAGTTGAACGAACACATCACAACGCAGTTTGTGGGAATGATTCTGTCTAGTTTTGAATCGAAGATATTTCCTTTTCTGCCATTGACCTTAATGCGCTTGAAATCTACACTTGCAAATTGCACAAATAGAGTGTTTCAAACCTGCTCTGTCCTAGGGAACGTTCAACTCTGTGAGTTGAATGCACACAACACAAGGAAGTTACTGGGAATACTTCTGTCTAGCCTTACATGAAAAAAACCCGTTTCCAACGAAGGCCTCTAAGTGGTCAAATTATCCACGTGCAGACTTTAAAAAAAGAGTGTTTCCAAACTGCTGAATGAAAAGAAAAGTTAAACTCTGAGAGTTGAACGCACACATCGCAGAGCAGTTTCTGAGAATGATTCTGTCTAGTTTTTATACAAAGATATTTCCTTTTCTGCCTTTGGCCCCAAAGCGCTTGAAATCTCCACTTGCAAATTCCACAAAAACAGTGTTTCAAATCAGCTCTCTCTAAATGAAAGTTCAACTCTGTCAGTTGAATACACACAACACAAGGAAGTTACTGAGAATTCTTCTGTCTAGCAGAATATAAAGAAATCCCGTTTCCAACGAAGACCTCAAGGAGGTCTGAATATCCACTTGCAGACTTTACAAACAGAGTGTTTCCTAACTGCTCTATGAACAGAAAGGTTAAACTCTGTGAGTTGAACGCACACATCACAAAGGAGTTTCTGAGAATCATTCTGTCTAGTTTCTATAGGAAGATATTTCCTATTCTACCATTGACCTCAAAGCGGCTGAAATCTCCACTTGCAAATTCCACAAAAAGAGTGTTTCAAGTCTGCTCTCTGTAAAGGATCGTTCAACTCTGACAGTTGAATACACACAACACAAGGAAGTTACTGAGAATTATTCTGTCTAGCAGAATATGAAGAAATCCTGTTTCCAACGAAGGCCACAAGATGTCAGAATATCCACTTACAGACTTTACAAACAGAGTGTTTCCTCACTGCTCTATGAACAGAAAGGTTAAACTCTGTGAGTTGAACGAACACATCACAACTCAGTTTGTGGGAATGATTCTGTCTAGTTTTGAAACGAAGATATTCCCTTTTCTGCCATTGACCTTTAAAGCGCTTGAAATCTACACTTGCAAATTGCACAAATAGAGTGTTTCAAATCTGCTCTGTCTAAGGGAACGTTCAACTCTGTGAGTTGAATGCACACAACACATGGAATTTACTGGGAATTCTTCTGTCTAGCCTTACAGGAAAAAAACCAGTTTCCAACGAAGGCCTCTAAGTGGTCAAAATATCCACGTGCAGACTTTACAAACAGAGTGATTCCAAACTGCTGAATGAAAAGAAAAGTTAAACTCTGAGGGTTGAACGCACACATCGCAGAGCAGTTTCTGAGAATGATTCTGTCTAGTTTTTATACGAAGGATATTTCCTTTTCTGCCTTTGGCCTCAAAGCGCTTGAAATCTCCACTTGCAAATTCCACAAAAAGAGTGTTTCCAATCTGCTCTGTGTAAATGAAAGTTCAACTCACAGAGTTGAACACACACAACACAAGGAAGTTACTGGGAATTCTTCTGTATAGCAGAATATGAAGAAATACCGTTTCCAACGAAGGCCTCAAGGAGGTCTGAATATCCACTTGCAGACTTTACAAACAGAGTGTTTCCTAACTGCTCTATGAAAAGAAAGGTTAAACTCTGTGAGTTGAACGCAGACATCACAAAGGAGTTTCTGAGAATCACTCTGTCTAGTTTCTATAGGAAGATATTTCCTATTCTACCATTCAACCCAAAGCGGCTGAAATCTCCACTTGCAAATTCCACAAAAAGAGTGTTTCAAGTCTGCTCTGTGTAAAGGATCGTTCAACTCTGCGAGTTGAATACACACAACACAAGGAAGTTACTGAGAATTCTTCTGTCTAGCATAATATGAAGAAATCCCGTTTCCAACGAAGGCCTCAAAGGGGTCTGAATATCCACTTGCAGACTTTATAAACAGAGTGTTTACTAACTGCTCTATGAAAAGAAAGGTTAAACTCTGTGAGTTGAAGGCACACATCACAAAGGAGTTTATGAGAATCATTCTGTCTAGTTTCTATACGAAGATATTTCATTTTCTACCATTAACCTCAAAGAGGCTGAAATCTCCGCTTGCAAATTCCACAAAAAGAGTGTTTTAAGTCTGCCCTGTGTAAAGTATCGTTCAACTCTGTGAGTTGAATGCACACAACACAAGGAAGTTACTGAGAATTCTTCTGTCTAGCAGAATATGAAGAAATCCCGTTTCCAACGAAGGCCACAAGATGTCAGAATATCCACTTACAGAATTTACAAACAGACTGTTTCCTAACTGCTCTATGAAAAGAAAGGTTAAACTCTGTGAGATGAAGGAACACATCACAACGCAGTTTTTGGGAATGATTCTGTCTAGTTTTTATAAGAAGATATTTCCTTTTCTACCATTGACCTCAAAGCGGCTGAAATCACCACTTGCCAATTGCACAAAAAGAGTGTTTCAAATCTGCTCTGTCTAAGGGAACGTTCAACTCTGTGAGTTGAATGTACACAACACAAGGAAGTTCCTGGGAATTCTTCTGTCTAGCCTTACAAGAAAAAAACCCGTTTCCAACGAAGGCCTCTAAGTGGTCAAGTTATCCACGTGCAGACTTTACAAACAGAGTGTTTCCAAACTGCTGAATGAAAAGAAAAGTTAAACTCTGAGAGTTGAACTCACACATCGCAGAGCAGTTTCTGAGAATGATTCTGTCTAGTTTTTATACGAAGATATTTCCTTTTCTGCCTTTGGAATCAAAGCGCTTGAAATCTCCACTTGCAAATTCCACAAAAAGAGTGTTTCAAATCTCCTCTGTCTAAATGAAAGTTCAACTCTGTCAGTTGAATACACACAACACAAGGAAGTTACTGAGAATTCTTCTGTCTAGCATAGTATCAAGAAATCCCGTTTCCAACGAAGGCCTCAAAGAGGTCTGAATATCCACTTGCAGACTTTATAAACAGAGTGTTTCCTAACTGCTCTATGAAAAGAAAGGTTAAACTCTGTGAGTTGAACGCACACATCACAAAGGAGTTTCTGAGAATCATTCTGTCTAGTTTTTATACGAAGATATTTCCTATTCTACCACTGACCTCAAAGCGGCTGAAATCTCCACTTGCAAATTCCACAAAAAGAGTGTTTCAAGTCTGCTCTTTGTAAAGGATCATTCAACTCTGTGAGTTGAATACACACGACACAAGGAAGTTACTGAGAATTCTTCTGTCTAGCCTTATATGAAAAAAACCCGTTTCCAACGAAGGCCTCAAAGAGGGCTGAATATGCACTTGCAGACTTTACAAGCAGAGTGTTTCCTAACTGCTCTATGAAAAGAAAGGTTAAACTCTGTGAGTTGAACGCACACATCACAAAGGAGTTTCTGAGAATCATTCTGTCTAGTTTTTATACGAAGATATTTCCTTTTCTGCCTTTGGCCTCAAAGCGGCTGAAATCTCCACTTGCAAATTCCACAAAACGAGTGATTCAAGTCTGCTCTGTGTAAAGCATCGTTCAACTCTGTGAGTTGAATACACACAACACCAAGAAGTTACTGAGAATTCTTCTGTCTAGCAGAATATGAAGAAATCCCGTTTCCAACGAAGGCCACAAGATGTCAGAATATCCACTTACAGAATTTACAAACAGACTGTTTCCTAACTGCTCTATGAAAAGAAAGGTTAAACTCTGTGAGTTGAACGAACACATGACAACGCAGTTTGTGGGAATGATTCTGTCTAGTTTTGAAACGAAGATATTTCCTTTTCTGCCATTGACCTTAAAGCGCTTGAAATCTACACTTTCAAATTACACAAATAGAATGTTTCAAATCTGCTCTGTCTAAGGGAACGTTCAACTCTGTGAGTTGAATGCACACAACACAAGGAAGTTACTGGGAATTCTTCTGTCTAGCCTTACAGGAAAAAATCCCGTTTCCAACGAAGGCCTCTAAGTGGTCAAAATATCCACGTGCAGACTTTACCAACAGAGTGTTTCCAAACTGCTGAATGAAAAGAAAAGTTAAACTCTGAGAGTTGAACGCACACATCGCAGAGCAGTTTCTGAGAATGATTCTGTCTAGTTTTTATACGAAGATATTTCCTTTTCTGCCTTTGGCTCCAAAGCGCTTGAAATCTCCACTTGCAAATTCCACAAAAACAGTGTTTCAAATCTGCTCTCTCTAAATGAAAGTTCAACTCTGTCAGTTGAATACACACAACACAAGGAAGTTACTGAGAATTCTTCTGTCTAGCCTTTTATGAAAAAAACCCGTTTCCAACGAAGGCCTCAAAGAGGTCTGAATATCCACTTGCAGACTTTACAAACAGAGTGTTTCCTAACTGCTCTATGAAAAGAAAGGTTAAACTCTGTGAGTTGAACGCACACATCACAATGAAGTTTCTGAGAATCATTCTGTCTAGTCTTTATACGAAGATATTTCCTTTTCTACCATTGACCTCAAAGCGGCTGAAATCTCCACTTGCCAATTCCACAAAAAGAGTGTTTCAAGTCTGCTCTGTGTAAAGGATCGTTCAACTCTGTGAGTTGAATACACACAACACAAGGAAGTTACTGAGAATTCTTCTGTCTAGCAGAACATGAAGAAATCCCGTTTCCAACGAAGGCCTCAAGGAGGTCTGAATATCCACTTGCAGACTTTACAAACAGAGTGTTTCCTAACTGCTCTATGAACAGAAAGGTTAAACTCTGTGAGTTGAACGCACACATCACAAAGGAGTTTCTGAGAATCATTCTGTCTAGTTTTAATACGAAGATATTTCCCTTTCTACCATTGACCTCAAAGCGGCTGAAATCACCACTTGCCAATTGCACAAAAAGAGTGTTTCAAATCTGCTCTGTCTAAGGGAACGTTCAACTCTGTGAGTTGAATGTACACAACACAAGGAAGTTACTAGGAATTCTTCTGTCTAGCCTTACATGAAAAAAACCCGTTTCCAACGAAGACCTCTAAGTGGTCAAAATATCCACGTGCAGACTTTACAAACAGAGTGTTTCCAAACCGCTGAATGAAAAGGAAAGTTAAACTCTGAGGGTTGAACACACACATCACGCAGCAGTTTCTGAGAATGATTCTGTATAGTTTTTATACGAAGATATTTCCTTTTCTGCCTTTGGCCTCAAAGCGCTTGAAATCTCCACTTGCAAATTCCACAAAAAGAGTGTTTCAAATCTGCTCTGTGTAAATCAAAGTTCAACTCTGTGAATTGAACACACACAACACAAGGAAGTTACTGGGAATTCTTCTGTCTAGCATAATATGAAGAAATCCCGTTTCCAACGAAGGCCTCAAAGGGTTCTGAATATCCACTTGCAGACTTTATAAACAGAGTGTTTACTAACTGCTCTATGAAAAGAAAGGTTAAACTCTGTGAGTTGAACACACACATCACAAAGGAGTTTCTGAGAATCATTCTGTCTAGTTTTTCTACGAAGATATTTCCTTTTCTACTATTGACCTCAAAGCGGCTGAAATCTCCACTTGCAAATTCCACAAAAAGAGAGTTTCAAGTCTGCTCTGTGTAAAGGATCGTTCAACTCTGTGAGTTGAATACACACAACACAAGGAAGTTACTGAGAATTATTCTGTCTAGCAGAATAGGAAGAAATCCCGTTTCCAACGAAGGCCTCAAAGAGGTCTGAATATCCACTTGCAGACTTTACAAACAGAGTGTTTCCTAACTGCTGTATGAAAAGAAAGGTTAAACTCTGTGAGTTGAACGCACACATCACAAAGGAGTTTCTGAGAATCGTTCTGTCTAGTTTCTATAGGAAGATATTTCCTATTCTACCATTGACCTCAAAGCGGCTGAAATCTCCTCTTGCAAATTCCACAAAAAGAATGTTTCTAGTCTGCTCTGTGTAAAGGATCGTTCAACTCTGTGAGTTGAATACACACAACACAAGGAAGTTACTGAGAATTCTTCTGTCTAGCATAGTATGAAGAAATCCCGTTTCCAACGAAGGCCTCAAACAGGTCTGAATATCCACTTGCAGAGTTTACAAACAGAGTGTTTCCTAACTGCTCTATGAAAAGAAAGGTTGAACTCTGTGAGTTGAACGCACACATCACAAAGAAGTTTCTGAGAATCATTCTGTCTAGCTTCTATAGGAAGATATTTCCTATTCTACCATTGAACTCAAAGCGGCTGAAATCTCCACTTGCAAATTCCACAAAAAGAGTGTTTCAAGTCTGCTCTGTGTAAAGGATCGTTCAACTCTGTGAGTTGAATACACACAACACAAGGAAGTTTCTGAGAATTCTTCTGTCTAGCCTTAAATGAAAAAAACCCGTTTCCAACGAAGGCCTCAAAGAAGTCCAAATATCCACGTGCAGACATTACAAACAGAGTGTTTCCTAACTGCTCTATGAAAAGAAAGGTTAAACTCTGTGAGTTGAACACACACATCACAAAGGAGTTTCTGAGAATCATTCTGTCTAGTTTTTATACGAAGATATTCCCTTTTCTACCATTGACCTCAAAGCGGCTGAAATCTCCACTTGCAAATTACACAAAAAGAGTGTTTCAGGTCTACTCTGTGTAAAGCATCGTTCAACTCTGTGAGTTGAAAACACACAACACAAGGAAGTTTCTGAGAATTCTTCTGTCTAGCAGAGTATGAAGAAATCCCGTTTCCAACGAAGGCCTGAAAAAGGTCTGAATATCTACTTGCAGACTTTACAAACAGAGTGTTTCCTAACTGCTCTATGGAAAGAAAGGTTAAACTTTGTGAGATGAACGCACACATCACAAAGGAGTTTCTGAGAATCCTTCTGTCTAGTTTCTATAGGAAGATATTTCCTATTCTACCATTGACCTCAAAGCGGCTGAAATCTCCACTTGGAAATTCCACAACAAGAGTGTTTCAAGTCTGCTCTGTGTAAAGGATCGTTTAACTCTGTGAGTTGAATACACACACTACAAGGAAGTTACTGAGAATTCTTCTGTCCATCATAATATGAAGAAATCCCATTTCCAACGAAGCCCTGAAGGAGGTCAGAATATCCACTTGCAGACTTTTCAAACAGAGTGTTTCCTAACTGCTCTATGAAAAGAAAGGTTAAACTCTGTGAGCTGAACGCACACATCACAAAGGAGTTTCTGAGAATCATTCTGTCTAGTTTTTCTACGAAGATATTTCCTTTTCTACTACTGACCTCAAAGCGGCTGAAACCTCCACTTGCAAATTCCACAAAAAGAGTGTTTCAAGTCTGCTCTGTGTAAAGGATCGTCCAACTCTGTGAGTTGAATACACACAACACAAGGAAGTTACTGAGAATTCTTCTGTCTAGCAGAATAGGAAGAAATCCCGTTTCCAATGAAGGCCTCAAAGAGGTCTGAATATCCACTTGCAGACTTTACAAACAGAGTGTTTCCTAACTGCTCTATGAAAAGAAAGGTTAAACTCTGTGAGTTGAACGCACACATCACAAAGGAGTTTCTGAGAATCGTTCTGTCTAGTTTTTATACGAAGCATATTTCCTTTTCTACCATTGACCTCAAAGCGGCTGAAATCTCCACTTGCCAATTCCACAAAAAGAGTGTTTCAAGTCTACTCTGTGTAATGGATCGTTGAACTCTGTGAGTTGAAAACACACAACACAAGGAAGTTTCTGAGAATTCTTCTGTCTAGCAGAATATGAAGAAATCCCGTTTCCAACGAAAGCCACAAAGATGTCTGAATATCCACTTGCAGACTTTACAAACAGAGTGTTTCCTAACTGCTCTATGAAAAGAAAGGTTAAACTCTGTGAGCTGAACGCACACAGCACAAAGTAGTTTCTGAGAATCATTCTGTCTAGTTTTTATACGAAGATATTTCCTTTTCTACCATTGACCTCAAAGCGGCTGAAATTTCCATTTGCAAATTCCACAAAAAGAGTGTTTCAAGTCTGCCCTGTGTAAAGGATCGTTCAACTCTGTGAGTTGAATACACACAACACAAGGAAGTTTCTGAGAATTCTTCTGTCTAGCCTTATATGAAAAAAACCCGTTTCCAACGAAGGCCTCAAAGAGGTCTGAATATCCACTTGCAGACTTCACAAACAGAGTGTTTCCTAACTGCTCTATGAAAAGAAAGGTTAAACTCTGTGAGTTGAACGCACACATCACAAAGGAGTTTCTGAGAATCATTCTGTCTAGTTTCTATAGGAAGATATTTCCTATCCTACCATTGACCTCAAAGCGGCTGAAATCTCCACTTGCAAATTCCAGAAAAAGAGTGTTTCAAGTCTGCTCTGTGTAAAGGATCGTTGAAATCTGTGAGTTGAATACACACAACACAATGAAGTTACTGAGAATTCTTCTCTCTAGCAGAATATGAAGAAATCCCATTTCCAACGAAGGCCTCAAAGAGGTCTGAATATCCACTTGCAGACTTTACAAACAGAGTGTTTCCTAACTGCTCTATGAAAAGAAAGGTTAAACTCTGTGAGTTGAATGCACACATCACAAAGGAGTTTCTGAGAATCATTCTGTCTAGTTTTTATACGAAGATATTTCCTTTTCTACCATTGACCTCAACGCGGCTGAAATCTCCACTTGCAAATTCCACAAAAAGAGTGTTTCAATTCTGCTCTGTGTAAAGGATCGTTCAACTCTGTGAGTTGAATACACACAACACAAGGAAGTTACTGAGAATTCTTCTGTCTAGCAGAATATGAAGAAATACCGTTTCCAACGAAGGCCTCAAAGGGGTTTGAATATCCACTTGCAGACTTTACAAACAGAGTGTTTCCTAACTGCTCTATGAAAAGAAAGGTTAAACTCTGTGATTTGAACGCACACATCACAAAGGAGTTTCTGAGAATCATTCTGTCTAGTTTCTATAGGAAGATATTACCTATTCTACCGTTGACCACAAAGCGGCTGAAATCTCCACTTGAAAATTCCACAACAAGAGTGATTCAAGTCTGTTCTGTGTAAAGGATCATTCAACTCTGTGAGTTGAATACACACAACACAAGGAAGTTACTGAGAATTCTTCTGTCTAGCAGAATATGAAGAAATACCGTTTCCAACGAAGGCCTCAAAGAGGTCTGAATATCCACTTGCAGACTTTACAAACAGAGTGTTTCCTAACTGCTCTATGAAGAGAAAGGTTAAACTCTGTGAGTTGAACGCACACATCACAAAGGAGTTTCTGAGAATCATTCTGTCTAGTTTTTATACGAAGATATTTCCTATTCTACCATTGACCTCAAAGCGGCTGAAATCTCCACTTGCAAATTCCACAAAAAGAGTGTTTCAAGTCTGCTCTGTGTAAAGGATCGTTCAACTCTGTGAGTTGAAAACACACAACACAAGGAAGTTTCTGAGAATTCTTCTGTCTAGCATAATATGAAGAAATCCCGTTTCCAACGAAGGCCTCAAAGGGATCTGAATATCCACATGCAGAATTTATAAACAGAGTGTTTACTAACTGCTCTATGAAAAGAAAGGTTAAACTCTGTGAGTTGAACACACCCATCACAAAGGAGTTTCTGAGAATCATTCTGTCTAGTTTCTATAGGAAGATATTTCCTATTCTACCATTGACCTCAAAGGGGCTGAAATCTCCAATTGCAAATTCCACAAAAAGAGTGTTTCAAGTCTGCTCTGTGTAAAGGATCGTTCAACTCTGTGAGTTGAATACACACAACACAAGGAAGTTACTGAGAATTCTTCTTTCTAGCATAATATGAAGAAATCCCGTTTCCAACGAAGGCCTCAAAGAGGTCTGAATATCCACTTGCAGACTTTACAAACAGAGTGTTTCCTAACTGCTCTATGAAAAGAAAGGTTAAACTCTGTGAGTTGAATGCACACATCACAAAAGAGTTTCTGAGAATCATTCTGTCTAGTCTTTATATGAAGATAGTTTCCTTTTCTACCATTGACCTCAAAGCGGCTGAAATCTCCACTTGCAAATTCCACAAAAAGAGTGTTTGAAGTCTGCTCTGTGTAAAGGATCGTTCAACTCTGTGAGTTGAATACACACAACACAAGGAAGTTACTGAGAATTCTTCTTTCTAGCAGAATATGAAGAAATCCCGTTTCCAACGAAAGCCCCAAGGATGTCTGAATATCCACTTGCAGACTTTACAAACAGAGTGTTTCCTAACTGCTCTATGAAAAGAAAGGATAAACTCTGTGAGTTGAACACACACATCACAAAGGAGTTTCTGAGAATCATTCTGTCTAGTCTTTATACGAAGATATTTCCTTTTCTACCATTGACCTCAAAGCGGCTGAAATCTCCACTTGCAAATCCCACAAAAAGAGTGTTTCAAGTCTGCTCTGTGTAAAGGATCGTTCAACTCTGTGAGTTGAATACACACAACACAAGGAAGTTACTGAGAATTCTTCTGTCTAGCAGAATATGAAGAAACCCCGTTTCCAACGAAGGCCTCAAAGAGGTCTGAATATCCACTTGCAGACTTTACAAACAGAGTGTTTCCTAACTGCTCTAAGAAAAGAAAACTTCAACTCTGTGAGTTGAACGCACACATCACAAAGGAGTTTCTGAGAATCATTCTGTCTAGTTTTTATACGAAGATATTTCCTTTTCTACCATTGACCTCAACGCGGCTGAAATCTCCACTTGCAAATTCCACAAAAACAGTGTTCCAAGTCTGCTCTGTGTAAAGGATCGTTCAACTCTGTGAGTTGAATACACACAACACAAGGAAGTTACTGAGAATTCTTCTGTCTAGCAGAATATGAAGAAATCCCGTTTCCAACGAAGGCCTCAAAGAGGTCTCAATATCCACTTGCAGACTTTACAAACAGAGTGTTTCCTAACTACTCTATGAAAAGAAAGGTTAAACTCTGTGAGTTGAACGCACACATCACAAAGGAGTTTCTGAGAAACATTCTGTCTAGTCTTTATACGAAGATAGTTACCTTTTCTACCATTGACCTCAAAGCGGCTGAAATCTCCACTTGCAAATTCCACAAAAAGAGTGTTTCAAGTCTGCTCTGTGTAAAGGATCGTTCAAGTCTGTGAGTTGAATACACACAACACAAGGAAGTTACTGAGAATTCTTCTGTCTAGCATAATATGAAGAAATCCCATTTCCAACGAAGTCCTCAAAGGTGTCTGAATATCCACTTGCAGACTTTATAAACAGAGTGTTTACTAACTGCTCTATGAAAAGAAAGGTTAAACTGCTGTGAGTTGAACACACACATCACAAAGGATTTTCTGAGAATCATTCTGTCTAGTTTTTATACGAAGATATTTCCTATTCTACCATTGATCTCAAAGCGGCTGAAATCTCCACTTGCAAATTCCACAAGAAGAGTGTTCCAAGTATGCTCTGTGTAAAGGATCGTTCAACTCTGTGGGTTGAATACACACAACACAAGGAAGTTACTGAGAATTCTTCTGTCTAGCATAATATGAAGAAATCCCGTTTCCAACGAAGGCCTCAAAGAGGTCTGAATATCCACTTGCAGACATTATAAACAGAGTGTTTCCTAACTGCTCTATGAAAAGAAAGGTTAAACTCTGTGAGTTGAACGCACACATCACAAAGGAGTTTCTGAGAATCATTCTGTCTAGTTTCTATAGGAAGATATTTCCTATTCTACCATTGACCTCAAAGCGGCTGAAATCTCCACTTGCAAATTCCACAAAAAGAGTGTTTCAAGTCTGCTCTGTGTAAAGGATCGTTCAACTGTGTGAGTTGAATACACACAACACAAGGAAGTTTCTGAGAATTCTTCTGTCTAGCAGAATATGAAGAAATCCCGTTTCCAACGAAGGCCTCAAAGAGGTCTGAATATCCACTTGCAGAGTTTACGAACAGAGTGTTTCCCAACTGCTCTATGAAAAGAAAGGTTAAACTCTGTGAGTTGAACGCACACATCACAAAGGAGTTTCTGAGAATCATTCTGTCTAGTTTTTATACGAAGATATTTCCTTTTCTACCATTGACCTCAAAGCGGCTGAAATCTCCACTTGCAAATTCCACAAAGAGAGTGTTTCAATTCTGCTCTGTGTAAAGGGTCGTTCAACTCTGTGAGTTGAAAACACACAACACAAGGAAGTTTCTGAGAATTCTTCTGTCTAGCAGAATATGAAGAAATCCCGCTTCCAACGAAGGCCTCAAAGAAGTCTGAATATCCACTTGCAGACTTTACAAACAGAGTGTTTCCCAACTACTCTATGAAAAGAAAGGTTGAACTATGTGAGTTGAACGCACACATCACAAAGGAGTTTCTGAGAATCATTCTGTCTAGTTTCTATAGGAAGATATTTCCTATTCTACCATTGACCTCAAAGCGGCTGAAATCTCCACTTGCAAATTCCACAAAAAGAGTTTTTCAAGTCTGCTCTCTGTAAAGGATCGTTCAACTCTGTGAGTTGAATACACACAACACAAGGAAGTTACTGAGAATTCTTCTGTCTAGCAGAATATGAAGAAATCCCGTTTCCAACGAAGGCCTCAAAGAGGTCTGAATATCCACTTGAAGACTTTACAAACAGAGTGTTTCCTAACTGCCCTAATAAAAGAAAAGTTAAACTCTGTGAGTTGAACGCACACATCACAAAGGAGTTTCTGAGAATCATTCTGTCTAGTTTCTATAGGAAGATATTTCCTATTCTACTATTGACCTCAAAGCGGCTGAAATCTCCACTTGCAAATTCCACAAAAAGAGTGTTTCAAGTCTGCTCTTTGTAAAGGATCGTTCAGCTCTGTGATTTGAAAACACGCAACACAAGGAAGTTACTGAGAATTCTTCTGTCTAGCAGAATATGAAGAAATCCCGTTTCCAACGAAGGCCTAATAGAGGTCTGAATATCCAATTGCAGACTTTACAAACAGAGTGTTTCCTAACTGCTCTATGAAAAGAAAGGTTAAACTCTGTGAGTTGAACGCACGCATCACAAAGGAGTTTCTGAGAATCATTCTGTCTAGTCTTTATACGAAGATATTTCCATTTCTACCATTGACCTCAAAGCGGCTGAAATCTCCACTTGCAAATTCCACAAAAAGAGTGTTTCAAGTCTGCTCTGTGTAAAGGATCGTTCAACTCTGTGAGTTGAATACACACAACACAAGGAAGTTACTGAGAATTCTTCTGTCTAGCAGAATATGAAGAAAGCCCGTTTCCAACGAAGGCTGCAAGATTTCAGAATATCCACTTACAGAATTTACAAACAGAGTGTTTCCTAACTGCTCTATGAAAAGAAAGGTTAAATTCTGTGAGTTGAACGAACACATCAAAACGCAGTTTGTGGGAATGATTCTGTCTAGTTTTGAAACGAAGATATTTCCTTTTCTGTCATTGACCTTAAAGCGCTTGAAATCTACACTTGCAAATTGCACAAATAGAGTGTTTCAAATCTGCTCTGTCTAAGGGAACGTTCATCTCTGTGAGTTGAATGCACACAACACAAGGAAGTTACTGGGAATTCTTCTGTCTAGCCTTACATGAAAAAAACCCGTTTCCAACGAAGGCCTCTAAGTGTTCAAAATATGCACGTGCAGACTTTACAAAGAGAGAGTTTCCAAACTGCTGAATGAAAAGAAAAGTTAAACTCTGAGAGTTGAACGCACAAATCACAGAGCAGTTTCTCAGAATGATTCTGTCTAGTTTTTATACGAAGATATTTCCTTTTCTGCCTTTGGCCTCAAAGCGCTTGAAATCTCCACTTGCAAATTCCACAAAAAGAGTGTTTCAAATCTGTTCTGTGTAAATCAAAGTTCAACTCTGTGAGTTGAACACACACAACACAAGGAAGTTACTGGGAATTCTTCTGTCTAGCAGAATATGAAGAAATCCCGTTTCCAACGAAGGCTTCAAAGAGGTCTGAATATCCACTTGCAGACTTTACAAACAGAGTGTTTCCTAACTGCTCTATGAAAAGAAAAGTTAAACTCTGTGAGTTGAACGCACACATCACAAAGGAGTTTCTGAGAATCATTCTGTCTAGTTTCTATAGGAAGATATTTCCTATTCTACCATTGACCTCAAAGCGGCTAAAATCTCCACTTGCAAATTCCACAAAAAGAGTGCTTCAAGTCTGCTCTGTGTAAAGGATCGTTGAACTCTGAGAGTTGAATACACACAACACAAGGAAGTTACTGAGAATTCTTCTGTCTAGCAGAACATGAAGAAATCCCGCTTCCAACGAAGGCCTCAAGGAGGACTGAATATCCACTTGCAGACTTTACAAACAGAGTGTTTCCTAACTGCTCTATGAAAAGAAAGGTTAAACTCTGTGAGTTGAACGCACACATCACAAAGAAGTTTCTGAGAATCATTCTGTCTAGTCTTTATACGAAGATATTTACTTTTCTACCATTGACTTCAAAGCGGCTGAAATCTCCACTTGCAAATTCCAAAAAAAGAGTGTTTCAAGTCTGCTCTGTGTAAAGGATCATTCAACTCTGTGAGTTGAATAAACACAACACAAGGAAGTTACTGAGAATTCTTCTGTCTAGCATAATATGAAGAAATCCCGTTTCCAACGAAGGCCTCAAAGAGGTCTGAATATCCACTTGCAGACTTTACAAACAGAGTGTTTCCTAACTGCTCTATGAAAAGAAAGGTTAAACTCTGAGTTGAACGCACACATCACAAAGGAGTTTCTGAGAATCATTCTGTCTAGTTTCTATAAGAACATATTTCCTATTCTACCATTGACCTCAAAGCGGCTGAAATCTCCACTTGCAAATTCGACAAAAAGAGTGTTTCAAGCCTGCTCTCTGTAAAGGATCCTTCAACTCTGTGAGTTAAATACACACAACACAAGGAAGTTACTGAGAATTATTCTGTCTAGCATAATATGAAGAAATCCCGTTTCCAACGAAGGCCTCAAAGAGGTCTGAATATACACTTGCAGACTTTACAAACAGAGTGTTTCGTAACTGCTCTATGAGAAGAAAAGTTAAACTTTGTTAGTTGAACGCACACATCACAAAAGATTTTCTGAGAATCATTCTGTCTAGTTTCTATAGGAAGGTATTTCCTATTCTACCATTGACCCCAAAGCGGCTGAAATCTCCACTTGCAAATTCCACAAAAAGAGTGTTTCAAGACTGTTCTGTGTAAAGGATCATTCAACTCTGTGAGTTGAATACACACAACACAAGGAAGTTACTGAGAAATCTTCTGTCTAGCAGAATATGAAGAAATCCCGTTTAAAACGAAGGCCACAAGATTTCAGAATATCCACTTACAGACTTTACAAACAGAGTGTTTCCTAACTGCTCTATGAACAGAAAGGTTAAACTCTGTGAGTTGAACGAACACATCACAACGCAGTTTGTGGGAATGATTCTGTCTAGTTTTGAAACGAAGATATTTCCTTTTCTGCCGTTGACCTTAACGCGCTTGAAATCTACACTTGCAAATTGCACAAATAGAGTGTTTCAAATCTGCTCTGTCTAAGGGAACGTTCAACTCTGTGAGTTGAATGCACACAACACAAGGAAGTTACTGGGAATTCTTCTGTCTAGCCTTACATGAAAAAAAACCGTTTCCAACGAAGGCCTCTAAGCGGTCAAAATATCCACGTGCAGACTTTACAAACAGAGTGTTTCCACACTGCTGAATGAAAAGAAAAGTTTAACTCTGAGAGTTGAACGCACACATCGCAGAGCAGTTTCTGAGAATGATTCTGTCTAGTTTTTATACGAAGATATTTCCTTTTCTGCCTTTGGCGCCAAAGCGCTTGAAATCTCCAGTTGCAAATTCCACAAAAACAGTGTTTCAAATCTGCTCTCTCTAAAAGAAAGTTCAACTCTGTCAGTTGAATACACACAACACAGGGAAGTTACTGAGAATTCTTCTGTCTAGCATAGTATGAAGAAATCCCGTTTCCAACGAAGGCCTCAAAGAGGTCTGATTATCCACTTGCAGACTTTACAAAAAGAGTGTTTCCTAACTGCTCTATGAAAAGAAAGGTTAACCTCTGTGAGTTGAATGCACACATCATAAAGGAGTTTCTGAGAATCATTCTGTCTAGTTTTTCTACGAAGATATTTCCTTTTCTACTATTGACCTCAAAGCGGCTGAAATCTGCACTTGAAAATTCCACAAAAAGAGTGTTTCAAGTCTGCTCTGTGTAAAGGATCGTTCAACTCTGCGAGTTCAATACACACAACACAAGGAAGTTACTGAGAATTCTTCTGTCTAGCAGAATATGAAGAAATCCCGTTTCCAACGAAGGTCTCAAGGAGGTCTGAATATCCACTTGCAGACTTTACAAACAGAGTGTTTCCTAACTGCTCTATGAAAAGAAAGGTTAAACTCTGTGAGTTGAACGCACACATCACAAAGGAGTTTATGAGAATCATTCTGTCTTGTTTCTATACGAAGATTTTTCCTTTTCTACCATTGACCTCAAAGCGGCTGAAATCTCCACTTGCACATTCCACAAAAAGAGTGTGTCAAGTCTGCTCTGTGTAAAGGATCGTTCAATTCTGTGAGTTGAATACACACAACAGAAGGAAGTTACTGAGAATTCTTCTGTCTAGCCTTATATGAAAAAAACCCGTTTCCAACGAAGGCCTCAAACAGGTCTGAATATCCACTTGCAGACTTTACAAACAGAGTGTTTCCTAACTGCTCTATGAAAAGAAAGGTTAAACTCTGTGAGTTGAACGCACACATCACAAAGGAGTTTCTGAGAATCTTTCTGTCTAGTTTCTTTAGGAAGATATTTCCTATTCTACCATTGAGCTCAAAGCGGCTGAAATCTCCACTTGCAAATCCCACAAAAAGAGTTTTTCAAGTCTGCTCTCTGTAAAGGATCGTTCAACTCTGTGAGTTGAATACACACAACACAAGGAAGTTACTGAGAATTATTCTGTCTAGCAGAATATGAAGAAATCCCGTTTCCAAGGAAGGCCTCAAAGAGGTCTGAATATCCACATGCAGACTTTACAAACAGAGTGTTTCCTAACTGCTCTATGAAAAGAAAGGTTAAACTACTGTGAGTTGAACGCACACATCACAAAGGAGTTTATGAGAATCATTCTGTCTAGTCTTTATACGAAGATATTTACTTTTCTACCATTGACTTCAAAGCGGCTGATATCTCCACTTGCAAATTCCACAAAAAGAGTGTTTCAAGTCTGCTCTGTGTAAAGGATCATTCAACTCTGTGAGTTGAATAAACACAACACAAGGAAGTTACTGAGAATTATTCTGTCTAGCATAATATGAAGAAATCCCGTTTCCAACGAAGGCCTCAAAGAGGTCTGAATATCCACTTGCAGACTTTACAAACAGAGTGTTTCCTAACTGCTCTATGAGAAGAAAAGTAAAACTCTGTGAGTTGAACGCACACATCACAAAAGATTTTCTGAGAATCATTCTTTCTAGTTTTTCTACGAAGATATTTCCTTTTCGACTATTGACCTCAAAGCGGCTGAAATCTCCACTTGCAAATTCCACAAAAAGAGTGTTTCAAGTCTGCTCTCTGTAAAGGATCGTTCAACTCTGTGACTTGAATACACACAACACAAGGAATTTACTGAGAATTATTCTGTCTAGCAGAATATGAAGAAATCCCGTTTCCAACGAAGGCCACAAGATGTCAGAATATCCACTTATAGACTTTACAAACAGAGTGTTTCCTAACTGCTCTATGAAAAGAAAAGTTAAACTCTGTGAGTTAAACGCACACATCACAAAGGAGTTTATGAGAATCATTCTGTCTAGTTTTGAAACGAAGATATTTCCTTTTCTGCCGTTGACCTTAAAGATCTTGAAATCTACACTTGCAAATTGCACAAATAGAGTGTTTCAAATCTGCTCTGTCTAAGGGAACGTTCAACTCTGTGAGTTGAATGCACACAACACAAGGAAGTTACTGGGAATTCTTCTGTCTAGCCTTACATGAAAAAAACCCGTTTCCAACGAAGGTCTCTCGGTGGTCAAATTATCCACGTGCAGACTTTACAAACAGAGTGTTTCCAAACTGCTGAATGAAAAGAAAAGTTAAACTCTGAGAGTTGAACGCACACATCGCAGAGCAGTTTCTGAGAATGATTCTGTCTAGTTTTTCTACGAAGATATTTCCTTTTCTGCCTTTGGCCCCAAAGAGCTTGAAATCTCCACTTGCAAATTCCACAAAAACAGTGTTTCAAATCTGCTCTCTCTAAATGAAAGTTCAACTCTGTCAGTTGAATACACACAACACAAGGAAGTTACTGAGAATTCTTCTGTCTAGCAGAATATGAAGAAATCCCGTTTCCAACGAAGGCCACAAAGAGGTCTGAATATCCACTTGCAGACTTTACAAACAGAATGTTTCCTAACTGCTCTATGAAAAGAAAAGTTAAACTCTGTGAGTTGAACGCACACATCACAAAGGAGTTTCTGAGAATCATTCTGTCTAGTTTTTCTACGAAGATATTTCCTTTTCTACTATTGACCTCAAAGCGGCTGAAATCTCCACTTGCAAATTCCACAAAAGGAGTGTTTCAAGTCTGCTCTGTGTAAAGGATCGTTCAACTCTGTGAGTTGAATACACACAACACAAGGAAGTTACTGAGAATTCTTCTGTCTAGCAGAATATGAAGAAATCCCGTTTCCAACGAAGGCCTCAAAGAGGTCTGAATATCCACTTGCAGACTTTACAAACAGAGTGTTTCCTAACTGCTCTATGAAAAGTAAGGTTAAACTCTGTGAGTTGAACGCACACATCACAAAGGAGTTTCTGAGAATCATTCTGTCTAGTTTTCATACGAAGATATTTCCTTTTCTGCCATTGACCTCAAAGCGGCTGAAATCTCCACTTGCAAATTCCACAAAAAGAGTGTTTCAAGTCTGCTCTGTGTAAAGGATCGTTCAACTCTGTGAGTTGAATACACACAACACAAGGAAGATTCTGAGAATTCTTCTGTCTACCATAGTATGAAGAAATCCCGTTTCCAACGAAGGCCTCAAGGAGGTCTGAATATCCACTTGCAGAGTTTAGAAACAGAGTGTTTCCTAACTGCTCTATGAAAAGAAAGGTTAAACTCTGTGAGTTGAACGCACACATCACAAAGAAGTTTCTGAGAATCATTCTGTCTAGTTTTTATACGAAGATATTTCCTTTTCTACCATTGACCTCAAAGCGGCTGAAATCTCCAATTGCAAATTCCACAAAAAGAGTGTTTCAAGTCTACTCTGTGTAAAGCATCGTTCAACTCCGTGAGTTGAAAACACAAAACACAAGGAAGTTTCTGAGAATTCTTCTGTCTAGCAGAATATGATGAAATCCCGTTTCCAACGAAAGCCTCAAAGATGTCTGAATATCCACTTGCAGACTTTACAAACAGAGTGTTTCCTAACTGCTCTATGAAAAGAAAGGTTAAACTCTGTGAGTTGAACGCACACATCACAAAGGAGTTTCTGACAATCATTCTGTCTAGTTTTTATACGAAGAGATTTCCTTTTCTACCATTGACCTCAATGCGGCTGAAATCTCCACTTGCAAATTCCACAAAAAGAGTGTTTCAAGTCCGCTCTGTGTAAAGGATCGTTCAACTCTGTGAGTTGAATACACACAACACAAGGAAGTTACTGAGAATTCTTCTGTCTAGCAGAATATGAAGAAATCCCGTTTCCAACGAAGGCCTCAAAGAGGTCTGAATATCCACTTGCAGACTTTACAAACAGAGTGTTTCCTAACTGCTCTATGAAAAGAAAGGCTAAACTCTGTGAGTTGAACGCACACATCACAAAGGAGTTTCTGAGAATCATTCTGTCTAGTTTCTATAGGAAGATATTTCCTTTTCTACCGTTGACCTCAAAGCGGCTGAATTCTCCACTTGCAAATTCCACAACAAGAGTGTTTCAAGTCTGTTCTGTGTAAAGGATCATTGAACTCTGTGAGTTGAATACACACAACACAAGGAAGTTACTGAGAATTCTTCTGTCTAGCATAATATGAGGAAATCCCGTTTCCAACGAAGGCCTCAAAGAGGTCTGAATATCCACTTGCAGACTTTACAAACAGAGTGTTTCCTAACTGCTCTATGAAAAGAAAGGTTAAACTCTGTGAGTTGAACGCACACATCACAAAGGAGTTTCTGAGAATCATTCTGTCTAGTTTTTATACGAAGATATTTCCTTTTCTACCATTGACCTCAACGCGGCTGAAATCTCCACTTGCAAATTCCACAAAAAGAGTGTTTCAAGTCCGCTCTGTGTAAAGGGTCTTTCAACTCTGTGAGTTGAATACACACAACACAAGGAAGATTCTGAGAATTCTTCTGTCTAGCAGAATATGAAGAAATCCCGTTTCCAACGAAGGCCTCAAAGAGGTCTGAATATCCACTTGCAGACTTTACAAACAGAGTGTTTCCTAACTGCTCTATGAAAAGAAAGGTTAAACTCTGTGAGCTGAACGCACACAGCACAAAGGAGTTTCTGAGAATCATTCTGTCTACTTTCTATAGGAAGATATTTCCTATTCTACCATTGACCTCAAAGCGGATGAAATCTCCACTTGCAAATTCCACAAAAGAAGTGTTTCAAGTCTGCTCTGTGTAAAGGATCGTTCAACTCTGTGAGTTGAAAACACACAACACAAGGAAGTTTCTGAGAATTCTTCTGTCTAGCCTTATATGAAAAAAACCCGTTTCCAACGAAGGCCTCAAAGAGGTCTGAATATCCACTTGCAGACATTACAAACAGAGTGTTTCCTAACTGCTCTAAGAAAAGAAAGGTTAAACTCTGTGAGTTGAACGTACACATCACAAAGGAGTTTCTGAGAATCATTCTGTCTAGTTTTTATACGAAGATATTTCCTTTTCTACCATTGACCTCAAAGCGGCTGAAATCTCCACTTGCAAATTCAACAAAAAAAGTGTTTCTAATCAGCTCTGTGTAAAGGATCGTTGAACTCTGTGAGTTGAATGCACACTACACAAGGAAGTTACTGAGAATTCTTCTGTCTAGCAGAATATGAAGAAATCCCGTTTCCAACGAAAGCCTCAAAGAGGTCTGAATATCCCCTTGCAGACTTTACAAACAGAGTGTTTCCTAACTGCTCTATGAAAATAAAGGTTAAACTCTGTGAGTTGAACGCACATATCACAAAGGAGTTTCTGAGAATCATTCTGTCTACTCTTTATACGAACATAGTTTCCTTTTCTACCTTTGACCTCAAAGCGGCTGAAATCTCCACTTGCAAATTCCACAAAAAGAGTGTTTCAAGTCTGCTCTGTGTAAAGGATCGTTCAACTCTGTGAGTTGAATACACACAACACAAGGAAAGTTACTGAGAATTCTTCTGTCTAGCTGAACATGAAGAAATCCCGCTTCCAACGAAGGCCTCAAGGAGGTCTGAATATCCACTTGCAGACTTTACAAACAGAGTGTTTCCTAACTGCTCTATGAAAAGAAAGGTTAAACTCTGTGAGTTGAACGCACACATAACAAAGGAGTTTCTGAGAATCATTCTGTCTAGTTTTTATAGGAAGTTATTTCCTTTTCTACCTTTGACTTCAAAGTGGCTGAAATCTCCACTTGCAAATTCCACAAAAAGAGTGTTACAAGTCTGCTCTGTGTAAAGGATCGTTCAACTCTGTGAGTTGAATACACACAACACAAGGGAGTTACTGAGAATTCTTCTGTCTAGCAGAATATGAAGAAATCCCGCTTCCAACGAAGGCCTCAAAGAACTCTGAATATCCACTTGCAGACTTTACAAACAGAGTGTTTCCCAACTGCTCTATGAAAAGAAAGGTTGAACTCTGTGAGTTGAACGCACACATCACAAAGGAGTTTCTGAGAATCATTCTGTCTAGTTTCTATAGGAAGATATTTCCTATTCTACCATTGACCTCAAAGCGGCTGAAATCTCCACATGCAAATTCCACAAAAAGAGTGTTTCAAGTCTGCTCTGTGTAAAGGATCGTTCAACTCTGTGAGTTGAATACACACAACACAAAGAAGTTACTGAGAATTCTTCTGTCTAGCACAGTATGAAGAAATCCCGTTTCCAACGAAGGCCTCAAAGAGGTCTGAATATCCACTTGCAGAGTTTACAAACAGAGTGTTTCCTAACTGCTCTATGAAAAGAAAGGTTAAACTCTGTTAGTTGAACGCACACATCACAAAGAAGTTTTTGAGAATCATTCTGTCTAGTTGTTATACGAAGATATTTCCTTTTCTACCATGGACCTCAAAGCGGCTGAAACCTCCACTTACAAATTCCACCAAATGAGTGTTTCAAATCTGCTCTGTGTAAAGGATCGTTCAACTGTGTGAGTTGAATACAAACAACACAAGGAAGATTCTGAGAATTCTTCTGTCTAGCAGAATATGAAGAAATCCCGTTTCCAACGAAGGCCACAAGATGTCTGAATATCCACTTACAGACTTTACAAACAGAGTGTTTCCTAACTGCTCTATGAACAGAAAGGTTAAACTCTGTGAGTTGTACGAACACATCACAACGCAGTTTGTGGGAATCATTCTGTCTAGTTTTGAAACGAAGATATTTCCTTTTCTGCCGTTGACCTTAAAGCGCTTGAAATCTACACTTGCAAATTACACAAATAGAGTGTTTCAAATCTGCTCTGTCTAAGGGAACGTTCAACTCTGTGAGTGGAATGCACACAACACAAGGAAGTTACTGGGAATTCTTCTGTCTAGCCTTACAGGAAAAAAACCCATTTCCAACGAAGGCTTCTAAGTGGTCAAAATATCCACGTGCAGACTTTACAAACAGAGTGTTTCCAAACTGCTGAATGAAAAGAAAAGTTAAACTCTGAGAGTTGAACGCACACATCGCAGAGCAGTTTCTGAGAATGATGCTGTCTAGTTTTTATACGAAGATATTTCCTTTTCTGCCTTTGGCCTCAAAGCGCTTGAAATCTCCACTTGCAAATTCCACAAAAAGAGTGTTTCAAATCTGCTCCTGTGTAAATCAAAGTTCAACTCTGTGAGTTGAACACACACAACACAAGGAAGTTACTGGGAATTCTTCTGTCTAGCCTTATATGAAAAAAACCCGTTTCCTACGAAGGCCTCAAAGAGGTCTGAATATCCACTTGCAGACTTTACAAACAGAGTGTTTCCTAACTGCTCTATGAAAAGAAACGTTAAACTCTGTGAGTTGAACGCACACATCACAAAGGAGTTTCTGAGAATCATTCTGTCTAGTTTTTATAGGAAGATATTTCCTTTTCTACCTTTCACTTCAAAGCGGCTGAAATCTCCACTTGCAAATTCCACAAAAAGAGTGTTACAAGTCTGCTCTGTGTAAAGGATCGTTCAACTCTGTGAGTTGAATACACACAACACAAGGAAGTTACTGAGAATTCTTCTGTCTAGCACAGTATGAAGAAACCCGTTTCTAACGAAGGCCTCAAAGAGGTCTGAATATCCACTTGCAGAGTTTAAAAACACAGTGTTTCCTAACTGCTCTATGAAAAGAAAGGTTAAACTGTGTGAGTTGAACACACACATCACAAAGAAGTTTCTGAGAATCATTCTGCCTAGTTTCTATAGGAAGATATTTCCTATTCTACCATTGACCTCAAAGCGGCTGAAATCTCCACTTGCAAATTCCACAAAAAGAGTGTTTCAAGACTGTTCTGTGTAAAGGATCATTCAACTCTGTGAGTTGAATACACACAACACAAGGAAGTTACTGAGAATTCTTCTGTCTAGCAGAATATGAAGAAATCCCGTTTCCAACGAAGGCCACAAGATGTCAGAATATCCTCTTACAGAATTTACAAACAGACTGTTTCCTAACTGCTCTATGAAAAGAAAGGTTAAACTCTGTGAGTTGAACGAACACCTCACAACGCAGTTTGTGGGAATGATTCTGTCTAGTTTTGAAACGAAGATATTTCCTTTTCTGCCATTGACCTTAAAGCGCTTGAAATCTCCACTTGCCAATTGCACAAAAGGAGTGTTTCAAATCTGCTCTGTCTAAGGGAACGTTCAACTCTGTGAGTTGAATGTACACAACACAAGGAAGTTACTGGGAATTCTTCTGTCTAGCCTTACAGGAAAAAAACCCGTTTCCAACGAAGGCCTCTAAGTGGTCAAATTATCCACGTGCAGACTTTACAAACAGAGTGCTTCCAAACTGCTGAATGAAAAGAAAAGTTAAACTCTGAGAGTTGAACACACACATCGCAGAGCAGTTTCTGAGAATGATTCTGTCTAGTTTTTACACGAAGATATTTCCTTTTCTGCCTTTGGCCTCAAAGCGCTTGAAATCTCCACTTGCAAATTCCACAAAAAGAGTGTTTCAAATCTGCTCTGTGTAAATGAAAGTTCAACTCTGTGAGTTGAACACACACAACACAAGGAAGTTACTGGGAATTCTTCTCTCTAGCCTTATATGAAAAAAACCCGTTTCCAACGAAGGCCTCAAAGAGGTCTGAATATCCACTTGCAGACTTTAGAAACAGAGTGTTTCCTAACTGCTCTATGAAAAGAAAGGTTAAACTCTGTGAGTTGAACGCACACATGACAAAGGAGTTTCTGAGAATCATTCTGTCTAGTTTCTATAGGAAGATATTTCCTATTCTACCATTGACCTCAAAGCGGCTGAAATCTCCACTTGCAAATTCCAGAAAAAGAGTGTTTCAAGTCTGCTCTGTGTAAAGGATCGTTCAACTCTGTGAGTTGAATACACACAACACAATGAAGTTACTGAGAATTCTTCTGTCTAGCATAATATGTAGAAATCCCGTTTCCAACGAAGGCCTCAAAGGGGTCTGAATATCCACTTGCAGACTTTATAAACAGACTGTTTACTAACTGCTCTATGAAAAGAAAGGTTAAACTCTGTGAGTTGAACACACACATCACAAAGGAGTTTCTGAGAATCATTCTGTCTAGTTTCTATAGGAAGATATTTCCTATTCTACCATTGAACTCAAAGCGGCTGAAATCTCCACTTGCAAATTCCACAAAAAGAGTGTTTCAAGTCTGCTCTGTGTAAAGGATCGTTCAACTCTGTGAGTTGAATACACACATCACAAGGAAGTTACTGAGAATACTTCTGTCTAGCAGAATATGAAGAAATCCCGTTTCCAACGAAGGCCACAAGATGTCAGAATATCCACTCACAGAATTTACAAACAGAGTGTTTCCTAACTGCTCTATGAAAAGAAAGGTTAAACTCTGTGAGATGAACGAACACATCACAACGCAGTTTGTGGGAATGATTCTGTCTAGTTGTTATAGGAAGATATTTCCTTTTCTACCTTTGACTTCAAAGCGGCTGAAATCTCCACTTGCAAATTCCACAAAAAGAGTGTTACAAGTCTGCTCTGTGTAAAGGATCGTGCAACTCTGTGAGTTGAATACACACAACTCAAGGAAGTTACTGAGAATTCTTCTGTCTAGCCTTACATGAAAAAAACCCGTTTCCAACGAAGGCCTCTAAGTAGTCAAATTATCCACGTGCAGACTTTACAAACAGAGTGTTTCCAAACTGCTGAATGAAAAGAAAAGTTAAACTCTGAGAGTTGAACGCACACATCGCAGAGCAGTTTCTGAGAATGATTCTGTCTAGTTTTTATTCGAAGATATTTCCTTTTCTGCCTTTGGCCCCAAAGCGCTTGAAATCTCCACTTGCAAATTCCACAAAAACAGTGTTACAAAACTGCTCTCTCTAAATGAAAGTTCAACTCTGTCAGTTGAATACACACAACACAAGGAAGTTACTGAGAATTCTTTTGTCTAGCATAATATGAAGAAATCCCGTTTCCAACGAAGGCCGCTAAGAGGTCTGAATATCCACTTGCAGACTTTAAAAACAGAGTGTTTCCTAATTGCTCTATGAAAAGAAAGGTTAAACTTTGTGAGTTGAACGCACACATCACAAAGGAGTTTCTGAGAATCATTCTGTCTAGTTTCTATAGGAAGATATTTCCTATTCTACCATTGACCTCAAAGCGGCTGAAATCGCCAATTGCAAACTCCACAAAAAGAGTGTTTCAAGTCTGCTCTGTGTAAAGGATCGTTCAACTCTGTGAGTTGAATACACACAACACAAGGAAGTTACTGAGAATTCTTCTGTCTAGCATAGTATGAAGAAATCCCGTTTCCAACGAAGGCCTCAAACAGGTCTGAATATCCACTTGCAGAGTTTACATACAGAGTGTTTCCTAACTGCTCTATGAAAAGAAAGGTTAAACTCTGTGAGTTGAACGCACACATCACAAAGAAGTTTCTGAGAATCATTCTGTCTAGTCTTTATACGAAGATAATTCCTTTTCTACCATTGACCTCAAAGCGGCTGAAATCTCCACTTGCAAATTCCACAAAAAGAGTGTTTCAAGTCTGCTCTGTGTAAGGGATCGTTCAACTCTGTGAGTTGAATACACACAACACAAGGAAGTTACTGAGAATTCTTCTGTCTAGCAGAATATGAAGAAATCCCGTTTCCAACGAAGGCCACAAGAGGTCAGAATATCCACTTACAGACTTTACAAACAGAGTGTTTCCTAACTGCTCTATGAACAGAAAGGTTAAACTCTGTGAGTTCAACGAACACATCACAACGCAGTTTGTGGGAATGATTCTGTCTAGTTTTGAAACGAAGATATTTTCTTTTCTGCCTTTGACCTTAAAGCGCTTGAAATCTACACTTGCAAATTGCACAAATAGAGTGTTTCAAATCTGCTCTGTCTAAGGGAACGTTCATCTCTGTGAGTTGAATGCACACAACACAAGGAAGTTACTGGGAATTCTTCTGTCTAGCCTTATAGGAAAAAAACCCGTTTCCAACGAAGGCCTCTAAGTGGTCAAAATATCCACGTGCAGACTTTACAAACAGAGTGTTTCCAAACTGCTGAATGAAAAGAAAAGTTAAACTCTGAGAGTTCAACGCACACATCGCAGAGCAGTTTCTGAGAATGATTCTGTCTAGTTTTGAAACGAAGATATTTCCTTTTCTACCTTTGGCCTCAAACCGCTTGAAATCTCCACTTGCAAATTCAACAAAAAGAGTGTTTCAAATCTGCTCTGTGTAAATGAAAGTTCAACTCTGTGAGTTGAACACACACAACACAAGGAAGTTACTGGGAATTCTTCTGTCTAGCAGAATATGAAGAAATCCCGTTTCCAACGAAAGCCTCAAAGATGTCTGAATATCCACTTGCAGACTTTACAAACAGAGTGTTTCCTAACTGCTCTATGAAAAGAAAGGTTAAACTCTGTGAGTTGAACGCACACATCACAAAGGAGTTTCTGAGAATAATTCTGTCTAGTTTCTATACGAAGATATTCCCTTTTCTACCATTGACCTCAAAGCGGCTGAAATCTCCACTTGCAAATTCCACAAAAAGAGTGTTTCAAGTCTGCTCTGTGTAAAGGATCGTTCAACTCTGTGAGTTGAATACACACAACACAAGGAAGATACTCAGAATTCTTCTGTCTAGCATAATAGGAAGAAATCCCGTTTCCAACGAAGGCCTCAAGGAGGTCTGAATATCCACTTGCAGACTTTACCAACAGAGTGTTTCCTAACTGCTCTATGAAAAGAAAGGTTAAACTCTGTGCGTTGAAAGCACACATCACAAAGGAGTTTCTGAGAATCATTCTGTCTAGTTTTTATACGAAGATATCTCCTTTTCTACCATTGACCTCAAAGCGGCTGAAATCTCCACCCTGCCAATTCCACAAAAAGAGTGTTTCAAGTCTACTCTGTGTAAAGGATCGTTGAACTCTGTGAGTTGAAAACACACAACACAACGAAGTTTCTGAGAATTCTTCTGTCTAGCAGAATATGAAGAAATCCCGTTTCCAACGAAGGCCACAAGATGTCAGAATATCCACTTACAGAATTTACAAACAGACTGTTTCCTAACTGCTCTATGAAAAGAAAGGTTAAACTCTGTGAGTTAAACGAACACATCACAACGCAGTTTGTGGGAATGATTCTGTCTAGTTTTGAAACGAAGATATTTCCTTTTCTGCCGTTGACCTTAAAGGGCTTGAAATCTACAATTGCAAATTGCACAAATAGAGTGTTTCAAATCTGCTCTGTCTAAGGGAACGTTCAAATTGGTGAGTTGAATGCACACAACACAAGGAAGTTACTGGGAATTCTTCTGTCTAGCCTTACATGAAAAAAACCCGTTTCCAACGAAGGCCTCTAAGTGGTCAAAATATCCACGTGCAGACTTTACAAAAAGAGTGTTTCCAAACCGCTGAATGAAAAGAAAAGTTAAAGTCTGAGAGTTGAACGCACACATCACGCAGCAGTTTCTGAGAATGATTCTGTCTAGTTTTGAAACGAAGATATTTCCTTTTCTGCCTTTGGCCTCAAAGCGCTTGAAATCTCCACTTGCAAATTCCACAAAAAGAGTGTTTCAAATCTGCTCTGTGTAAATGAAAGTTCAACTCTGTGTGTTGAACACACACAACACAAGGGAAGTTACTGGGAATTCTTCTGTCTAGCCTTATATGAAAAAAACCCGTTTCCAACGAAGGCCTCAAAGAGGTCTGAATATCCACTTGCAGACTTTACAAACAGAGTGTTTCCTAACTGCTCTATGAAAAGAAACGTTAAACTCTGTGAGCTGAACGCACACATCACAAAGGAGTTTCTGAGAATCATTCTGTCTAGTCTTTATACGAAGATATTTCCTTTTCTACCATTGACCTCAAAGCGGCTGAAATCTCCACCTGCAAATTCCACAAAAAGAGTGTTTCAAGTCTGCTCTGTGTAAAGGATCGTTCAACTCTGTGAGTTGAATACACACAACACAAGGAAGTTACTGAGAATTCTTCTGTCTAGCACAGTATGGAGAAATCCCGTTTCCAACGAAGGCCTCAAAGAGGTCTGAATATCCACTTGCAGAGTTTACAAACAGAGTGTTTCCTAACTGCTCTATGAAAAGAAAGGTTAAACTCTGTGAGTTGAACGCACACATCACAAAGGAGTTTCTGAGAATCATTCTGTCTAGTTTTTATACGAAGATATTTCCTTTTCTAACATTGACCTCAACGCGGCTGAAATCTCCACTTGCAAATTCCACAAAAAGAGTGTTTCAAGTCTGCTCTGTGTAAAGGATCGTTCAACTCTGTGAGTTGAATACACACAACACAAGGAAAGTTACTGAGAATTCTTCTGTCTAGCAGAATATGAAGAAATCCCGTTTCCAACGAAGGCCACAAGATGTCAGAATATCCACTTACAGACTTTACAAACAGAGTGTTTCCTAAATGCTCTATGAACAGAAAGGTTAAACTCTGTGAGTTGAACGAACACATCACAACGCAGTTTGTGGGAATGATTCTGTCTAGTTTTGAAACGAAGATATTTCCTTTTCTGCCATTGACCTTAAAGCGCTTGAAATCTACACTTGCAAATTGCACAAATAGAGTGTTTCAAATATGCTCTGTCTAAGGGAACGTTCAACACTGTGAGTTGAATTCACACAACACAAGGAAGTTACTGGGAATTCTTCTGCCTAGCCTTACATGAAAAAAACCCGTTTCCAACGAAGGCCTCTAAGTGCTCAAAATATCCACGTGCAGACTTTACAAACAGAGTGTATCCAAACTGCTGAATGAAAAGAAAAGTTAAACTCTGTGAGTTCAACGCACACATCACAAAGGAGTTTCTGAGAATCATTCTGTCTAGTTTTTATACGAAGATATTTCCTTTTCTACCATTGACCTCAAAGCGGCTGAAATCTCCACTTGCAAATTCCACAAAAAGTGTGTTAGAAGTCTGCTCTGTGTAAAGGATCGTTCAACTCTGTGAGTTGAATACACACAACACAAGGAAGTTTCTGAGAATTCTTCTGTCTAGCATAATATGAAGAAATCCCGTTTCCAACGAAGGCCTCAAAGAGGTCTGAATATCCACTTGCAGACTTTACAAACAGAGTGTTTCCTAACTGCTCTATGAAAGGAAAAGTTAAACTCTGTGAGTTGAACGCACACATCACAAAGGATTTTCTGAGAATCATTCTGTCTAGTTTTTATACGAAGATATTTCCTTTTCTACCATTGACCTCAACGCGGCTGAAATCTCCACTTGCAAATTCCACAAAAAGTGTGTTTCAAGTCCGCTCTGTGTAAAGGATCGTTCAACTCTGTGAGTTGAATACACACAACACAAGGAAGTTAATGAGAATTCTTCTGTCTAGCATAGTATGAAGAAATCCCGTTTCCAACGAAGGCCTCAAAGAGGTCTGACTATCCACTTGCAGAGTTTACAAACAGAGTGTTTCCTAACTGCTCTATGAAAAGAAAGGTTAAACTCTGTGAGTTGAACGCACACATCACAAAGAAGTTTCTGAGAATCATTCTGTCTAGTTTTTATACGAAGATATTTCCTTTTCTGCCGTTGGCCTCAAAGCGCTTGAAATCTCCACTTGCAAATTCCACAAAAAGAGTGTTTCAAATCTGCTCTCTGTAAATGAAAGTTCAACTCTGTGAGTTGAACACACACAACACAAGGAAGTTACTGGGAATTCTTCTGTCTAGCCTTATATGAAAAAAACCCGTTTCCAACGAAGGCCTCAAAGAGGTCTGAATATCCACTTGCAGACTTTACAAACAGAGTGTTTCCTAACTGCTCTATGAAAAGGAAGGTTAAACTCTGTGAGTTCAACGCACACATCACAAAGGAGTTTCTGAGAATCATTCTGTCTAGTTTTTATAGGAAGATATTTCCTTTTCTACATTTGACTTCAAAGCGGCTGAAATCTCCACTTGCAAATTCCACAAAAAGAGTGTTTCAAATCTGCTCTGTGTAAATGAAAGTTCAACTCTGTGAGTTGAACACACACAACACAAGGAAGTTACTGAGAATTCTTCTGTCTAGCAGAATATGAATAAATCCCGTTTCCAACGAAAGCCTCAAGGATGTCTGAATATCCACTTGCAGACTTTACAAACAGAGTGTTTCCTAACTGCTCTATGAAAAGAAAGGTTAAACTCTGTGAGTTGAACGCACACATCACAAAGGAGTTTCTGAGAATCATTCTGTCTAGTTTCTATAGGAAGATATTTCCTATTCTACGATTGACCTCAAAGCGGCTGAAATCTCCACTTGCAAATTCCACAAAAAGAACGTTTCAAGTCTGCTCTGTGTAAAGGATCGTTCAACTCTGTGAGTTGAATACACACAACACAAGGAAGTTACTGAGAATTCTTCTGTCTAGCAGAATATGAAGAAATCCCTTTTCCAACGAAGGCCACAAGGATGTCAGAATATCCACTTACAGACTTTACAAACAGAGTGTTTCCTAACTGCTCTATGAACAGAAAGGTAAAACTCTGTGAGTTGAACGAACACATCACAACGCAGTTTGTGGGAATGATTCTGTCTAGTTTTGAAACGAAGATATTTCCTTTTCTGCCATTGACCTTAAAGCGCTTGAAATCTACACTTGCACATTGCACAAATAGAGTGTTTCAAATCTGCTGTGTCTAAGGGAACGTTCAACTCTGTGAGTTGAATGCACACAACACAAGGAAGTTACTGGGAATTCTTCTGTCTAGACTTACATGAAAAAAACCCGTTTCCAACGAAGGCCTCAAAGAGGTCAAAATATCCACTTGCAGACTTTACAAACAGAGTGCTTCCAAACTGCTGAATGAAAAGAAAAGTTAAACCCTGAGAGTTGAACGCACACATCGCAGAGCAGTTTCTGAGAATGATTCTGTCTAGTTTTTATACGAAGATATTTCCTTTTCTGCCTTTGGCCCCAAAGCGCTTGAAATCTCCCCTTGCAAATTCCACAAAAAGAGTGTTTCAAGTCTGCTCTGTGTAAAGGATCGTTCAACTCTGTCACTTGAATACACACAACACAAGGAAGTTACTGAGAATTCTTCTGTCAAGCCTTATATGAAAAAAACCCGTTTCCAACGAAGGCCTCAAAGAGGTCTGAATATCCACTTGCAGACTTTACAAACAGAGTGTTTCCTAACTGCTCTATGAAAAGAAAGGTTAAACTCTGTGAGTTGAACGCACACATCACAAAGGAGTTTCTGAGAATCATTCTGTCTAGTTTTTATAGGAAGATATTTCCTTTTCTACCTTTGACTTCAAAGCGGCTGAAATCTCCACTTTCAAATTCCACAAAAAGAGTGTTACAAGTCTGCTCTGTGTAAAGGATCGTTCAACTGTGTGAGTTGAATACACACAACACAAGGAAGTTACTGAGAATTCTTCTGTCTAGCCTTACATGAAAAAAACCCGTTTCCAACGAAGGCCTCTAAGTGGTCAAATTATCCACGTGCAGACTTTACAAACAGAGTGTTTCCAAACTGCTGAATGAAAAGAAAAGTTAAACTCTGAGAGTTGAACGCACACATCGCAGAGCAGTTTCTCAGAATGATTCTGTCTAGTTTTTATACGAAGATATTTCCTTTTCTGCCTTTGGCCTCAAACCGCTTGAAATCTCCATTTGCAAATTCCACAAAAAGAGTGTTTCAAATCTGCTCTGTGTAAATGAAAGTTCAACTCTGTGAGTTGAACACACACAACACATGGAAGTTAGTGGGAACTCTTCTTTCTAGCAGAATATGAAGAAATCCCGTTTCCAACGAAAGCCTCAAGGATGTCTGAATATCCACTTGCAGACTTTACAAACAGAGTGTTTCCCAACTGCTCTATGAAAAGAAAGTTTAAACTCTGTGAGTTGAACGCACACATCACAAAGGAGTTTCTGAGAATCATTCTGTCTAGTTTTTCTACGAAGATATTTCCTTTTCTACTATTGACCTCAAAGCGGCTGAAATCTCCACTTGCAAATTCGACAAAAAGAGTGTTTCAAGCCTGCTCTCTGTAAAGGATCCTTCAACTCTGTGAGTTGAATACACACAACACAAGGAAGTTACTGAGAATTCTTCTGTCTAGCAGAAAATGAAGAAATCCCGTTTCCAACGAAGGCCTCAAGGAGGTCTGAATATCCACTTGCAGACTTTACAAACAGAGTGTTTCCTAACTGCTCTATGAACAGAAAGGTTAAACTCTGTGAGTTGAACGAACACATCACAACGCAGTTTGTGGGAATGATTCTGTCTAGTTTTGAAACGAAGATATTTCCTTTTCTGCCATTGACCTTAAAGCGCTTGAAATCTACACTTGCAAATTGCACAAATAGAGTGTTTCAAATCTGCTCTGTCTAAGGGAAAGTTCAACTCTGTGAGTTGAATGCACGCAACACAAGGAAGTTACTGGGAATTCTTCTGTCTAGCCTTACATGAAAAAAACCCGTTTCCAACGAAGGCCTCTAAGTGGTCAAATTATCCACGTGCAGACTTTACAAACAGAGTGTTTCCAAACTGCTGAATGAAAAGAAAAGTTAAACTCTGAGAGTTGAACGCACACATCACAGAGCAGTTTGCTGAGAATGATTCTGTCTAGTTTTTATACGAAGGTATTTCCTTTTCTGCCTTTGGCCCCAAAGCGCTTGAAATCTCCACTTGCAAATTCCACAAAAACAGTGTTTCAAATCTGCTCTCTCTAAATGAAAGTTCAACTCTGTCAGTTGAATACACACAACACAAGGAAGTTACTGAGAATTCTTCTGTCTAGCATAATATGAAGAAATCCCGTTTCCAAGGAAGGCCTCAAAGAGGTCTGAATATCCACTTGCAGACTTTACAAACAGAGTGTTTCCTAACTGCTCTATGAAAAGAAAGGTTAAACTCTGTGAGTTGAACGCACACATCTCAAAGGAGTTTCTTAGAATCATTCTGTCTAGTTTCCATAGGAAGATATTTCCTATTCTACCATTGACCTCAAAGCGGCTGAAATCTCCACTTGCAAATTCCACAAATGGAGTGTTTCAAGTCTGCTCTGAGTAAAGGATCGTTCGACTCTGTGAGTTGAATAAACACAACACAAGGGAAGTTTCTGAGAATTCTTCTGTCTAGCATAATATGAAGAAATGCCGTTTCCAACGAAGGCCTCAAAGGGGTCTGAATATCCACTTGCAGACTTTATAAACAGAGTGTTTACTAACTGCTCTATGAAAAGAAAGGTTAAACTCTGTGAGTTGAACACACACATCACAAATGAGTTTCTGAGAATCATTCTGTCTAGTTTTTATAGGAAGATATTTCCTTTTCTACCTTTGACTTCAAAGCGGCTGAAATCTCCACTTGCAAATTCCACAAAAAGAGTGTTACAAGTCTGCTCTGTGTAAAGGATCGTTCAGCTCTGTGAGTTGAATACACACAACACAAGGAAGTTACTGAGAATTCTTCTTTCTAGCAGAATATGAAGAAATCCTGTTTCCAAAGAAGGCCTCAAGGAGGTCTGAATATCCACTTGCAGACTTTACAAACAGAGTGTTTCCTAACTGCTCTATGAAAAGAAAGGTTAAACTCTGTGAGTTGAACGCACACATCACAAAGGAGTTTCTGAGAATCATTCTGTCTAGTTTCTATAGGAAGATATTTCCTATTCTACCATTGACCTCAAAGCGGCTGAAATCTCCACTTGCAAATTCCACAAAAAGAGTGTTTCAAGTCTGCTCTGTGTAAACGATCGTTCAACTCTGTGAGTTGAATACACACAACACAAGGAAGTTTCTGAGAATTCTTCTGTCTAGCAGAATTTGAAGAAATCCCGCTTCCAACGAAGGCCTCAAAGAAGTCTGAATATCCACTTGCAGACTTTACAAACAGAGTGTTTCCCAACTGCTCTATGAAAAGAAAGGTTGAACTCTGTGAGTTGAACGCACACATCACAAAGGAGTTTCTGAGAATCATTCTGTCTAGTTTCTATAGGAAGATATTTCCTATTCTACCATTGACCTCAAAGCGGCTGAAATCTCCACTTGCAAATTCCACAAAAAGATTGTTTCAAGTCTGCTCTGTGTAAAGGATCGTTCAACTCTGTGAGTTGAATACACACAACACAAGGAAGTTACTGAGAATTATTCTGTCTAGCATAATATGAAGAAATCCCGTTTCCAACGAAGGCCTCAAGGAGGTCTGAATATCCACTTGCAGACTTTACAAACAGAGTGTTTCCTAACTGCTCTATGAAAAGAAAAGATAAACTCTGTGAGTTCAACGCACACATCACAAAGGAGTTTCTCAGAATCATTCTGTCTAGTTTTTATACGAAGATATTTCCTTTTCTACCATTGACCTCAACGCGGCTGAAATCTCCACTTGCAAATTCCACAAAAAGAGTGTTTCAAGTCTGCTCTGTGTAAACGATCGTTCAACTCCGTGAGTTGAATACACACAACACAAGGGAAGTTACTGAGAATTCTTCTATCTAGCAGAATATGAAGAAATCCCGTTTCCAACGAAGACCTCAAGGAGGTCTGAATATCCACTTGCAGACTTTACAAACAGAGTGTTTCCTAACTGCTCTATGAAAAGAAAGGTGAAACTCTGTGAGTTGAATGCACACATCACAAAGAAGTTTATGAGAATCATTCTGTCTAGTTGTTATACGAAGGTATTTCCTTTTCTACCATTGACCTCAAAGCGGCTGAAATCTCCACTTGCAAATTCCACCAAATGAGTGTTTCAAATCTGCTCTGTGTAAACCATCGTTCAACTCTGTGAGTTGAATACACACAACACAAGGAAGATTCTGAGAATTCTTCTGTCTAGCAGAATATGAAGAAATCCCGTTTCCAACGAAGGCCACAAGATGTCAGAATATCCACTTACAGAATTTTCAAACAGACTGTTTCCTAACTGCTCTATGAAAAGAAAGGTTAAACTCTGTGAGTTGAACGAACACATCACAATGCAGTTTGTGGGAATGATTCTGTCTAGTTTTTGTACGAAGATATTTCCTTTTCTACCATTGACCTCAACGCGGCTGAAATCTCCACTTGCAAATTCCACAAAAAGAGTGTTTCAAGTCCGCTCTGTGTAAAGGGTCGTTCAACTCTGTGAGTTGAATACACACAACACAAGGAAGTTACTGAGAATTCTTCTGTCTAGCAGAATATGAAGAAATCCCGTTTCCAACGAAGGCCTCAAGGAGGTCTGAATATCCACTTGCAGACTTTACAAACAGAGTGTTTCCTAACTGCTCTATGAAAAGAAAGGTTAAACTCTGTGAGTTGAACGCACACATCACAAAAGAGTTTCTGAGAATCATTCTGTCTAGTTTTTATACGAAGATATTTCCTTTTCTACCATTTATCTCAACACGGCTGAAATCTCCACTTGCAAATTCCACAAAACGAGTGTTTCAAGTCCGCTCTGTGTAAAGGATCGTTCAACTCTGTGAGTTGAATACACACAACACAAGGAAGTTACTGAGAATTCTTCTGTCTAGCACAGTATGAAGAAATCCCGTTTCCAACGAAGGCCTCAAAGAGGTCTGAATATCCACTTGCAGAGTTTACAAACAGAGTGTTTCCTAACTGCTCTATGAAAAGAAAGGATAAACTCTGTGAGTTGAACGCACACATCACAATGAAGTTTCTGAGAATCATTCTGTCTAGTCTTTATACGAAGATATTTACTTTTCTACCATTGACCTCAAAGCGGCTGAAATCTCCACTTGCAAATTCCACAAAAAGAGTGTTTCAAGTCTGCTCTGTGTAAAGGATCATTCAACTCTGTGAGTTGAATAAACACAACACAAGGAAGCTACTGAGAATTCTTCTGTCTAGCAGAATATGAAGAAATACCGTTTCCAACGAAGGCCTCAAGGAGGTCTGAATATCCACTTGCAGACTTTACAAACAGAGTGTTTCCTAACTGCTCTATGAAAAGAAAGGTTAAACTCTGTGAGTTGAACGCACACATCACAAAGGAGTTCATGAGAATCATTCTGTCTAGTTTTTATAGGAAGATATTTCCTTTTCTACCTTTGACTTCAAAGCGGCTGAAATCTCCACTTGCAAATTCCACAAAAAGAGTGTTACAAGTCTGCTCTGTGTAAAGGATCGTTCAACTCTGTGAGTTGCATACACACAACACAAGGAAGTTACTGAGAATTCTTCTGTCTAGCAGAATATGAAGAAATCCCGCTTCCACCGAAGGCCTCAAAGAAGTCTGAATATCCACTTGCAGACTTTACAAACAGAGTGTTTCCCAACTGCTCTATGAAAAGAAAGGTTGAACTCTGTGAGTTGAACGCACACATCACAAAGGAGTTTCTGAGAATCATTCTGTCTAGTTTTTATACGAAGATATTTCCTTTTCTACCATTGACCTCAAAGCGGCTGAAATCTCCTCTTGCAAATTCCACAAAAAGAGTGTGTCAAGTCTACTCTGTGTAAAGCATCGTTGAACTCTGTGAGTTGAAAACACACAACACAAGGAAGTTTCTGAGAATTCTTCTGTCTAGCAAAATATGAAGAAATCCCGTTTCCAACGAAGACCTCAAGGAGGTCTGAATATCCACTTGCAGACTTTACAAACAGAGTGTTTCCTAACTGCTCTATGAAAAGAAAGGTTAAACTGTGTGAGTTGAACGCACACATCACAAAGGAGTTTCTGAGAATCATTCTGTCTAGTTTCTATAGGAAGATATTTCCTATTCTACCATGGACCTCAAAGCGGCTGAAATCTCCACTTGCAAATTCCACAAGAAGAGTGTTTCAAGTATGCTCTGTGTAAAGGATCGTTCAACTCTGTGAGTTGAATACACACAACACAAGGAAGTTACTGAGAATTCTTCTGTCTAGCCTTATATGAAAAAAACCCGTTTCCAACGAAGGCCTCGAAGAGGTCTGAATATCCACTTGCAGACTTTACAAACAGAGTGTTTCCTAACTGCTCTATGAAAAGAAAGGTTAAACTCTGTGAGTTGAACACACACATCACAAAGGAGTTTCTGAGAATCATTCTGTCTAGTTTTTATACGAAGATATTTCCTTTTCTACTATTGACCTCAAAGCGCCTGAAATCTCCACTTGCAAATTCCACAAAAAGAGTTTTTCAAGTCTACTCTGTGTAAGGCATCGTTCAACTCTGGGAGTTGAAAACACACAACACAAGGAAGTTTCTGAGAATTCTACTGTCTAGCCTTACATGAAAAAAACCAGTTTCCAACGAGGGCCTCAAAGAGGTCTGAATATCCACTTGCAGACTTTACAAACAGAGTGTTTCCTAACTGCTCTATGAAAAGAAAGGTTAAAGTTCTGTGAGTTGAACGCACAAATCACAATGAAGTTTCTGAGAATCATTCTGTCTAGTTTCTATAGGAAGATATTTCCTATTCTACCGTCGACCTCAAAGCGGCTGAAATCTCCACTTGCAAATTCCACAAAAAGAGTGTTTCAAGTCTGTTCTGTGTAAAGGATCATTCAACTCTGTGAGTTGAATACACACAACACAAGGAAGTTACTGAGAATTCTTCTGTCTAGCAGAATATGAAGAAATCCCGTTTCCAACGAAGGCCTCAAAGAGGTCTGAATATCCACTTGCAGACTTTACAAACAGAGTGTTTCCCAATTGCTCTATGAACAGAAAGGTTAAACTCTGTGAGTTGAACGCACACATCACAAAGGAGTTTCTGAGAATCATTCTGTCTAGTTTTTATACGAAGATATTTCCTTTTCTACCATTGTCCTCAAAGCGGCTGAAATCTCCACTTGCAAATTCCACAAAAAGAGTGTTTCAATTCTGCTCTGTGTAAACCATCGTTCAACTCTGTGAGTTGAATACACACAACACAAGGAGGTTACTGAGAATTCTTCTGTCTAGCATAATATGAAGAAATCCCGTTTCCAACGAAGGCCTCAAAGAGGTCTGAATATCCACTTGCAGACTTTACAAACAGAGTGTTTGCTAACTGCTCTATGAAAAGAAAGGTTAAACTCTGTGAGTTGAACGCACACATCACAAAGGAGTTTCTGAGAATCATTCTGTCTAGTTTTTATACGAAGATATTTCCTTTTCTGCCTTTGGCCTCAAAGCGCTTGAAATCTCCATTTGCAAATTCCACAAAAAGAGTGTTTCAAGTCTGCTCTGTGTAAAGGATCGTTCAACTCTGTGAGTTGAATACACACAACACAAGGAAGTTACTGAGAATTCTTCTGTCTAGCATAGTATGAAGAAATCCCGTTTCCAACGAAGGCCTCAAAGAGGTCTGAATATCCACTTGCAGAGTTTACAAACAGAGTGTTTCCTAACTGCTCTATGAAAAGAAAGGTTAAACTCCGTGAGTTGAACGCACACATCACAATGAAGTTTCTGAGAATCATTCTGTCTAGTCTTTATACGAAGATATTTCCTTTTCTACAATTGACCTCAAAGCGGCTGAAATCTCCACTTGCAAATTCCACAAAAAGAGTGTTTCAAGTCTGCTCTCTGTAAAGGATCGTTCAACTCTGTGAGTTGAATACACACAACACAAGGAAGTTACTGAGAATTCTTCTGTCTAGCATAATATGAAGAAATCCCGTTTCCTACGAAGGCCTCAAAGAGGTCTGAATATCCACTTGCAGACTTTACAAACAGAGTGTTCCCTAACTGCTCTATGAAAAGAAAGGTTAAACTCTGTGAGTTGAACGCACACATCACAAAGGAGTTTCTGAGAATCATTCTGTCTAGTTTCTATAGGAAGATATTTCCTATTCTACCATTGACCTCAAAGCGGCTGAAATCTCCACTTGCAAATTCCACAAAAAGAATGTATCAAGTCTGCTCTGTGTAAAGGATCGTTCAACTCTGTGAGTTGAATACACACAACACAAGGAAGTTACTGAGAATTCTTCTGTCTAGCATAGTATGAAGAAATCCCGTTTCCAACGAAGGCCTCAAAGAGGTCTGTATATCCACTTGCAGAGTTTACAAACAGAGTGTTTCCTAACTGCTCTATGAAAAGAAAGGTTAAACTCTGTGAGTTGAACGCACACATCACAAAGGAGTTTCTGAGAATCATTCTGTCTAGTTTTTATACGAAGATATTTCCTTTTCTACCATTGACCTCAAAGCGGCTGAAATCTCCACTTGCCAATTCCACGAAAAGAGTGTTTCAAGTCTACTCTGTGTAAAGGATCGTTGAACTCTGTGAGTTGAAAACACACAACACCAGGAAGTTTCTGAGAATTCTTCTGTATAGCAGAATATGAAGAAATCCCGTTTCCAACGAAAGCCTCAAGGATGTCTGAATATCCACTTGCAGACTTTACAAACAGAGTGTTTCCCAACTGCTCTAGGAAAAGAAAGGTTGAACTCTGTGAGTTGAACGCACACATCACAAAGGAGTTTCTGAGAATCATTCTGTCAAGTTTCTATAGGAAGATATTTCCTATTCTACCATTGACCTCAAAGCGGATGAAATCTCCACTTGCAAATTCCACAAAAAGAGTGTTTCAAGCCTGCTCTCTGTAAAGGATCGTTCAACTCTGTGAATTGAATACACACAACACAAGGAAGTTACTGAGAATTCTTCTGTCTAGCATAATATGAAGAAATCCCGTTTCCAACGAAGGCCTCAAAGAGGTCTGAATATTCACTTGCAGACTTTACAAACAGAGTGTTTCCTAACTGCTCTATGAAAAGAAAAGTTAAACTCTGTGAATTGAACGCACACATCACAAAGGAGTTTCTGAGAATCATTCTGTCTAGTTTCTATAGGAAGATATTTCCTATTCTACCATTGACCCCATAGCGGCTGAAATCTCCACTTGCAAATTCCCCAAAAAGAGTGTTTCAAGTCTGCTCTGTGTAAAGGATCGTTCAACTCTGTCAGTTGAATACACACAACACAAGGAAGTTACTGAGAATTCTTCTGTCTAGCAGAATATGAAGAAATCCCGCTTCCAACGAAGGCCTCAAAGAAGTCTGAATATCCACTTGCAGACTTTACAAACAGAGTGTTTCCCAACTGCTCTATTAAAAGAAAGGTTCAACTCTGTGAGTCGAACGCACACATCACAAAGGAGTTTCTGAGAATCATTCTGTCTAGTTTCTATACGAAGATATTCCCTTTTCTACCATTGACCTCAAAGCGGCTGAAATCTCCACTTGCAAATTTCACAAAAAGAGTGTTTCAAGTCTGCTCTGTGTAAAGGATCGTTCAACTCTGTGAGTTGAATACACACAACACAAGGAAGTTACTGAGAATTCTTCTGTCTAGCATAATATGAAGAAATCCCGTTTCCAACGAAGGCCTCAAAGAGGTCTGAATATCCACTTGCATACTTTACAAACAGAGTGTTTCCTAACTGCTCTATGAAAAGAAAGGTTAAACTCTGTGAGTTGAACGCACACATCACAAAGGAGTTTATGAGAATCATTCTGTCTACCTTCTATAGGAAGATATTTCCTATTCTACCATTGACCTCAAAGCGGCTGAAATCTCCACTTGCAAATTCCACAAAAGGAGTGTTTCAAGTCTGCTCTGTGTAAAGGATCGTTCAACTCTGTGAGTTGAAAACACACAACACAAGGAAGTTTCTGAGAATTCTTCTGTCTAGCAGAATATGAAGAAATCCCGTTTTCAACGAAGGCCTCAAAGAGGTCTGAATATCCACTTGCAGACTTTACAAACAGAGTGTTTCCTAAATGCTCTATGAAAAGAAAGGTTAAACTCTGTGAGTTGAACGCACACATCACAAAGGAGTTTATGAGAATCATTCTGTCTAGTTTCTATAGGAAGATATTTCCTATTCTACCATTGACTTCAAAGCGGCTGAAATCTCCACTTGCAAATTCCACAAAAGGAGTGTTTCAAGTCTGCTCTGTGTAAAGGATCGTTCAACTCTGTGAGTTGAATACACACAACACAAGGCAGTTACTGAGAATTCTTCTGTCTAGCATAATATGAAGAAATAACGTTTCCAACGAAGGCCTCAAAGAGGTCTGAATATCCACTTGCAGACTTTACAAACAGAGTGTTTCCTAACTGCTCTATGAAAAGAAAAGTTAAACTCTGTGAGTTGAACGCACACATCAAAAAGGATTTTCTGAGAATCATTCTGTCTAGTTTCTATAGGAAGATATTTCCTATTCTACCATTGAACTCAAAGCGGCTGAAATCTCCACTTGCAAATTCCACAAAAAGAGTGTTTCAAGTCTGCTCTGTGTAAAGGATCGTTCAACTCTGTTAGTTGAATACACACAACACAAGGAAGTTACTGAGAATTCTGCTGTCTAGCAGAATATGAAGAAATCCCGTTTCCAACGAAAGCCTCAAAGATGTCTGAATATCCACTTGCAGACTTTACAAACAGAGTGTTTCCTAACTGCTCTATGAAAAGAAAGGTTAAACTCTGTGAGTTGAACGCACACATCACAAAGGAGTTTCTGAGAATCATTCTGTCTAGTTTTTATACGAAGATATTTCCTTTTCTACCATTGACCTCAAAGCGGCTGAAATCTCCACTTGCAAATTCCAGAAAAACAGTGTTTCAAATCTGCTCTGTGTAAAGGATCGTTCAACTCTGTGAGTTGAATACACACAACACAAGGAAGTTACTGAGAATTCATCTGTCTAGCCTTACATGAAAAAAACCCGTTTCCAACGAAGGCCTCAAAGAAGTCCAAGTATCCACTTGCAGACTTTACAAACAGAGTGTTTCCTAACTGCTCTATGAAAAGAAAGGTTAAACTCTGTGAGTTGAACGCCCACATCACAAAGGAGTTTCTGAGAATCATTCTGTCTAGTTTTTCTACGAAGATATTTCCTTTTCTACTACTGACCTCAAAGCGGCTGAAATCTCCACTTGCAAATTCCACAAAAAGAGTGTTTCAAGTCTGCTCTGTGTAAAGGATCAGTTCAACTCTGTGAGTTGAATACACACAACACAAGGAAGTTACTGAGAATTCTTCTGTCTAGCAGAATATGAAGAAATCCCGTTTCCAACGAAGGCCTCAAGGAGGTCTGAATATCCACTTGCAGACTTTACAAACAGAGTGTTTCCTAACAGCTCTATGAACAGAAAGGTTAAACTCTGTGAGTTGAACGCACACATCACAAAGGAGTTTCGGAGAATCATTCTGTCTAGTTTTTATACGAAGATATTTCCTTTTCTACCATTGACCTCAACGCGGCTTAAATCTCCACTTGCAAATTCCACAAAAAGAGTGTTTCAAGTCCGCTCTGTGTAAAGGATCGTTCAACTCTGTGAGTTGAATACACACAACACAAGGAAAGTTACTGAGAATTCTTCTGTCTAGCACAATATGAAGAAATCCCTTTTCCAAAGAAGGCCTCAAAGAGGTCTGAATATCCACTTGCAGAGTATACAAACAGAGTGTTTCCTAACTGCTCTATGAAAAGAAAGTTTAAACTCTGTGAGTTGAAGACACACATCAAAAAGGAGTTTCTGAGAATCAATCTGTCTAGTCTTTATACGAAGATATTTCCTTTTCTACCATTGACCTCAAAGTGGCTGAAATCTCCACTTGCAAATTCCACAAAAAGAGTGTTTCAAGTCTGCTCTCTGTAAAGGATCGTTCAACTCTGTGAGTTGAATACACACAACACAAGGAAAGTTACTGAGAATTCTTCTGTCTAGCAGAATATGAAGAAATCCCGTTTCCAACGAAGGCCACAAGATGTCAGAATATCCACTTACAGACTTTACAAACAGTGTGTTTCCTAACTGCTCTATGAACGGAAAGGTTAAACTCTGTGAGTTGAACGAACCCATCACAACGCAGTTTGTGGGAATGATTCTGTCTAGTTTCTATAGGAAGATATTTCCTATTCTACCATTGAACCCAAAGCGGCTGAAATCTCCACTTGCAAATTCCACAAAAAGAGTGTTTCAAGTCTGCTCTGTGTAAAGGATCGTTCAACTCTGTGAGTTGAATCCACACAACACAAGGAAGTTACTGAGAATTCTTGTGTCTAGCACAATATGAAGAAATCCCGTTTCCAACGAAGGCCTCAAAGAGGTCTGAATATCCACTTACAGACTTTACAAACAGAGTGTTTCCTAACTGCTCTATGAAAAGAAAGGTTAAACTCTGTGAGTTGAACGCACACATCACAAAGGAGTTTCTGAGAATCATTCTGTCTAGTTTCTATAGGAAGATATTTCCTATTCTACCATTGACCTCAAATCGGCTAAAATCTCCACTTGCAAATTCCACAAAAAGAGTGTTTCAAGTCCGCTCTGTGTAAAGGATTGTTCAACTCTGTGAGTTGAATACACACAACACAAGGAAGTTACTGAGAATTCTTCTGTCTAGCAGAATATGAAGAAATCCCGTTTCCAACGAAGGCCACAGGATGTCAGAATATCCACTTACAGACTTTACAAACAGAGTGTTTCCTAACTGCTCTATGAACAGAAAGGTTAAACTCTGTGAGTTGAACGAACACATCACAACGCAGTTTGTGGGAATGATTCTGTCTAGTTTTTATAGGAAGATATTTCTTTTTCTACCATTGACCTCAAAGCGGCTGAAATCTCCACTTGCAAATTCCAGAAAAAGAGTGTTTCAAGTCTGCTCTGTGTAAAGGATCGTTGAACTCTGTGAGTTGAATACAGACAACACAATGAAGTTACTGAGAATTCTTCTGTATGGCAGAATATGAAGAAATCCCGCTTCCAACGAAGGCCTCAAAGAAGTCTGAATATCCACTTGCAGACTTTACAAACAGAGTGTTTCCCAACTGCTCTAGGAAAAGAAAGGTTGAACTCTGTGAGTTGAACGCACACATCACAAAGGAGTTTCTCAGAATCATTCTGTCTAGTTTCTATAGGAAGATATTCCCTATTCTACCATTGACCTCAAAGCGGCTGAAATCTCCACTTGCAAATTCCACAAAAAGAGTGTTTCAAGTCTGCTCTGTGTAAAGGATCGTTCAACTCTGTGAGTTGAATTCACACAACACAGGGGAAGTTTCTGAGAATTCTTCTGTCTAGCAGAATAGGAAGAAATCCCGTTTCCAACGAAGGCCTCAAAGAGGTCTGAATATCCACTTGCAGACTTTACAAACAGAGTGTTTCCTAACGGCTCTATGAAAAGAAAAGTTAAACTCTGTGAGTTGAACGCACACATCACAAAGGAGTTTCTGAGGATCGTTCTGTCTAGTTTTTATACGAAGATATTTCCTTTTCTACCATTGACCTCAAAGCGGCTGAAATCTCCACTTGCAAATTCCACAAAAAGAGTGTTTCAAATCTGCTCTGTGTAAACCATCGTTCAAATCTGTGAGTTGAATACACACAACACAAGGAAGATTCTGAGAATTCTTCTGTCTAGCATAATAAGAAGAAATCCCGTTTCCAACGAAGGCCTCAAAGGGGTCTGAATATCCACTTGCAGACTTTATAAACAGAGTGTTTACTAACTGCTCTATGAAAAGAAAGGTTGAACTCTGTGAGTTGAACACACACATCACAAAGGAGTTTCTGAGAATCATTCTGTCTAGTTTTTATAGGAAGATATTTCCTTTTCTACCTTTGACTTCAAAGCGGCTGAAATCTCCACTTGCAAATTCCACAAAAAGAGTGTGACAAGTCTGCTCTGTGTAAAGGATCGTTCAACTCTGTGAGTTGAACACACACAACACAAGGAAAGTTACTGAGAATTCTTCTGTCTAGCAGAACATGAAGAAATCCCGTTTCCAACGAAGGCCCCAAAGATGTCTGAATATCCACTTGCAGACTTTAGAAACAGAGTGTTTCCTAACTGCTCTATGAAAAGAAAGGTTAAACTCTGTGAGTTGAATGCACACATCACAAAGGAGTTTCTGAGAATCATTCTGTCTAGTTTCTATAGGAAGATATTTCCTATTCTACCATTGACCTCAAAGCGGCTGAAATCTCCACTTGCAAATTCCACAAAAAGAGTGTTTCAAGTCTGCTCTGTGTAAAGGATCGTTCAACTCTGTGAGTTGAATACACGCAACAGAAGGAAGTTACTGAGAATTCTTCTGTCTAGCATAATATGAAGAAATCCCGTTTCCGACGAAGGCCTCAAAGGGGTCTGAATATCTACTTGCAGACTTTATAAACAGAGTGTTTACTAACTGCTCTATGAAAAGAAAGGTTAAACTCTGTGAGTTGAACACACACATCACAAAGGAGTTTCTGAGAATCATTCTGTCTAATCTTTATATGAAGATAGTTTCCTTTTCTACCATTGACCTCAAAGCGGCTGAAATCTCCACTTGCAAATTCCACAAAAAGAGTGTTTCAAGTCTGCTCTGTGTAAAGGATCGTTCAACTCTGTGAGTTGAATAAACACAACACAAGGAAGTTACTGAGCATTCTTCTGTCTAGCAGAATATGAAGAAATCCCGTTTCCAACGAAGGCCTCAAGGAGGTCTGAATATCCACTTGCAGACTTTACAAACAGAGTGTTTCCTAACTGCTCTATGAACGGAAAAGTTAAACTCTGTGAGTTGAACGAACACATCACAACGCAGTTTGTGGGAATGATTCTGTCTAGTTTTGAAACGAAGATATTTCCTTTTCTGCCGTTGATCTTAAAGAGCTTGAAAACTACACTTGCAAATTGCACAAATAGAGTGTTTCAAATCTGCTCTGTCTAAGGGAACGTTCAACTCTGTGAGTTGAATGCACACAACACAAGGAAGTTACTGGGAATTCTTCTGTCTAGCCTCACATGCAAAAAACCCGTTTCCAACGAAGGCCTCTAAGTGGTCAAAATATCCACGTGCAGACTTTACAAACAGAGTGTTTACAAACCGCTGAATGAAAAGAAAAGTTAAACTCTGAGAGTTGAACGCACACATCACGCAGCAGTTTCTGAGAATGATTCTGTCTAGTCTTTATACGAAGATATTTACTTTTCTACCATTGACCTCAAAGCGGCTGAAATCTCCACTTGCAAATTCCCCAAAAAGAGTGTTTCAAGTCTGCTCTGTGTAAAGGATCATTCAACTCTGTGAGTTGAATAAACACAACACAAGGAAGTTACTGAGAATTCTTCTGTCTACCAGAATATGAAGAAATCCCGTTTCCAACGAAGGCCTCAAGGAGGTCTGAATATCCACTTGCAGACTTTACAAACAGAGTGTTTCCTAACTGCTCTATGAAAAGAAAGGTTAAACTCTGTGAGTTGAACGCACACATCACAAAGGAGTTTCTGAGAATCGTTCTGTCTAGTTTTGAAACGAAGATATTTCCTTTTCTACCATTGACCTCAACGCGGCTGAAATCTCCATTTGCAAATACCACAAAAAGAGTGTTTCAAATCTGCTCTGTGTAAATGAAAGTTCAACTCTGTGAGTTGAACACACACAACACAAGGAAGTTACTGGGAATTCTTCTGTCTAGCAGAATATGAAGAAATCCCGTTTCCAACGAAGGCCACAAGATGTCAGAATATCCACTTACAGACTTAACAAACAGAGTGTTTCCTAACTGCTCTATGAACAGAAAGGTTAAACTCTGTGAGTTGAACGAACACATCACAACGCAGTTTGTGGGAATGATTCTGTCTAGTTTTGAAACGAAGATATTTCCTTTTCTGCTATTGACCTTAAAGCGCTTGAAATCTCCACTTCCCAATTGCACAAAAAGAGTGTTTCAAATCTGCTCTGTCTAAGGGAACGTTCAACTCTGTGAGTTGAATGTACACAACACAAGGAAGTTACTGGGAATTCTTCTGTATAGCCTTACATGAAAAAAACCCGTTTCCAACGAAGGCCTCTAAGTGGTCTAATTATCCACGTGCAGACTTTACAAACAGAGTGTTTCCAAACTGCTGAATGAAAAGAAAAGTTAAACTCTGAGAGTTGAACGCACACATCACAGAGCAGATTCTGAGAATGATTATGTCTAGTTTTTATACGAAGATATTTCCTTTTCTGCCTTTGGCCCCACAGCGCTTGAAATCTCCACTTGCAAATTCCACAAAAACAGTGTTTCAAATCTGCTCTCTCTAAATGAAAGTTCAACTCTGTCAGTTGAATACACACAACACAAGGAAGTTACTGAGAATTCTTCTGCCTAGCATAATATGAAGAAATCCCGTTTCCAACGAAGGCCTCAAAGAGGTCTGAATATCCACCTGCAGACTTTACAAACAGAGTGTTTCCTAACTGCTCTATGAAAAGAAAAGTTAAACTCTGTGAGTTGAACGCACACATCACAAAGGAGTTTCTGAGAATCATTCTGTCTAGTTTTTATAGGAAGATATTTCCTTTTCTACCTTTGACTTCAAAGCGGCTGAAATCTCCATTTGCAAATTCCACAAAAAGAGTGTTACAAGTCTGCTCTGTGTAAAGGATCGTTCAACTCTGGGAGTTGAATACACACAACACAAGGAAGTTACTGAGAATTCTTCTGTCTAGCCTTACATGAAAAAAACCCGTTTCCAACGAAGGCCTCTAAGTGGTCAAAATATCCACGTGCAGACTTTACAAACAGAGTGTTTCCAAACTGCTGAATGGAAAGAAAAGTTAAACTCTGAGAGTTGAACGCACACATCGCAGAGCAGTTTCTGAGAATGATTCTGTCTAGTTTTTATACGAAGATATTTCCTTTTCTACCATCGACCTCAAAGCGGCTGAAATCTCCACTTGCAAATTCCACAAAAAGAGTGTTTCAAGTCTGCTCTGTGTAAAGGATCGTTCAACTCTGTGAGTTGAATACACACAACACAAGGAAGATTCTGAGAATTCTTCTGTCTAGCAGAATATGAAGAAATCCCGTTTCCAACGAAGGCCACAAGATGTCAGACTATGCACTTTCAGACTTTAGAAACAGAGTGTTTCCTAACTGCTCTATGAACAGAAAGGTTAAACTCTGTGAGTTGAACGAACACATCACAACGCAGTTTGTGGGAATGATTCTGTCTAGTTTTGAAACGAAGATATTTCCTTTTCTGCCATTGACCTTATAGCGCTTGAAATCTCCACTTGCCAATTGCACAAAAAGTGTGTTTCAAATCTGCTCTCTCTAAGGGAACGTTCAACTCTGTGAGCTGAATGCACACAACACAAGGAAGTTACTGGGAATTCTTCTGTCTAGCCTTACATGAAAAAAAAACCGTTTCCAACGAAGGCCTCTAAGTGGTCAAATTATCCACGTGCAGACTTTACAAACAGAGTGTTTCCAAACTGCTGAATGAAAAGAAAAGTTAAACTCGGAGAGTTGAACGCACACATCGCAGAGCAGTTTATGAGAATGATTCTGTCTAGTTTTTATACGAAGATATTTCCTTTTCTGCCTTTGGCCCCAAAGCGCTTGAAATCTCCACTTGCAAATTCCACAAAAAGAGTGTTTCAAATCTGCTCTCTCTAAATGAAAGTTCAACTCTGTCAGTTGAATACACACAACACAAGGAAGTTACTGAGAAATCTTCTGTCTAGCATAATATGAAGAAATCCCGTTTCCAACGAAGGCCTCAAAGAGGTCTGAATATCCACTTGCAGACTTTACAAACAGAGTGTCTCCTAACTGCTCTATGAAAAGAAAGGTTAAACTTTGTGAGTTGAACGCACACATCACAAAGGAATTTATGAGAATCATTCTGTTTAGTTTTTATACGAAGATATTTCCTTTTCTACCATGGACCTCAAAGCGGCTGAAATCTCCACTTGCAAATTCCACAAAAAGAGTGTTTCAAATCTGCTCTGTGTAAACCATCGTTCAACTCTGTGAGTTGGATACACACAACACAAGGAAGATTCTGAGAATTCTTCTGTCTAGCATAGTATGAAGAAATCCCGTTTCCAACGAAGGCCTCAAAGAGGTCTGAATATCCACTTGCAGAGTTTACAAACAGAGTGTTTCCTACCTGCTCTATGAAAAGAAAGGTTAAACTCTGTGAGTTGAACGCACACATCACAAAGAAGTTTCTGAGAATCATTTTGTCTAGTTTCTATAAGAAGATATTTCCTATTCTACCATTGACCTCAAAGCGGCTGAAATCTCCACTTGCAAATTCGACAAAAAGAGTGTTTCAAGCCTGCTCTCTGTAAAGGATCCTTCAACTCTGTCAGTTGAATACACACAACACAAGGAAGTTACTGAGAATTATTCTGTCTAGCAGAATATGAAGAAATCCCGTTTCCAACGAAGGCCACAAGATGTCAGAATATCCACTTACAGACTTTACAAACAGAGTGTTTCCTAACTGCTCTATGAACAGAAAGGTTAAACTCTGTGAGTTGAACGAACACATCACATCGCAGTTTGTGGGAATGATTCTGTCTAGTTTTTATACGAAGATATTTCCTTTTCTACCATTGACCTCAAAGCGGCTGAAATCACTACTTGCCAATTGCACAAAAAGAGTGTTTCAAATCTGCTCTGTCTAAGGGAACGTTCAACGCTGTGAGTTGAATGTACACAACACAAGGAAGTTACTGGGAATTCTTCTGTCTAGCCTTACATGAAAAAAACCCGTTTCCAACGAAGGCGTCTAAGTGGTCAAAATATCCACGTGCAGACTTTACAAACAGAGTGTTTCCAAACCGCTGAATGAAAAGAAAAGTGAAACTCTGAGAGTTGAACGCACACATCACGCAGCAGTTTCTGAGAATGATTCTGTCTAGTTTTGAAACGAAGATATTTCCTTTTCTTCCTTTGGCCTCAAAGCGCTTGAAATCTCCATTTGCAAATTCCACAAAAAGAGTGTTTCAAATCTGCTCTGTGTAAATGAAAGTTCAACTCTGTGAGTTGAACACACACAACACAAGGAAGTTACTGGGAATTCCTCTGTCTAGCATAATATGAAGAAATCCCGTTTCCAACGAAGGCCTGAAAGAGGTCTGAATATCCACTTGCAGACTTTACAAACAGAGTGTTTCCAAACGGCTCTATGAAAAGAAAAGTTAAATTCTGTGAGTTGAACGCACACATCACAAAGGATTTTCTGAGAATCATTCTGTCTTGTTTCTATACGAAGATATTTCCTTTTCTACCATTGACCTCAAAGCGGCTGAAATCTCCACTTGCAAATTCCACAAAAAGAGTGTTTCAAGTCTGCTCTGTGTAAAGGATCGTTCAAATCTGTGAGTTGAATACACACAACACAAGGAAGTTACTGAGAATTCTTGTGTCTAGCCTTACAGGAAAAAAACCCATTTCCAACGAAGCCCTCTAAGTGGTCAAAATATCCACGTGCAGACTTTACAAACAGAGTGTTTCCAAACTGCTGAATGAAAAGAAAAGTTAAACTCTGAGAGTTGAACGCACACATCGCAGAGCAGTTTCTGAGAATGATTTTGTCTAGTTTTTATGTGAAGATTTTTCCTTTTCTACCATTGGCCCCAAAGCGCTTGAAATCTCCAATTGGGAATTCCACAAAAAGTGTGTTTCAAATCTACTCTATCTAAAAGAAGGTTCAACTCTGTGAGTTGAATACACACAATACAAAGAAGTTACTAAGAATTCCTCTGTCTTGCAGAATATGAAGAAATCCCGTTTCCAACGAAGGCCTCAAAGAGGTCTGATTATCCACTTGCAGACTTTACAAACACAGTGTTTCCTAACTGCTCTATGAAAAGAAAGGTTAAACTCTGTGAGTTGAACGCACACATCACAAAGGAGTTTCTGAGAATCATTCTGTCTAGTTTCTATAGGAAGATATTTCCTATTCTACCATTGAACTCAAAGCGGCTGAAATCTCCACTTGCAAATTCCACAAAAAGAGTGTTTCAAGTCTGCTCTGTGTAAAGGATCGTTCAACTCTGTGAGTTGAATGCACACAACACAAGGAAGTTACTGAGAATTCTTCTGTCTAGCCTTACATGAAAAAAACCCGTTTCCAACGAAGGCCTCTAAGTGGTCAAATTATCCACGTACAGACTTTACAAACAGAGTGTTTCCAAACTGCTGAATGAAAAGAAAAGTTAAACTCTGAGAGTTGAACGCACACATCACAGAGCAGTTTCTGAGAATGATTCTGTCTAGTTTTTATACGAAGATATTCCCTTTCCTGCCTTTGGCCTCAAAGCGCTTGAAATCTCCACTTGCAAATTCCACAAAAAGAGTGTTTCAAATCTGCTCTGTGTAAATCAAAGTTCAACTCCGTGAGTTGAACACACACAACACAAGGAAGTTACTGGGAATTCTTCTGTCTATCATAATATGAAGAAATCCCGTTTCCAACGAAGGCCTCAAAGGGGTCTGAATATCCACTTGCAGACTTTATAAACAGAGTGTTTACTAACTGCTCTATGAAAAGAAAAGTTAAACTCTGTGTGTTGAACGCACACATCACAAAGGAGTTTCTGAGAATCATTCTGTCTAGGTTTTATAGGAAGATATTTCCTTTTCTAACTTTGACTTCAAAGCGGCTGAAATCTCCACTTGCAAATTCCACAAAAAGAGTGTTACAAGTCTGCTCTGTGTAAAGGATCGTTCAACTCTGTGAGTTGAATACACACAACACAAGGAAGTTACTGAGAATTCTTCTGTCTAGCCTTATATGAAAAAAACCCGTTTCCAACGAAGGCCTCGAAGAGGTCTCAATATCCACTTGCAGACTTTACAAACAGAGTGTTTCCTAACTGCTCTATGAAAAGAAAGGTTAAACTCTGTGAGTTGAACGCACACATCACAAAGGAGTTTCTGAGAATCATTCTGTCTAGTTTTTATAGGAAGATTTTTCCTTTTCTACCTTTGACTTCAAAGCGGCTGAAATCTCCACTTGCAAATTCCACAAAAAGAGTGTTACAAGTCTGCTCTGTGTAAAGGATCGTTCAACTCTGTGAGGTGAATACACACAACACAAGGAAGTTACTGAGAATTCTTCTGTCTAGCATAATATGAAGAAATAACGTTTCCAACGAAGGCCTCAAAGAGGTCTGAATATGCACTTGCAGACTTTACAAACAGAGTGTTTCCTAACTGCTCTATGAACAGAAAGGTTAAACTCTGTGAGTTGAACGAACACATCACAACGCAGTTTGTGGGAATGATTCTGTCTAGTTTTGAAACGAAGATATTTCCTTTTCTGCCATTGACCTTAAAGCGCTTGAAATCTCCACTTGCCAATTGCACAAAAAGGGTGTTTCAAATCTGCTCTGTCTAAGGGAACGTTCAACTCTGTGAGTTGAATGTACACAACACAAGGAAGTTACTGGGAATTCTTCTGTCTAGCCTTACATGAAAAAAACCCGTTTCCAACGAAGGCCTCAAAGAGGTCAAAATATCCACGTGCAGACTTTCCAAACAGAGTGTTTCCAAACTGCTGAATGAAAAGAAAAGTTAAACTCTGTGAGTTGAACGCACACATCCCAGAGCAGTTTCTGAGAAAGATTTCTGTCTAGTTTTTATACGAAGATATTTCCTTTTCTGCCTTTGACCTCAAAGCGCTTGAAATCTCCACTTGCAAATTCCACAAAAAGAGTGTTTCAAATCTGCTCTGTGTAAATGAAAGTTCAACTCTGTGAGTTGAACACACACAACACAAGGAAGTTACTGGGAATTCTTCTGTCTAGCAGAATATGAAGAAATCCCGTTTCCAACGAAGGCCTCAAAGAGGTCTGAATATCCACTTGCAGACTATACAAACAGAGTGTTTCCCAACTGCTCTATGAAAAGAAAGGTTAAACTCTGTGAGTTGAACGCACACATCACAAAGGAGTTTCTGAGAATCATTCTGTCTAGTTTCTATAGGAAGATATTTCCTATTCTACCATTGAACTCAAAGCGGCTGAAATCTCCACTTGCAAATTCCACAAAAAGAGTGTTTCAAGTCTGCTCTGTGTAAAGGATCATTCAACTCTGTGAGTTGAATACACACAACACAAGAAAGTTACTGAGAATTCTTCTGTCTAGCATAGTATGAAGAAATCCCGTTTCCAACGAAGGCCTCAAAGAGGTCTGAATATCCACTTGCAGAGTTTACAAACAGAGTGTTTCCTAACTGCTCTATGAAAAGAAAGGTTAAATTCTGTGAGTTGAACGCACACATCACAAAGAAGTTTCTGAGAGTCATTCTGTCTAGTTTCTATAGGAAGATATTTCCTATTCTACCATTGACCTCAAAGCCGCTGAAATCTCCACTTGCAAATTCCACAAAAAGAGTGTTTCAAGTCTGCTCTGTGGAAAGGATCGTTGAACTCTGTGAGTTGAATACACACAACACAAGGAAGTTACTGAGAATTCTTCTGTCTAGCAGAATATGAAGAAATCCCTTTTCCAAAGAAGGCCTCAAGGAGGTCTGAATATCCACTTGCAGACTTTACAAACAGAGTGTTTCCTAACTGCTCTATGAACAGAAAGGTTAAACTCTGTGAGTTGAACGAACACATCACAACGCAGTTTGTGGGAATGATTCTGTCTAGTTTTAAAACGAAGATATTTCCTTTTCTGCCATTGACCTTAAAGCGCTTGAAATCTACAATTGCAAATTGCACAAATAGAGTGTTTCAAATGTGCTCTGTCTAAGGGAACGTTCAACTCTGTGAGTTGAATGCACACAACACAAGGAAGTTACTGGGAATTCTTCTGTCTAGCCTTACAGGAAAAAAACCCGTTTCCAACGAAGGCCTCTAAGTGGTCAAAATATCCACGTGCAGACTTTAGAAACAGAGTGTTTCCAAACTGCTGAATGAAAAGAAAAGTTAAACTCTGAGAGTTGAACGCACACATCGCAGAGCAGTTTCTGAGAATGATTTCTGTCTAGTTTTTATACGAAGATATTTCCTTTTCTGCCTTTGGCCCCAAAGCTCTTGAAATCTCCACTTGCAAATTCCACAAAAACAGTGTTTCAAGTCTGCTCTCTGTAAAGGATCGTTCAACTCTGTGAGTTGAATACACACAACACAAGGAAGTTACTGAGAATTCTTCTGTCTAGCACAGTATGAAGAAATCCCGTTTCCAACGAAGGCCTCAAAGAGGTCTGAATATCCACTTGCAGAGTTTACAAACAGAGTGTTTCCTAACTGCTCTATGAAAAGAAAGGTTAAACTCTGTGAGTTGAACGCACATATCACAAAGAAGTTTCTGAGAATCATTTCTGTCTAGTTTTTCTACGAAGATATTTCCTATTCTACCATTGACCTCAAAGCGGCTGAAATCTCCACTTGCAAATTCCACAAAAAGAGTGTTTCAAGTCTGCTCTGTGTAAAGGATCGTTCAATTCTGTGAGTTGAATACACACAACACAAGGGAAGTTACTGAGAATTCTTCTGTCTAGCCTTACATGAAAAAAACCCGTTTCCAACGAAGGCCTCTAAGTGGTCAAATTATTCACGTGCAGACGTTACAAACAGAGTGTTTCCAAACTGCTGAATGAAAAGAAAAGTTAAACTCTGAGAGTTGAACGCACACATCGCAGAGCAGTTTCTGAGAATGATTCTGTCTAGTTTTTATACGAAGATATTTCCTTTTCTGCCTTTGGCCTCAAAGCGCTTGAAATCTCCATTTGCAAATTCCACAAAAAGGGTGTTTCAAATCTGCTCTGTGTAAATGAAAGTTCAACTCTGTGAGTTGAACACACACAACACAAGAAAGTTACTGGGAATTCTTCTGTCTAGCAGAATATGAAGAAACCCCGTTTCCAACGAAGGCCTCAAGGAGGTCTGAATATCCACTTGCAGACTTTACAAACAGAGTGTTTCTTAACTGCTCTATGAAAAGAAAGGTTAAACTCTGTGAGTTGGACGCACACATCACAAAGGAGTTTATGAGAATCATTCTGTCTAGTTTCTATAAGAAGATATTTCCTATTCTACCATTGACCTCAAAGCGGCTGAAATCTCCACTTGCAAATTCGACAAAAAGAGTGTTTCAAGCCTGCTCTCTGTAAAGGATCGTTCAACTCTGTGAGTTGAATACACACAACACAAGGAAGGTTACTGAGAATTCTTCTGTCTAGCATAATATGAAGAAATCCCGTTTCCAACGAAGGCCTCAAAGAGGTCTGAATATCCACTTGCAGACTTTACAAACAGAGTGTTTCCTAACTGCTCTATTAAAAGAAAAGTTAAACTCTGTGAGTTGAACGCACACATCACAAAGGAGTTTCTGAGAATCATTCTGTCTAGTCTTTATACGAAGATATTTACTTTTCTACCATTGACCTCAAAGCGGCTGAAATCTCCACTTGCAAATTCCACAAAAAGAGTGTTTCAAGTCTGCTCTGTGTAAAGGATCATTCAACTCACAGAGTTGAATAAACACAACACAAGGAAGTTACTGAGAATTCTTCTGTCTAGCAGAATATGAAGAAATCCCGTTTCCAACGAAGGCCACAAGATGTCAGAATATCCACTTACAGAATTTACCAACAGAGTGTTTCCTAACTGCTCTATGAAAAGAAAAGTTAAACTCTGTGAGTTGAACGAACACATCACAACGCAGTTTGTGGAAATGAT